>NC_000020.11:45405628-45708658 GCF_000001405.40 Homo sapiens
TCCAGTGACCCCAAGGCAGAAGTATCTCAGAGAGATCCCCCCACTCCCCTCCCCGCACCCGTCACCACGCTGCCTTCGGAGCTCTGACCGTAAGGGGGTGGATGGAAGGCAGGAGGAAGGGAATGGCCACGGAGTCTTGGTCCAGGAGCTGCTAGACTGGACACTTCTAGCACTGGTCTGAGCCAGGAGACGCTGCGAAAAGAGGGCAAACGTTTCTCCTCTCGCAGTTGCCGCCTCGCCCCTCCACCCCCGCCTGGCCAGCAGCGCAGCGCCCCTCTTAGCACCGTGGAGGTGCTGGCTCCTTGCCGGCGTCGGGGGGCGCGGCGTAGCGGCCCACCCTTCCAGCTCTGACCCGCCCGGCCGGCCCGGCGCCCACCCCGCCCAGTGTGCTTGGTAGGTTGGGCGGCGGCTCTGTCTAGTCCCAGAGCCAGGAATCAGGGGCAGCCGGGCGAGTCCCAGGGCAGGGGTCCTCCGCCGCCTTGCACCTGCCCTGCTGGGCGGCACCGGGTCAGTGCCCTGCCCCCTCCTGCGGGTCCCAACTCTCTCTTTCCCATCGTGCGTCCTCTGGAGAAGTGCGCGCGTGTAAGTGTGGCGAGTGTGGCCAAGGGTGCCGGAGGCAGGGTTCGGGTGCGTAGTCGTTGCGTGGGCGCTGCCCAAAAGGCGCAGAGCATCAAGTGTGCGTGGGCAGAACCGGCGCGGGCGCCCGCCGCGGGTCTGCGCGGGGCGGGGGCGCAGCAAGTGCATCCGAGCGAGCGGAGACTAGCGCACCGGCGTCGGTGGCGAGGGTGGTGCAGAGGAGTCCGGCTGGGCGGAGGGAGGAAGGATGGGTGCGGGTAACTTTTTGACCGCCTTGGAAGTACCAGTAGCCGCGCTCGCAGGGGCTGCCTCCGACCGCCGGGCGAGCTGCGAGCGAGTGAGCCCGCCACCGCCCCTCCCCCACTTCCGCCTCCCGCCTCTTCCTCGTTCCCGGCTCCCAGGGCCCGTCGGTCCCCCGGGAGCCCTGGAGGCGCAGCCCCACCCCGGCCGGCGCGGCTCGCTCCCACGCCCCCGCCGCGGCCTCGCTGGAGCGGACGGACTGAGTCAGAGGGGGCGCCAGCGCTGCAGGTAGGGGCTCCGGCGGCGGTGGGCGCAGGTGCCGCGGTGGACCGCGGAGGGGACCGGAGCACGAGGGGAACGGCCTTGGGGGAGCGCCCTCCCCCCGTCCTCCGCCGACGCCTCGTGTCCCTTTTTAGGGAATTTTTTCCCTCTTGCTGGCTCCAGTGCGGGTGGGGCTGAGACCGAGAGGGAGTTCTCCATTTCGCTGGCTCCTGCCCGGCCCCTGGCAGCCTCCTGCCCCCAAATCTCTTCACCCCCTTTCCAGTACCTATAGGTCGCGTAAACAACTCCCTTTCTCCAGCTCTGGGCTCCGCGGCCCCCCGGGGGACAGCTCCTTCAGTCTCGTGAGATCGGTGGGGTTAGGGGGAGGGGAAAAGAGAGGGGGTGTCCCAGAGCCCCTGGCCCCCGTCAGCTCCCCCACCTTGGCCTCTCCCTCCCCCTCCTCGCTGCTGGAGCACAGGCTCCAGGGGCCCTGGGTATTTTTAGCGTTGTGACCTGGGCGGCAGCTCTAAGAGCCTTTCCCGGGAATCGGCGTCAGCGCCTCGCTCCTCCGCCGCCAGCCCGCGGCCGCACGGTCTCCCCAGACTTCCGTGGCCCTGCCTTGGCCAGTCGGGGTTGGGTCCCTCTCCACCTCTGTGGCGCCCGTGGAGCTGGCCAGGGTCTGGGATACGCTGGGTGCAGATGAGGTGGGGAAGGCAGTCTGCGGAGGATGACGTCTGATCCTCAAGCTAGAAACTCCCTTGCCTCTGGTGATGGGCTCAGAGCAGAACGCCGGGAAGGAGATGAGCGAATGGGAATGAATGCACCGACCTGGGCTGGCCCATAGCCTCAGTGCTCTGGCAGGGTCTCAGCTTCTCAGCCCTAGGGGTCAGGAGGCCTGCTCTGAACTGGACCCAGAACCCGCCTTTCCAATTGCTCCTCACTGACTAATGGGGAGATAAGTCAGTGAGATGTGTCCCAGGAGGGGGACGCATAAAGAGCTGTTGGAGTTCAAAGGAAAGATGGTAGTCTCCTAAATAGCTCACCTTCACAAGCAGGGTCTTGTATTTGAGGCAGGTAGGTTGGTTATGCCATTTTCAGATGGGGAGACTAAGACCAGAAAGGTGATTTCCTTAGGGGCAGAGCCTAGTCTGGAAGTCAGGCCTGTGACTTCAGAGCAAGGGTTTGGGGTAGATGGCACATGCGTGTGTACGTGTTTGTGTGGGTGGAGAGAAAAGGAGGGGCGCGGGAGGAGTTGCTTTAGCCTTTGTCTGGGTTTTGAAGGATGGGAAGGGGTGGGCTGCAGCACTGGAGGAAGGGAACCCTCCACCCTGAGATCTCTGTCTCTATCCTATCCTGTCCCTGGCCTTCTGAGGCAAGCGGGGCCAATTAAGGGGAAAACGTACCTCCTCCATTTGTGCTGAACCAATCCCTCCAACCCCTCTCAGGAGGGCATGATATGGAGAGTTGGGCATTGGCTGTGTTCCCTGAATACAGAGTATCTCTCTTGTGGTGCCTGGAACTGGCATCCCCTTTGTGGAGCTTAGGGCAAGCCCCGCCTCTGCATGAGACTTGGTTTGTGGGACACACTTGGTTTCAGGGAAGGGGAAAGAGGTCACCAAGGGCAGAGGTGTCCAGGCCGGAGCCAGGGGCCCCACTGTTGGGATGCTGGCTGCAGTGGGGCGCCCCAAGCCCAGGTCCCCTCTGTCTTCTCTTTCGACTTTGCAGCTGTACTTGTTTTGCTCCTCTACCCGCAGGAGCTGACATGGACCCAAATCCTCGGGCCGCCCTGGAGCGCCAGCAGCTCCGCCTTCGGGAGCGGCAAAAATTCTTCGAGGACATTTTACAGCCAGAGACAGAGTTTGTCTTTCCTCTGTCCCATCTGCATCTCGAGTCGCAGAGACGTAAGTCCCAAGTCCTGAGAAGAGGGACTGGGGTAGGGTAGGGAGGATGTCCTGTGGGTCCTGAATCTTGTGGCACTCTCTCCCCTCTGGTTTTCTTGGCCCTCTATGCTTCTAACTTGGGACCTGACATGTAACTCTCACTGTCCTGGTGTGCAGCTTGGGTCCTCCTGACTTGCCCACTTCTTGATCCGCAGCCCCCATAGGTAGTATCTCATCCATGGAAGTGAATGTGGACACACTGGAGCAAGTAGAACTTATTGACCTTGGGGACCCGGATGCAGCAGATGTGTTCTTGCCTTGCGAAGATCCTCCACCAACCCCCCAGTCGTCTGGTATGCCCCTCTGCTTTGGGGACTTCAGTGCCAGTCAGCCAGAGCCGGATGTCAGGCTCTGAAACGAGGCTACAAGGCTGGGCTGGGGAAGTACACAAGTAAGGGCTGGAAGTGGGTGTTTCTACCAATGAAACAGCTGCCTGTTCTGATTTTAGGGAAGTTGACCCTGAGGGAGAACTGGGTTACACATCTCTAATCCAAAATTCTGGGAACGGTCAATCTCTTCTTTAATTTTACATTTGTTATATTAATATAATTAGTCACTATAATTAAAATAATGTAAAATTGTAATTTTTATATTTGGCAACTTAAGTAGTTTTAGTCATTATAATGATATTAATATGTATTGAGTACTTTAGTAGGTTCCAATACTGTACTAAAGTACTTTACATATATTATCTCAATCCTTACAACGTCCTGTCAGGGTAGGTGATATAATCTCTATTTTATAAGCAGGAAATTAGGCTCAGAGAAGTTAAGTCACATTGTAGCCAGAAGGTAGATAAACTGGAATTCATGTCTGTCTGACTCCAAAGCCCATATGCTTAACTTGTAAGATAGATATTCTTTTAATTAAAACTGCTACTATTTATTGATGGCTTACTATGCCAGACATTTTATAAGCATTCTTAGGTTTTATTCCCAAAACCCTTTGGGGATGTAGGTATCCCTTTTATTTTGCAGAGGAGGAACAGAGTCCTTGAAAGGGAAAGTGACTTGCTCAAAGCCACTCAGCAGCAATAAGTGATGTAGGTGGAACTTGAACTCTTGCCATTCATTGACCTGACTGTAGATCCCAGACATGGTGTAATGACGTGGAAGGAGCTGGCAGTCAGGAGATGGTGATCTTAATCCTGGCTCTTTGCTGGATTGGCAAAGTCACTTTGGACAAGTCTCTGCCCCACTGTGGACTTTAGTTACTCCTGGCCAGATAATCTTTAAGAGTTCTCTGAAGCCCTGTTTGTGGCCTGACCAGCTTTTCTCTCTGGGCAGGGATGGACAACCATTTGGAGGAGCTGAGCCTGCCGGTGCCTACATCAGACAGGACCACATCTAGGACCTCCTCCTCCTCCTCCTCCGACTCCTCCACCAACCTGCATAGCCCAAATCCAAGTGATGATGGAGCAGATACGCCCTTGGCACAGTCGGATGAAGAGGAGGAAAGGGGTGATGGAGGGGCAGAGCCTGGAGCCTGCAGCTAGCAGTGGGCCCCTGCCTACAGACTGACCACGCTGGCTATTCTCCACATGAGACCACAGGCCCAGCCAGAGCCTGTCGGGAGAAGACCAGACTCTTTACTTGCAGTAGGCACCAGAGGTGGGAAGGATGGTGGGATTGTGTACCTTTCTAAGAATTAACCCTCTCCTGCTTTACTGCTAATTTTTTCCTGCTGCAACCCTCCCACCAGTTTTTGGCTTACTCCTGAGATATGATTTGCAAATGAGGAGAGAGAAGATGAGGTTGGACAAGATGCCACTGCTTTTCTTAGCACTCTTCCCTCCCCTAAACCATCCCGTAGTCTTCTAATACAGTCTCTCAGACAAGTGTCTCTAGATGGATGTGAACTCCTTAACTCATCAAGTAAGGTGGTACTCAAGCCATGCTGCCTCCTTACATCCTTTTTGGAACAGAGCACGGTATAAATAATAAACTAATAATAATATGCCAACCATTCGACTTCATTTTTCATATTGCAAAGATATCAAACCCACTACATGTCTTTAGCTCTCTAACCGATCCCATATTCCTATCACTCACTCATTCCATTTATTCAAGAAATGTTTATGGAACACCCATGCTAGGCATCTGGAATACAGTTTTGAGCAAGACAGGCTGTACTGTATACCTGCCTTCATAGAGTTTACTGTTTATGGAGGAGAAAATCAAGTAAATACTACAATTCACAGTGTAATAAATAGCATGATGAGGAACTACTCTGGTACCAGAAAATAGGGGCATGTTAACCTAGTTTCTATGGTCACTGAAGAGCTGTTTTTAGCTGAAGGACGATTGGGAGTTAGCCAGGCACAGTCCGTAAGCCAGGCAGAACGAGCAGCTCGTGAAGACTTTAAACGGAGAGAGCATATCCTTGAGGAGCTAAAAAACATTGCGTTTGGCTGAATTGTTGGATTTGAGGAAATGAAGGGAGAGTTAAGACTGACAAAGGTCAGGTTGTAAAATCCGTTGAAGCCTGGATCAGGTTTCAGTTTGACAGCTAGTAAAAGATCATGACTTAAGATATAAAGTTATTTCCTCATATAGAAGTTAAAAAGTACAGGTCTACATGAAAGCTCCATCGTTACTCAGCACTGGGCTCCTTTTTTGCTCTTTTGCACATGGTTTGCATTCTTAGCAATATCTCACATCTAAGGTGGCTGTCAAAGCCCCAGCCATCATGACCTTGAGACTGGCAGAAAGCAGGAGAGGAAATGGGGGATGGGCAAAGAGGGCACAGCCAGTCTATTCCCATTTAGGAAGAAATTTTTGGAAGTTCTTTTTTTTTCCCCCAAGATGAAGTCACACTCTTTCGCCCAGGCTGGAGTGCAATGGCACGATCTCGGCACACTGCAACCTCCGCCTCCCAGGTTCAAGCAATTCTCACATCTCAGCCTCCCGAGTAGCTGGGACTACAGGCGCACACCACCATGCCAGGCTAATTTTTGTATTTTTAGTAGAGACGGGATTTCACCATATTGGTCAAGCTAGTCTCGAACTCCTGACCTCAGGTGATCCACCCACCTTGGCCTCCCGAAGTGCTGGAATTACAGGCGTGAGCCACTGCACCTGGCCAACCATCCTATAGTCTTCCAGCAGAGTCTCTCAAATCAGTGTCTCCAGATAGACGTGAACTCCTTGGCATGTCAAGTGAGGGGGTACTCCAGCCATTCTGGCTCCTTACATCCTTTTTGGAACAGAGGGCTAGTCACCCAGATGGGGAGTTTCAGAAAGGACCAGGTTTGAGAAGAAGGCCATAAATTTGGTTTGGGACATGTTGAGTTTGAGATGTCTTTGAGACATCCAAGAGGATATGTTGAGTAGGCCCTTGCACCCATGCATGTGGAATTTAGATAAGAGGATTGAGCTGGAAAAAGAAAACGATCAGTTCTCAGTGTATAGGTGGTAAGTGAAGCCATGGGTGCGAATGACAGGAGAGAATGCCCAGGGAGAGAATGCTGAATGAAAGAAGAGGTTATAGGACCCAGTCTTAAGGAACATCAACTCATTTCTCACATTCAAAAAAAAAAAAAAAAAATCAGTCCACCTCCCTTCATACATTGAACATCACCCATGGGATCAGTGACCTTCAGCCAAAATCCTAAAGCTTTTTGTGCCACCCAAGGTTGAGTGACAAGGCTGCAGTCTTCCTATTGTCCCATCCTGCTCTCACCCCTGCAGGAGGCCAGTGTAAGTATCTGTTCCTAAGTGTTTTTCCTAACACTAGTGAGAAACCTGTGGGAACTCCAGGGAAGTAGGAGTGTCCACCAGCCATTCCCTGTCTCTAGGAAGCTTGTGGAGTGAATACCTTCTGTGCAAAAGCCTCTAGGTCCAAGTTGAGATCATCCACTGAGCTGGGCCAGGGCCCAGTCCTCTATTAACTTTTGGGGTTTTTCTGGGTTGCTTATGACCTTGCTGCACATAGAAGACATAATCTCTGTCCTCTTGTGGCTTCTCTCCTTCCTTCCTTTAGAGTAGCAAGGTTCTATCTACCTCCTGTCTGACTGTGGCTGAGCCATCTCTTGGGCTGCGGCCCATGATCCCAATAGCTTTGCTGTGCAGGGCTTCTCAGCTCCCAGGATCACCCCCCTTCCTTCCATGGTGAACGATGAGAAGCTAGACTGGCTTGGTTGCCGTCAACATGTCAATAAATCTCTTAGTAGCCCAGGCACATGATGCGAAGATTGTGGGGAGCCTGCCTTGAGAGAGGGATTTACAGCCCTCTAGAGAAGTAGAATTGTTTCTGAGCCTATGGGGAGCCTTCAGTTTGGCTGCTATGAGCCCCAGCCCTGCCTGGAAAAGTCTAGTGTCAGCTGAGACCCCAGGACTACTTCCTAGTTGGGACAATAACCTTTTCTCCTGCCGAACCACAGGGGCTTGGCTGGCCTTCAGAACCATCATCTCCAGCTGACTGTTTTTTGTTTCTTTGTTTTTTTAAAAAAACTTATGGGGGTTTCAAACGTACAACAAATATAGAAAGAAAAATATCCCAGGTTCTCATCATACAGCTTAAAAAATCATCAAAATAGTACCAAGATTGTATCATCTACCCACCACATATTTTTAGTGGAAAGACATTTATGATAACTCTTGAAAGAAAGAGTAGACTATAAAACACCATATTCAATATGGTCACTTTTTAAAAAAATGATAATCTTCAGATTCACCATTTGATTATAGTGTTGCATTAAAGTTAAACCGTGGTTTATGGCAGCCCAGAGCCTAGCTGTCTGGTTTTTGAGGCCACACAGTGCCTTTGGAGGTGGGAGGAAGATCTGGAGCCAACTCTAAGTCAAGGAGCCCAGCTTTCAGTCTCCAAGCTACAGCGTGGCTTCTGATATTTGCACGGACTTGTCATAGGGTGGACATCCTGACACACTTCGGAAAGGAGGCACCACAGCTCAGAAAAAGTTTCCTTAGAAGGCTTACACTGTAGCAACCCCAGGAGTGCACAGAACTTGACACTGAACAGCATGGCAGAGTAGGGAAAATACAGAACTGTGCTATGATGTCATCTTGTTTGTTCATTCATTCACACATTACTGAGCACCTACTATGTGACAGTCACCTTGCTTAGGCAACAGAAATACTAAGGTGACCATGAGCTCTTCCAGGAGCAGACACAGACACAGGTAATGGAAACAATGTGATGAGAGATGTAGCAGAAGTACATGAAGCCTGTAGACCACTAGAGGAGGAGAAGGTAAGTCTTCACTAGAGGTGGCTGGGTCCTGAATGATGGAGATGGGCAATTTCAAAAGGAAAACAGAGAAGTACAAAATAGTCATAATGATGGCAGCTACCTTTAAAAAAGTATTATTTTGAGGTTTGATAGTGTAGACTATAGTCCTAGCTCCATCACTCATTGTAATCTTTATTATCTTAGTTTATGTACTTCTTAATAATAACACTCAAGCAACCCTATCACTTAGGCACTATTATCTACATTTACATATTAGTGCCTAGGTGACAGGGTTGAGTGTTACTATTAAGCACTTGCTACATTCCATATCCTACATGTACATAATTTCTCATCTTAACAACAACCTTGAAAGTAGGTTTCTTCATTATACAAATGAAGAAAAGTGACACTTGGGTTGATCATGCTCATATGGATTAAAGGCTGGCATAGGGATTTGGACTCCTGTCTTTCTGACATCTAAGCCCATGGCCTTCCTAATATTTCGTGTCTAATGGGGCAGGAACACTGAATGCAGGCAGAATGAAGGCATAATGAGATAAAGACATCTTTCTGACATTTCCTTTCTGGAAATGTCTGGTTGGTTGGCGCATATCTTGGCAGACCTGCCTGACACCAAATTGGCTCTTTCTAGAAGTGTGGTCATGAGTGTCACCAAGAGACTGTTCATGAAATCCTTCATGAATGTGTTTCCCATAGGGCAGGTGGAAAAACTAAAGCATGACTTTAACTTTGGAACTCCGAAAAAGTCAATAAAAAGACAAGCCAGTAAACAAAGGGGTGAGGGTGCAGAAGACTTTAACAGACCTTTCACAAAAAAATAAAAATTAAATTAAAAAATAAATGGCAAATAAGCACATGAACAGATGCTTAACATTTTTAGTTACCAGGGAAATGCAAATTAAAACCACAATGAGCAAACACTACATACATACCCAAGTGGTCAAAACTAAAAAGTACAAAAAATTAGAAACTTCAAATGCTGACCAGGATGTGGTACAATGGAGACTCATAGTTTATGGAAACATAAAATGATACATTTTGGAGAAAGGTCTGACAGTTTCTTATAAAATTAAACATACACCTGCTCTCTGACCCAGCAATTCCACTCTTAAATACCTGGCCAAAGGATATGAGAAATATACGTCTACAAAGGAGCTTGCACAGACAGCAGCCTTGTTAATAATAACCAAAAACTTTAAAAGTGCCCATCAAGAGTTGAATGGATAAATTAATAATACTACGCAGTAATAAAAAGAATTGTGGATACATGCAAGAACATGGATGATTCTCAAAAACATTCTTCCCATGAGAAAAAAAAAAGCCTTACACAGTATACATACTATATGATTTCATTTATATTTAGTTCTGGAACAGATTAATCTATTGTGGGAAAAAATCAGGGTACTAACTGCCTCTGGAAGGTGATAGAGGAGCAGGGATTGACTAGGAAAGGGTATTGCTAATTTTCTGGGGTTTTAGGAATGTTCTGTATCATGATAGGAGTTCGGGTTACATAGGTGTGTGCATTTGTCAAAACTCAGTGAATGTGTACTTTGGATTTGTGCATTTCACTGTATGTGAATTTTACATCAAAATGCAATCGAATACTGAACTCTAGTTAATTATATGCATGCTTAACTACTTAAAGGAAAGTGTACTAATGTCTGCAATTTACTTTGAAGTGCACCAAAACACAAGATGGAATGATGGATGTATAGACAAATATGTGGTAAAGTACAAGTATAGTATAATGTAAATAGTAGAATCTAGGTGGTGGAAAATAGGTTTATTGTAACAGGTGCTCATTCTTTCAATTTTGTTTGAACATTTTCGTAATAAAAGAACCACTTATTTGGGGGTTTTGCAGCAAATGGAGACACTAGAAGCTAAGAGGGGCAGGAGGTTCCTCTTACTTTGGGAAATGCAAATTAAAACCACAATGGTTTTCCCAAAAGTAATTGATCTTTTTCAGTCAATGTTTCCTCAACTATCAAATGGGTAAAATGGCAGTGAAGGAGCTTCATATTATTAAGCATTTCCTGGTGGGTGGAATACGCCATGAACTAGGTGCGGCCTCAAGCTGGTTACTCGCCCTGCCTACTCCCTCTCGTGTCCTCCCAGTACCCCCTTAGACCCACCAGCTCTGAGGGAATCTTCGCGACCTGCGCAGGCGGTCGCTCTGATAACCGCATCCCGGTTTCCGGGACGACAGCGGAAGTCACTTCTCACACGCCTTTCTTATTGGATACCGGCTTTTCATGGGGCCGAGCGCCGCTGGGTAGGCGGAAGTAGCCGCAGGCATGGCGGCGGCTATGCCGCTTGCTCTGCTCGTCCTGTTGCTCCTGGGGCCCGGCGGCTGGTGCCTTGCAGAACCCCCACGCGACAGCCTGCGGGAGGAACTTGTCATCACCCCGCTGCCTTCCGGGGACGTAGCCGCCACATTCCAGTTCCGCACGCGCTGGGATTCGGAGCTTCAGCGGGAAGGAGGTGAGGGCGCGAGATCTGACCAGGGAAAGATTTCCGTAGTGCCTGCTGGCTGGCCGGCCGTGGGATGAAGGCAAACTTTGGGGGCGGGGCCTAATTCCTGGGTAGAGTTCGGGATCCTGGGTGTGGACCCCGACGAGGTGGGGATCGTCACTCACCTGCTCCCGTTTCCCCAGTGTCCCATTACAGGCTCTTTCCCAAAGCCCTGGGGCAGCTGATCTCCAAGTATTCTCTACGGGAGCTGCACCTGTCATTCACACAAGGCTTTTGGAGGACCCGATACTGGGGGCCACCCTTCCTGCAGGCCCCATCAGGTGCAGAGCTGTGGGTCTGGTTCCAAGACACTGTCACTGAGTGAGTGCACACCTTGGGCCCTGTTGCAGGCCATGGAGGGAATGTGGCTGGGAGAGTGTTGTCATCCTGCCACTGCTCTTGGGGACAGCACTTCCAGTAGGCAGCGATTCCATGGGGGTAGAGCTGGCATTGGAAGTAAGAAATGTTACCACAGATGAATAAACTTCCCAATCCTAAAACTTTCAGACCTGAGGTAGCACATGCATATCCCTGGAGAGGCAAATAGCAAACAATTAATGCTTATTTGGAGGTAAGGCAGTAGAAAACTGGCAACTGGATAACCTTTTAAAAGGCATTCATTAATATTTTTTAAATGATAATAAATACCACGAAAGCCAACCATAACATATCTGTGGGTTACAACTGGCCAACAGGATGCTACATCACAGTGTTAGAGGAACTGCTTTTGTTTGGGAGGGGGCAGGTCTAGTTACTGTGCCTACTACAAACCGCTATTTCCCAGTGGCTGCTGTGGCTATCCTGTTTAGAATAGAACCTTTCTGTGCAGTGGTTGCAAACAGGTCTACATGGGCCACACAGGTAAGGAATGAATAAAGGTATTTTTAAAATTGACAAACACAGGAATGAGAAATATATCTCATTTTCCTCTTAATCCCACTATAAGAAATCAATAGTGCAAGTATGATATAACAAGTTTTAGGGCAATAAAAAGGAGCAGCAGGAATTGTGGCAGGCTAGAGAGTTTGTGTGACATTCTAACGAGGACAGCTCTGCCACTCAGCTTCTATGGATTGTTGCCATGTGGGAATAGAGGCCTAATGTGGTCAGAGTCAAATGTTTCTAAAAATTTTTTGTAGAAACAAGGTCTCACTATATTGCCCAGGCTGGTCTCGAACTCCTGGGTTCAAGCGATCCTCCTGCCTCAGCCTCCCAAAGTGTTGGGATTACAGGCAAGAGCCACCACACCTGGCCTCATTTTTCAAGAGATACCAGAAATCTGGAATTTAATGTGAAAATTGGCAAATTCAAATATCAGCAAGTAATTTAAAAATTTTTTGAGTGCTGTGCGGGTCAATGTTGTGCATACCAAATGAAGCATGTTTATGGTTTGAGTAGAGCTTTCCGGCTTCAAGTTTGCCATTTTTATTTGAGGCTTAAGGATTGGAGCAGTTGAAAAGCTCTGAACATAGAATTATCAAAAGCTCCTGGACAACACTAAGGAATAAGGAATAAGCAGTAACTCCCCAGCTTGCCAAGACTTTCTCTCTTGCCTCAACTCTGGCTCCCCTACCCTTTCCTGTCTACTCTGCTGTCACTGTCTTCCCTCAGCCCGTAATTGCCTGAAATGTGGAGCAAATGCTTAGAATTCTTTCTAGTGCTTATTAAGTTTTATGCTTTCTCTATTACTGAGAGCAAATCTCTTTTGATATTTCTCCAAGAAAAGAACATTAATTTAATTTGATGTTTTTATGAAATCCTAGAACAGTTGTTTTTCCCATGTTCAGTGAGCTTTTTTGGATATAAGACTTCTCACCATGATAGTAGAATCAGGACTTACCTTTATTCCCAGAGTATACACAGGGTAGTATGCATTGTTTTGCCCAGCCCAGCACATTCAAGGAAGATCAGTGAGCTCATTTCAGCTCTGATACATGAGGCGCTTTCCATGGTGTCAGGGGAAGTACATAGATGACCCAGACTGGTCCTTGTCCTCAAGTTGCTTACAGCCTAGTTAGGGAGAAAAGGTGGTCAGGACACGATGCTGCTGCCACCTAGCCATCTCCCAGGAGGGACCTAGTAAGATGCTTGGATGGTCAGAACCGTGACTGCACAGAGGAGACTGTGCTTAAGGAGGGCAGGAAAGGCTTCGTGGAGGGGAGGTAAGCACTGGAGCCGGATCATGAAGGTAGGCAGAAAGAAGTTAGCAAAGGCTTGCAAGGAAGGAAGAATCACCTGAGCAGAGACCCATGGGGATGCAGAGATGTCCAGAGGAGAGTGAGGAAGAAGGGGCTGAGTAGGATGAGACCCAGCAAGTGGGCTGGCTGGGGGCAGCAATGTTCCAGCTCCATCAACTGGCCCGTCTAATAGTTAAGAATACAGCCTCCTCCTATCATAGGTTTAGCAGCCAGCTGTGGACTTTGAAAGAGGGAGCAGAGGTAGCCCCAGGACAGTGAGTGGATTTGTGTCTCTATCCAGTGTGGATAAATCTTGGAAGGAGCTCAGTAATGTCCTCTCAGGGATCTTCTGCGCCTCTCTCAACTTCATCGACTCCACCAACACAGTCACTCCCACTGCCTCCTTCAAACCCCTGGGTCTGGCCAATGGTGAGATAACCCCTACAGCCCTTTCCTTCTTCCTCTTACCTCCTGCCCAAACCTTTGCCTCCTTTTCCCTCAGTTTCCTGCTTCCTCAGCCTGGGCTAGATCCTAAGTCCCCTGTGTGTGCAGGCCCCCAATACTGTGCCATCTCTGCATGCCTTTTCCCAAGGAGAGAAGGGAGTCCTACTCCCAGTTGGGACTGTCCAGACTGTGGTGCTAGAGGTGGTGTGGGGAGCAGGAGGGTCATTCCCATCTCTGGAATGTGGATCCCGAGGGGTCAGAGCCCAAGGCCCACCCCAGACAGACCTCTGTCTCCCTCAGACACTGACCACTACTTTCTGCGCTATGCTGTGCTGCCGCGGGAGGTGGTCTGCACCGAAAACCTCACCCCCTGGAAGAAGCTCTTGCCCTGTAGTTCCAAGGTGAGGCCGCAGAGCCTGGCAGCCGGGGGCGGGGGGTGTATAGAGAACCTGCGCCCCATGCCAAGTGCTCCATACAGGGCTTCTCTTATCTCTTTCCATCTCCTCCAGGCAGGCCTCTCTGTGCTGCTGAAGGCAGATCGCTTGTTCCACACCAGCTACCACTCCCAGGCAGTGCATATCCGCCCTGTTTGCAGAGTAAGTCATGGGGAGTAGAGGAAGCTGCCATCCAGGGGCTCAGAGAAGGTACATGTAAAGCATGTGGTCAGTGTCTGGCTCAGGCTGAGTGAGTACTGAGTGGTAGATGTGATGACGGTTATTCAGGGCATTGGCCAAGCACCAAGAAAACAGTGGTTGCCTAGCAAGCACTGAATAAATATTTGTCATGGAAAATAGTGGTTCAGAACAATAGCTATGCGGGTGCAATTGCTAGCTCAGTCACTTGCCAGCTGGCGTAACCTTGGGTGAATCATTTCATTCCCCTGAGCTTGGTTTCCCACCCTGCCACATGACATTGATAGTAGAATCCACTCCTAGGGTTGTTGTGATAGTTTATCAAACTGATGCACATACAGCTGTCAGCACGGGGTCTGGCACGAGGTCAAGTGCTCAGGAGTGGGTGGTAGCAAATCGATGGATGTGAAGATACATAGATGAGGGATTGAGTCTGAGTAGGAGTCTTTTTGGGGGCTGTGTGGTGAGAGTGATACCCCCTCACTGCTGCCATCTGGCCCTTGTGATAGAATGCACGCTGTACTAGCATCTCCTGGGAGCTGAGGCAGACCCTGTCAGTTGTATTTGATGCCTTCATCACGGGGCAGGGAAAGAAAGGTAAGTTACCTTGGCAACTCATCTGTACCCACCCATGCCAGCCCTGCCTTATCTATGTGGACTAGGCCTAGGCCTGGCCCCTGCTCAGCCCTGCGCTCTGTTTCTCAGACTGGTCCCTCTTCCGGATGTTCTCCCGAACCCTCACGGAGCCCTGCCCCCTGGCTTCAGAGAGCCGAGTCTATGTGGACATCACCACCTACAACCAGGTAACAAGGTCTCCAGCCACACACACAAACACACCGCTGGTCCCCAGGACCAGCCTACCCTCTCTGCTTGCTTCTTAGCCCTGCCTTTGTGTCCCCAGGACAACGAGACATTAGAGGTGCACCCACCCCCGACCACTACATATCAGGACGTCATCCTAGGCACTCGGAAGACCTATGCCATCTATGACTTGCTTGACACCGCCATGATCAACAACTCTCGAAACCTCAACATCCAGCTCAAGTGGAAGAGACCCCCAGAGAATGGTGAGTGGGTGGTTGGTTGGACTGCTGGGTTGCAACGGCTACAGAGAAAAGACTCACAATCCCACGTCTTTGCCGTTAGATGATTGGGTTGTATTTAGACCAGATTTCCAGAGTCATATGCTGCTGACTGTAGCTATTCCAAGCTCTACGATTTTGGGTAGGTTCCTAAACTCCCCAAGCTTCAGCATCCACATCTGAAAAATAGAGTATACTTAGCAAATTGGATGAGATGATGTGAAAAATGGAGTTAGTTCATGCATTTGCTTAATCAACCAAATACTTTTGAATTCATACTAAGTGCCAGGCATAGAGTGTTGAATAAGACAGAGGACACTGCACTCAAGAAATATAAGTCTACTAGCTAGGGCAGGTGTCAGTTAATTAATTACAGTTGTGTTCAGTTCCCTTACCAAGGGAAAGAGCAGAATATCCTGAGAGGACCTGGATTGGGTTCGAAGGGGGCACGGTGTTCGTCACGTAAGCACTTCAATACTAGCAACCTATTGTCATCATCGCTTGTTGGCTGGGGAAGACAGGGATGATTCCAGAACCCAGATTGCCCAGTTTCAGTGGCAGGGCTGTTCCCCATCTACTCACTGGCTTGGGACTCTGAACATGGCCTGGGCAGGTGGGGTGGGGAGTGATTCTTACCTTTGGCAGCTGTTAACTGTTGATATTTCTTTACACAGAGGCCCCCCCAGTGCCCTTCCTGCATGCCCAGCGGTACGTGAGTGGCTATGGGCTGCAGAAGGGGGAGCTGAGCACACTGCTGTACAACACCCACCCATACCGGGCCTTCCCGGTGCTGCTGCTGGACACCGTACCCTGGTATCTGCGGCTGTATGTGCACACCCTCACCATCACCTCCAAGGGCAAGGAGAACAAACCAAGTGAGGACCTGAGTCCTGAACCAGGCCCCCAGCCCGCCCTCTCATGTCCTCTCCAGGTCCCCCAAACTCTCATTTCCCAGGGTAGTTCCTGAAGTACCTCTGAAAAGCTACACAGGCATAAAGAGTAAGGAATAGTTTCTCAAAACTGGAACGGGAGCCTCACTGTGCCAGGTTCAGAAGTAATTTATAAAACAGCAATAATTAAAACACATAATACTGGTGATTCTTAATAGGACTGTACAAGGACAGTAGCTTCCTTTTTCACTTACTTTTGCCTCCTTTCTGGAGCATTGGGTTTTGTGATGATTCATAGACTCTTTAAGGTAGGGAAAGGGTTTGGCAACGTTAGGCTTTTGAAGCTAGGAAGATAGCAGAGCTGGAGTAGATGGTGTTTTGCTTCCTTGGGAGGGGTAAAGAGGTACAGTTAATTAAATTTTTTTATTTCTATTTTTATTAAAATTTATTTTTATTTTCTATTATTTTTCTAAGGAGAAGATAATATTAGTGCTTCCTATTAGGTGCCAGGCATAGCACTAAAGCACTTGCCTTTCTTTGGTGTAGGGGGAGACTAGTAGTAAAGTAAAAGACCTCTGAGGAAGAGGTTGTACCATATCCCAAACGGCCAAACTTAAAAACCTTTCAGTACTTTAGTTGATTCCTATATTTTCAAACATACGGTGAATAGTTTCACTTATTTTCAGCACCATTATTTGTACCACCTTCAAAATCTCTATTTCAGACATCCTAACTGCATATTCTATAGGTTTTTCTGTTATTATTCTTTTAAATCTTCTCCTTTGGAAAATTTCAAACCCAAACCCAAACAGAATAGTGTAATAATCCCCTGTACACACCCTGCAGCCTTTTTTTTTTTTTTTTAAGAGACAGACTGTTGCTCTGTCAGCTATGCCGGAGTGCAGTGGCATGATCATGGCTCATTGCAGTCTCAGACTGCTCGGCTCAAGCAATCCTCCTACCTCCGCTTCCCTAGGACTACAGGCATGAACCGCCATGCCTTTAATTTTTTCACAGAGGCAGGGTCTTGTTATGTTGCACAGGCTGGTCTCAAACTCCTGGCCTCAAGCGATTCTCCTGCCTCAGTCTCCTAAAGTGCTGGGATTATAGGTGTAAGCCGCTGCCTGCTGGCATATCTTAAAGCAAATCTTAGACATTGCATCAATTAACCTTTAAATACTTTAAGGATTTTTAAAAATGTAACCGTATCATTACCACTTCTGTTTTCCCCTGTGGTCTTAAAAATGTCTTTTTATAATTGGTTTGTTTAAATTGGGATAAACAAGGTTCTCACATTGCATTTGCTTTATACTAAGTTCCTCTCTTGGGTGGGCACAGTGGTGCACACCTGTAATCTCAGCACTTTGGGAGGCCAACACAGAAGGACCACTTGAGTCCAGGAGTTCGAAACCAGCCTGGACAACATTGTGAGGCTCCCCCTACCTATACAAAAAAAATTTTTTTTTTTTTTTTTTTTTTTTTTTGAGACGGATCCTCACTCTGTCACCCAGGCTGGAGTGCAGTGGCGCGATCTTAGCTCACTGCAACCTCCACCTCCCGGGTTCAAGCGATTCTCCTGCCTCCACCTCCCGAGTAGCTGGGACTACAGGCGCGTGCCACCACGCCTGGCTAATTTTTTCTGTTTTTAGTAGAGATGCGGTTTCACTGTGTTAGCCAGGGTGGTCTCGATCTTCTGACCTTGTGATCTGCCCGCCTTGGCCTCCCAAAGTGCTGGGATTAAAATAAATTGTTTTTAATTAGCTGGGGGTGGTGTTGCACGCCTGTAGTCCCAGCTACTCAAGAGGCTGAGGTGGGAGGATCACTTGAACCCAGGAGGTCAAGGCTATAGTGAGCCATGATCATACTATTGCACTTCAGCATGGGCGACAGTGTGAGACCCTGTCACGAAAAAAAAAAAAGTTTCTTTTTCTTTAAAATTACTAGACTATTCTTAGAGCAGTTTTAGGTTTACAGAAAAACTGAGCACAAAGCACAGAGTTCCCATATACTCCCTGTCTCCACACCCAGAATGTCCCTTATTATAAATGTCTTGTCTTTGGTGTGGTACTCTTCAGTCTCTCTTCATCTGTAGCAGTGCCCATGCCTTTTTTTTTTTTTTTTAATGTCATTTATTTGTTGAAGAAACTGGGTCATTTGTTGTGTAGAATGTTCCACATTCTGGGTTTGTCCTTGTGCTAGTGTTTAACACACCCCTCCTCTCCTATATTTCTTGTGTGTTGGTGGTTAGATTTAGAAACCTGATTAGATTCATGTCCCACATTTTTGGCAAGAAAAATTCCCAGGTGGTTCTGTGAACTTCTTCTTGCGTCACATCAGGCACTTGGTGTCTGGTGCCCCAGTTGTAGTGATGTGAAGATTGATTAGCCATCTGCAGCACTCCTAACAACCTCTCTTGATCGCATCCTGGGATCACTGCCCTGGAAACATCCTCTCCCTTTTCTTAGCCCCTGCTTTCTTCCCTTGCCTGCCTGGCTTCTATGCTCCCAAGCCCATCTTCTAGGCACCCAGATTGAGGCTCCATGGCAAGCAGCAGGGACAGGGGCAGCAGGTAGCCTGACCCCAGGAAAGAGATGTGGGTGACCTTGCATGTCTCCAGGTTACATCCACTACCAGCCTGCCCAGGACCGGCTGCAACCCCACCTCCTGGAGATGCTGATTCAGCTGCCGGCCAACTCAGTCACCAAGGTTTCCATCCAGTTTGAGCGGGCGCTGCTGAAGTGGACCGAGTACACGCCAGATCCTAACCATGGCTTCTATGTCAGGTGGGCTCCACCCCCACAGGCCACCTCTCATCCCCCTGACCTACCCTTTCTGCTGCTTACCCCTTGATAGGGCAGCCAGATGGGAACACGGGCCATCTCTCTGCTTCTCTGTAGCCCATCTGTCCTCAGCGCCCTTGTGCCCAGCATGGTAGCAGCCAAGCCAGTGGACTGGGAAGAGAGTCCCCTCTTCAACAGCCTGTAAGTGTGACCACACTCACTGATAACACATCCTCAGCTGCCTGCTGGGCCTTAACACAGGTGACCAGGCTCCTGCAGGGGAGTTCAGGGTAGATGTTACATCTTCCAAAGAGATGTGTAGATTTAATTCAATCCTAATAAAAATCCTGGCAGTCTGTGGAATTTGTGAAGACTTTATAAAATGATTTTAAAGTGCTTCTAGAAGAATACTTTTACTTACAGCCTACATTTACTTCTTGATGCTCTTAAATATTTAATCAAGCACTTATCAAATGCCAAGTGCTTCTGAGAGCACTGAGTGTGCAAGATTAAACAAAACAGACTTGGCCCTGGCCTCCCTTTGCTTACAGTCTAGAAGGAAGATTCTGGTCTAGAGAGTAATGGGGTTAGAGGTTGGGTAGGAATTGATTTACTGGGTTATCTAGGAAGGCTTCATTTAGGAGGTGGCATTTAGGCTGAAACCAGGCTAAGAAAGAAGCAACCAAGCAAAGGCGGGGCCCCTTTCCTCCACCTCAACACCAGGCGTCTCTCTTTCTTTCCTTTCTCTCTCTTTCTTTCTTTCTCTTTCTTTCTTTCTTTCTTTCTTTCTTTCTTTCTTTCTTTCTTTCTTTCTTTCTTTCTTTCTTTCTCTTTCTTTCTTTCTTATTTATTTTTTATTTTACTTTAAGTTCTGGGATACATGTGCAGAACATACAGGTTTGTTACATAGGTATATATGTGCCACGGTGGTTTGCCGTACCCATCAACCCATCATCTAGGTTTTAAGCCCCGCATGCATTAGGTATTTGTCCTAATGCTCTCCCTCCCCTTGCCCCCCGCCCGCCGCTCCCCTTTATCAGGTTTAGAGATTGAGCTATGCCTTCTGTTGAAAGGTTTTGAGCCTAAGAGAACATTGGAAACACTGTGTTGCATTGCCCAATACTGCCGGAATGAGGATGGGGTGAGATGGGGAGGAGCAGCCAGTCCTGTCTCACCGCTCTTCCCCTGACCCCAGGTTCCCAGTCTCTGATGGCTCTAACTACTTTGTGCGGCTCTACACGGAGCCGCTGCTGGTGAACCTGCCGACACCGGACTTCAGCATGCCCTACAACGTGATCTGCCTCACGTGCACTGTGGTGGCCGTGTGCTATGGCTCCTTCTACAATCTCCTCACCCGAACCTTCCACATCGAGGAGCCCCGCACAGGTGGCCTGGCCAAGCGGCTGGCCAACCTTATCCGGCGCGCCCGAGGTGTCCCCCCACTCTGATTCTTGCCCTTTCCAGCAGCTGCAGCTGCCGTTTCTCTCTGGGGAGGGGAGCCCAAGGGCTGTTTCTGCCACTTGCTCTCCTCAGAGTTGGCTTTTGAACCAAAGTGCCCTGGACCAGGTCAGGGCCTACAGCTGTGTTGTCCAGTACAGGAGCCACGAGCCAAATGTGGCATTTGAATTTGAATTAACTTAGAAATTCATTTCCTCACCTGTAGTGGCCACCTCTATATTGAGGTGCTCAATAAGCAAAAGTGGTCGGTGGCTGCTGTATTGGACAGCACAGAAAAAGATTTCCATCACCACAGAAAGGTCGGCTGGCAGCACTGGCCAAGGTGATGGGGTGTGCTACACAGTGTATGTCACTGTGTAGTGGATGGAGTTTACTGTTTGTGGAATAAAAACGGCTGTTTCCGTGGTTCTTTGCCTCTTGTCCTTGAGTCCTGGGAAGAGCTGGGGACTGGGGATTGTTTGCTGAGTGCCTGAACAGGACCTCCTACCCTATGCCTGCAACCCCCTCCACAAAAAACAAAAAACCCTACCTCCTCCCACCTGGCCGGAAATTTCTTCTCCTGATCTGCTCCCCCTGTCCTCCCCATCCCCATCTGATTGTGATTCCCAGAACTCCCCGGGTTGTTTGGGAGTGTTTCTGAAAGCATAATCCATGGCCATGGAAATGAATCATCCTACTTCTTGGGGGCATTGAGAGTCAGTCCACATCAGCAAGGGTAGAGTGGAGAGGTGGGAGGGCTCTGGGTGGTGGGTCTCTAACTGTAGTGTGCATCAGAGTCACTGGGGGCACTTGTGAAAATAATGTATGTTCCTGGGGTCCAGATCCTACTAATTCAGTTGGTCTGGGTGTGGCCCAGACTTTGACTTTTTAGCAGGCTTCTCAGGAGCTCCTGCTGTGCTCTGTCCTCAGACCACCCCCAGGCTTTGAAGCCAGGCTCATTGGATTGAAGCCCGCCCCGCCCACCTCCCTTGCTGGTTACATAACCCTGGATTTCTGTAAAACAAGCCTTTAGGCGGTTGCCTCCCACTGCCCTCATCTTCTGTCTTTTCCTCTGGCACACTTGGCATCAACTGTGTGTTATTTGCAGTTCCCCCCACCTCCTACCCCACTCAGTTCTCCCATCATAGTGGTTTGGCCTAGAATGCCCTATTCCACCAACCATGCACACCTCTCAACTGCCTGGTTCCCTCATAAAACCAGATGAGGCTGGCCGGGCACGGTGTCTCATGCCTGTAATCCCAGCACTTTGGGAAGCCAAGGTGGGCAGATCACAAGGTCAAGAGATCGAGACCATCCTGGCCAACATGGTGAAACCCCGTCTCTACTAAAAATACAAAAAAAAATTAGCTGGGCATAGTGGCGCGCGCCTGTAGTCCCAGCTACTCGGTAGGCTGAGGCAGGAGAATCGCTTGAACCTGGGAGGCAGAGGTTGCAGTGAGCCAAGATTGCGCCACTGTACTCCAGCCTGGTGACAGAGTGAGACTCTGTCTCAAACACACACACACACACACACACCCCAGATGAGAAGTTGCTGCCTCCGGGAAGTTTCCCTTGACGTGTCCGTGCCCCACGCCTTTGCTTCCAGATTGCCTTGGACTTAACACGTGTTCCTTATCAGCTGGCTGCTGTCCTTTGACTTCCACCAGATGGTGTGCTTCCTGGAGGCACAGGTTCTGTCTTTCATTAAGACCTGACCCATCTCAGGACATGTAAGTGCTCAATCAGCAAACGCTAAATGTATTAACTGGGTATGGGCTATTCTGGCTTGAGATCTGGGATCCAAGATAGGGATGGGCAAGGGGCACTCTGGAAGCTCCACATGTGTGAGTGCAGCAGTCTTAACACAGTGGTACAGGTGTCTCTGTAGCCAGCATAGATGGGCTGTGTAGGTTCCTTGAAGGGTTTTAGGAGCCCTCAGCACATGCGGGTGGTATGTGTGCATATGTAGGAAGGAAAGGCGGTGAGCTAGTCTAGACCATGGGCAAAGGCAATTTGTTCAAGGTGCTTTTACTTGAGTTTACTTCAAAAGCAGTAAAGGAGCAGACTGTAAATGAGACAGGAACGCAGGTGAGTGGATACACAAAGCTAAGTGGTCTGTGTAGTGTGCCTAGTGTGGGATGGAGCATGCATAGCATGGGGTGTCTGCCAAGTCAGAAGAGCACAGAGCTGTGGCCTGGCTCTCTTTTATACCCGCAGCCCTGTCAGTACCTAGAAACGACCTCCACTACCATGCCACATGTAACCTACGCTCTGGCAACACCCACATATTTCTAGATCAGACCTCCTCCCTGGATCTTGGATTCATTTACCCAACTGCCTACTTGCTTTCTCCATTTGGATGTCTAAAGACATCTCAAATTGAATATCTCCAAAACCGAGCTTCTGATGTGCTCCACCCCACCCCAAACAGGCCCAACCATAGTCACCTCATCTCTGTAAAAGGTAATTCGTGTCTTTCCAGGCACTCAGGCCAAATACCTTTGAGTCATCCTTGTCTCTCTCTCATCCTGTTTGCACCCTACCTTCAAAATAAATCCAGAATCCCACCCCTTTTCACCACCTCCACTATTATCAGTGAGGTTTTCCCTGGCCATACCCTATTTCAAATTGCTATCCTAGCACGCTACATTCACCTGGGGAACTGAAAAAATCCTGATGCCCAGGCTTTACCCAAACCAGTTAAATCAGAATTTAATGTGGGACTCACAGAGTCTCCAAGTGACACCAATGTGTAGCCAAGCTTAAGAACTTGGTCTTATTTTTAAAGTAGTATGAAAACTTACTGTCTCTCCTAAGCATTCTAACAATGGATACTTTTCAGAATAAGATTGTGTAAAACAGAGAACTCACTTTTAACTTTATAACAATTTATGTATTGTTTGTCTTTTTAAAACAAAAGTATATGTTGAGTTTATAATAAAAGTAAAAATTTGGGCCGGGCGTCGTGGCTCACACCACTCCCAGCACTTTGGGAAGCCGAGGTGGGTGGATCATTTGAGGTCAGGAGTTCGAGACCAGCCTAGCCAACATGGTGAAACCCCGCTTCTACTAAAAATACAAAAATTAGCCAGGCGTGGTGGCGGGTGCCTATAGTCCCAGCTACTCGGGAGGCTGAGGCAGGAGAATCACTTGAACCCAGGAAGTGGAGGTTGCAGTGAGCCGAGATCAGGCCACTGCACTCCAGCCTGGGCGACAGAGTGAGACTCCATCTTGAATAATAATAATAATAAAATAATAATTTGATGAAGACTTAATTAAATCAAATAGGCATCTGGGAGGTCTGGCCCCAGGTCTTCCCCCAGACTGAAGGGTGACCACAGGTGAGCCCTTTCAATATCTGGGCCTTGGACTCCCGCTGAGGTGAAAGTGACCGGGTAGCCTGTTGGAGCCAGCCCTGTCCCATAGGCTATGGGTCTCAGGGTCCTCTTTCCCAATAGCACTTCAGCTCACTTGAGGTCTTTTCTGAGCTGGTCATGCCCACCAGGCAGATGGCAAGGCAGGGCACAGAAGCTGCTGAGCTCCATGGTGCCAAGGGCTGAGCTCCATGAGCCAGGGCTGGGAGGCTGGAACTTATACCTGCAGAAAAAGAAGAGTCCCTGTTTCCACAGGACAAAGGAAATATCTTGTTTTTGATTTCTTGGAAGAGGAAGCACTCTGGGCAAGAGGTATGAGCCGGGATGAAGTGGACTCCTTGTCTGGAGGTGGTGCTACACACCTTGGAGGGGCTCCTGGGAGCTACTGAGAATGTCCCCTAAGTCAGTATTCCTGCCTCAGCTGAAATGCCAGTCTTCAGCCTCATCTACTGCACACTTGAGTCCATGAGATTTTAGAGTGGTAAGTGACCTTTGGGGTCTCAGTTTTCCTATCTGTAAAGGGAGTGGGCTGGACAATGAACAGCTGTTCTCCATTCTTTTGTTATTGGTTCCCATCCAGAGCCTCCCAGCTAGTTGTCTCAACATCCCAGGGGAGAAAGCATAGCTCTTTGTCCATTGGTTTATTTATTCAATTTAGGAATAATGAGTGTATTGTTTTATATGAATAACCATACTTATTTAAAAGATCAAACTAAACTAAATAGTACAAACAAGCGAAATCTCTCCCCAAAGTCTACTATGGTGCTGTGCAACAGAAATATAATACAAGCCACAAATCGAATTTTCAATTTCCTAGTAGCTTTTTTAAAAAGTAAAAAGAGGGGCCAGGCACAGTGGCTCAGCCTGTAATCCCAGCACTTTGGGAGGCTGAGGTGGGCAGGATCACCTGAGCTCGGGAAGTTGAGGCTAATAGTGGGCTGAGATTGTGCCACTGCACTCCAGCCTGGGTGACAGGGAAGGAGACCCTGTCTCAAAAAAAAAAAAAAAAGAAAGGAAAAACAGGTAAAATTAATTTGATGATAGTTTATTTGAGTACAGTATATATATCATTTCAATATATAATTAATATGAAATAAAAACTAATGCAATATTTTACTTTTCTTTATATTAAGTCTTTGAAATCTGATGTGTACTTTAAACATTTATAGCATATAACAACTAATATTAGCCATAACTCATGTGCTCAATAGTTGCATGTGGTCAGTGGCTACCATATTGGACATTGATGCTCTACCATATAAAGCAACTATCAGTAACTTCAGGATAACCTCATCAACATTTTGTTAGATTGATTAACAAAAATAATTCTACAAAAATGAAGAGTTTATGGATATTGTTTTCCCTGAATTTTTGCATATTTTCTTAATACCTGAAGGACAATTTTATGGGGTAATATTTTAAAAAATAATTTGACTTTTTTTTTCCTCTTTCTAGGCTATTGAGATTTATTTATTTATTTATTTATTTAAGATGGAGTCTCTGTCGCCCAGGCTGGAGTGCAGTGGTGCAATCTTGGCTCACTGCAACCTCTGCCTCCTGGGTTCAAGTGATTCTCTCACCTCAGCCTCCCGAGTAGCTGGGATGACAGGCACGCACCACCATGCCTGGCTAATTTTTGTATTTTTAGTAGAGGCGGGGTTTCACCACGTTAACCAGGCTGGTCTCAAACTCCTGACCTCAAGTGATTTACCCACCTCAGCCAACCAAAGTGCTGACATTATAGGTGTGAGCCACCGCACCTGGCCCAGGCTATTGGTACTTACTATCCCCAACTTTTATTCTATGCTAGTAATTTGATTTGTAGCTCTGACTTGTTTCTTCCTTGAGATTTTCAATTTATTTGCAGTTTTTTTAGTGGTGTTACCTAGATCTTCAATTTATTTCTTTAACACTCATTTTTAAGGGTCTTTTAAATTTTTATTTATTTTAAAATATTTATTTATTTATTTATTTATTTTTAGAAATGAAATCTTGTTATGTTGTCCAGGGTGGTCTTCAACACCTAGCCTCAAGCAATCCTCCCACCTTGGCCTCCCAAAGCACTGGGATTACAGGTGTGAACACTGAACCACTGAACCCAGCCTAATGTCTTATTTTATTAAAGTTTTTGTTTTTTAAGCTGAAAGCCCTCCTATAAATTTTTCCTTTTATCAGATTTTCTGCTGAATTCAGTTATCTGTGTCTGTTTCTTTTCTCCAGCGTCCTTTCCTTTTTAATTTTCTTCTTTTTTTCCTTTCTTCCCTCCCTCCCTGCTTTATTTTCTTTCTTCCTTATAACTGTATGTAGTATGGTGCATAGCTACTCTGTCATTTCCCTTCATCTTCGTCAGGCTCAGTTTGGGCAACTCTGCCCTGTCCTTTCGCTTATTCTAATTGGTGTCAGTATATTCTCTTTGGTTTCCTTCTCACCATATCTGAGATCTATTGTTATTTCCATCCCTACCCCCCAAATTGCAGTCTGAAGTTTGCCTCTATACACTTCTGTGGAGCCTAAAGTCATGGGGTTGAGGGAAGAAAGGAATGCTATTGGAGATGTCTCTTGACTATGATGGGCAGCCTGGGCTCTGCTCTCTGGAGATTTTCTTAAATTCCTGGAACCACAGTTGGCTTCCTCTAGTGACGTGTTATTCCATTTTTGAGAAAGTTTCCCTGGAGCTTTGGATCAGCCAACCAATTAGAAATTTGAGCCTTGGGGAATGGCAAACCTTGGTGGGCTTTTTATCTCTGTGGAGACCCCAAGAGCTTGGGTGGGACTTGAATTTTCTGGGGATGCATCTTGACTTTTTGCATGCAGTTCTCTAACACTCCTCCCCAAAACTCATATTAAAATTTAATCCCTAATGTGGCAGTACTGAGAGGTGGGGTCTTTAAGAGGTGATTGGGTCATGAATGGATTAATCCATTCACAGATAAATGGATTAATGGATTATCATAGGAGTGGGACTGGTGACTTTATAAGAGGAAAACACATAGTTTAGCATGCTCAGCCCCCTCACCATGTGATGTCCTGAACTGCCTCAGGACTCTGCAGAGGGTCCCCACAACAAGAAGGCTTTCACCAGGTGCATCCCCTTGACCTTGGGCTTCCCAGCCTACAGAACTGTAAGAAATAAATTTGGTTTTTAATAAATTACCCAGTTTCAGGTATTCTGTTAAGACACAGGACAAGAAGGCTACTCAGTTGCAAGCAAGAGCCATTTCTTATGGAAAAGGAAGTGTGAGTCAGAGTGGAGCCAAGAACCTCTGGCAACAGGTGCACAATTCAATTTCAGAATTGCCGGGGCTCAGTGATTGCTCTGAACTTCCCCTTTTAAAACGGTAGTGAACATAGTGGTTTCCTGTGCCAATCTCGCCATTGCAGGTTGGGTGCATGTGAGGCAGAAAACATGTCTCTTTAGTTCACAGGTTTTCAGATGGAGAGAAACTCTACCCACGGAACAGAACCCAAGACGCCTCTTTGCAGCTGGACTTGATGTAGATAAGCTCCAGAAATTGGAGCTGAGTTTGATGTCAAAATAGGATGAGGTGTTTGTTTGTTTGTTTGTTTGTTTGTTTGGTTTTAAGACAAACTCACTCTGTCACCCAGGCTGGAGTGTAGTGGTGTGATCACGGCTCACTGCAGTTTTGACTTTCCAGGCTCAAGCAATCCTCCCACCTCAGCCTTTTGAGTAGCTGGGACTACTACAGGTTTGTGGCACCGTGATTGGCTAATTTTTTATTTTTTATAGAGATAGGGTCTTGCTATGTTGCCCAGGCTGGTCTCGAACTCCTGGATACAAGTGTTCCTCCCACCTCAGTCTCCCAAAGTGCTGGGATTACAGTCATGAACCACTGCATCTGGCCAAGATTTTTTTTTTTTTTTTTTTTTTTTTTTTTTTTAGTGGGAAGTAGGGCAGTGGGGGTAGGTGGGGACGGGTCTTGGAGGAAGTTATATTTTACATATAGGAAAATTTTAACTAATCTGTCTCAGTTTAAAAACATGTCTGCAATTTTTCTGGCACTTGTCCCATTGAGAATTGGGGTCAATCCCCTTTTTGAATCTGGGCTGACCTTGCCGACTCCATCATGATCAGTAGAATGCAGTGGAAGAGATACTGTGTGATTTCTGAGGCTAGGTCAAAAAAGGCTGTCCTTCCATCTTGCACTCTTGGGATGCTGGCTCTGGGTGATGCTGATGTCCATGTGAAAAGTCTGACTACCCAGAGGCCACTGCTGAAAAGAACACATGCAGTGGACACCGGCCAACAGTTCCAGCTGAGTTTAGCCTTTTAGTTTAGCCTTTCTGCCAAGGCCCTAGACATGTGATTGAAGCCATCCTGGGTCCTCCAGCCCAGCCCAGCCCAGCTGGGTACCACAGAATGACCTCAGACATGGCCACAAGGAGCAAAAGAATTCCCCAACTAAGCCCCGCCTGAATTCCAGACCTACAGAATCCACGTGCATCAGAAAAGAGTTGTTGTTTTGTGCCACTAAGTATGGATCCTGGTAGGCAACTCACTGGAACAACTGGTGAGAATTTTCAGGACTTTTGTATTATTTCCTCTTTCTCCTGCACCTCTTCTGGAACAGAGCAGTTGGGGATAGGACCATGACGAAACACATCAAGATATTCTATATTTTTCTGTTGCTACTGCTTTTTGAAGTTTATGGAATGAGGTTCTACTGTTTCCCATGGTGGTTTACTGCTGCTGATTTTTTTTTTTTTACCTGTTTTTTTTTTTTCTCCTATCCAATTCAATAGAAACCAGAGAATGAACATTCTATTGTGAAACTATCCTGCCATCTGCACTTTACTCAGTGATATGGTTTGGATTTGTGTTGCCACCCAAATCTCATGTCAAATTGTAATCCCCAATATTGGAGGTGGGGCCTGGTGGGAGCTGGTTGGATCATGGGGGTGGATTTCCCCCTTTCTGTTCTCCTGATAGTGAGATCTCATGATACTTGGTTGTTTAAAAGTGTGTGGCACCTCCCCCCTCTCTCTTTCGCCCACTCCTGCCATGTAAGACATGTCTGCTTCCCCTTTGCCTTCCACCATGATTGAAAGTTTCTTGAGGCCTCCCCAGCTATGCTACCTGTACAGCTGGCAGAACCGTGAGCCAATTAAACCTCTTCTTTATAAATTACCCAGTCTCGGGTAGTTGTTTTTTTTTTGAGACGGAGTTTTGCTGTTGTTGCCCAGGCTGGAGTGCAATGGCGCGATCTCAGCTCACCGCAACCTCCGCCTCCCGGGTTCAAGCGATTCTCCTGCCTCACCCTCCCAAGTAGCTGGGATTACAGGCATGCACCACCACCCTGGCTAGTTTTGTATTTTTTTTTTTAGTAGAGACAGGGTTTCTCCATGTTGGTCAGGCTGATCTTGAACTCCCGACCTCAGGTGATCCGCCCGCCCCGGTCTCCCAAAGTGCTGGGATTACAGGCATGAGCCACTGCACCCGGCCATTTTTTGTTTGTTTGTTTTGTTTTTTTGTGTTTTTTTTTGAGACACAGTTTCACTCTTGTTGCTCAGGCTGAAGTGTAATGGCGCGATCTCAGCTCACTGCAACCTCTAACTCCCGGGCTCAAGTGATTCTCTTGCTTCAGCCTCCAGAGTAGCTGGGATTACAGGCATGTGCCACCACACCCAGCTAATTTTGTATTTTTAGTAGATGTGGGGTTTTTCCATGTTGGTCAGGCTGGTCTCGAACACCCGACCTCAGGTGATCTGCCCTCCTCGGCCTCCCAAAGCGCTGAGATTACAGGCGTGAGCCACCACTCCTGGTGTCAGGTAGTTCTTTATAGCAGTGGGAGAATGGACTAATACACCCAGAAGTCTATGTTTTAAATGAAAACTTAATTTTAAATAGTACAAAAATATTTGTAAGGTTTTTTATTTTCTTAATCATAAAAAGAACATAAGAGATTAAATAGGTGATATTAAAGAAAGAAAAAGAACGCCCATGTTCTTACAACACTAATACAATACCTGTGAACATTTTGTTTCTCTTTCCCCTACATAGCATTATTTTTTGTCTGTTGATTGAATTCCCTCCCCTCCCAAAGTTTTTTTTTTTTTTTTTGTATTAAGCCAAACCACAAATAAGTATCATTTATGTTAGATGCCGTGCTAGGTGCTGCTGATACAACTGAGAATATGTCAGATACAGCCCCAGCCCTTTTTGATTTAGAGTCTAGCTGGTGAGGTCATTTACCAAATAATGATGCATAATCATTCCATAAATACAAATGATGGTGTTATGAAGATAAAAAGAGGGTGCTCAGAAAGAACTAAGGGGGTACAATTTATTTTATTTTAGAAATTCTTTTAGATTCAGAAAGTACGTGTGCAGGTTTGTTGCACGGGTGTATTGCATGATGCTGAGGTTTGGGCTTCCAACGATCCCGTCGCCCAAGCAGTGAATATAGTACCCAACAGGTAGTTTTTCAACTTTTGCTCTCCTCCATCCCCCCTTCTGGAATCCTTAGTGTTTATTGCTCACATCTTTGTGTCCTTGTGGGGATGCAATTTAGATTGAGGCTCAGGGACAGCTTCTGTGAGAAAGTGACCTTTAGGCTGAGCAGAAGGAGGTGGCAGGAATGTGGAGGGAAGACAATCCAGGTGACGGGAACAGCTCCGAGGTGGGGAAGAGCTCCCAGTGATGGAAGAGGCAGCTTTGTGGCCAGAGCTGGTCAGCATGGGAGAGAGTGACACAAGGGCCTGAAAGAGGACCCGTGTGGCCATGGTAAGCCCATTGGTGATGAAGCCAGGGGCACCAGGTGGACCTGGTAAAGGAGGACAGATTTCACATTCACAAGAATCAGAATCTACTGAACGCTTTTAGGCGGGTGGAGACACGATCAGCTTCATTCACTTCCTTCCCCCATACAGTATTTACTTTTCACTGAGGTGTGATATAATGTATCCAGAAAAAAGTGCAGAAATGTATAACCCAGTGAATTTTATAGAACATTACCAGCATCCTAAAAGCACCCCTTCCACTCATTCCCCTAGAGTAACCACTATCTTGACTTCCAACTATTTGCCTGTTTTTGTACTTTCCATGTAAACGCGGTCATCCAGCAGGTGCTGTTTTCTATCTGGGTTTTTAACTCAACGCTATGTTTATGATGTTCATCCGTTCATTACATGTAGTTGTAGATCATATTTCCTTCTTTAAAAGATCACACTGGCTGTAGCATGAAGAATGAGCAATTTCAAAATTAAGCAAAATATTAAACAGCTAAGAATGGAAATAAAATTCAAGTCAATTTCAAAAAGAAACACAGGGACAGATTTTGCCAGATACCTGGTACAGATTTTGCCAGACATATGGTACATTTTGTTCGTTACTATATCTCCAGAATTTTCCTACCTCTTTCTCCAAATAGAGAATATTTAAAAGTTTTCTTAAAAACCCTGATATATAACATTTGCAATGTTCTCTACAGTTTGCAAAGTGTTTTCCTAATGATTTTCTGCTTTGATCCTGCAAAATCTTATGAATGCCAGTACCATTTCCCTTTTACAGAAGAAGAAACTGGCTCAAGAAGATGAGACATGATGCTTTGTAGCCGAGGAATTGCCTCAGGTGTCACCATCCCCGTCCCTGCGAATTGGAATTTCAGGCGGGGGCGAGCTGCTGGCTCTGCCGGCAAACTCGCCTTATCCCACGCCGCCGAAGGGTCCAAGCTTTCCAGCTGCGTAACACGACCAGGCCCCGAGCGCTCTGGCCCGGGGGCAGATACTTTCGGTTTGCAGCTCTCAGGGCAGCGCTGCCCTGGGACGCCCAGTGGGTTTTCACGGCTCCCCTGGGTCTGGGATCAGGGCAGCTCCGCCTAAGGGCGCGGCCCAATCTGAGGGTTCGTCGCCCCCGCGTGGTCAGACGTGGGAATGGCAGCTTCTGAAGCTCTATGTGTGGTGCCTTTCTGGGGCTCACCAGGTGCCATGTTGCGTGGGACCATGAAACTGTGGTGGTCTTGTCTCTGCCACAAGATAATGTAGGCTTGGGCCTCAAGATAATGTCGGCATGGTGTCCCATCTTTGGCATGAGTCCTACCCTTTCCAAGTGCAGTGGTGGCTGATTCAGTGGTGGCTCCCAGGGATATGATAGGCAAAGGGGGTTCGGTCTCTGCTGTCTGAAATTAATCCTGGGCTCAAGAGAGAGGGGCGCAGGTGAGGCCTGGGGCTCTTCATGCCTGATTTCCCGCTACCCCTCTGGCTTCCTCCAATTCCTACATCCAAGTTAACTCTGAGACCTGTGGTTACCAAGAAGACAGTCGATGTGGGGGAAGGGCAAAACCAAGTACCTACTATAGCTACAAGGAATAATATAAAGGAATTGTTCCATTTTGTATATTGGTATCATCAGCTTCTTGAGAAGCCTTTTGGGTAATTTATTGTAAAAATCACTACTTTAAAGACAAAAATCCTTAATTTTAAATGCTACAAAATTTAAGAGCTCGTTTGAGTTGATGCAGGACCCACAGTTCCCTATAGGGCGATCACTGATGAGTGTATGTGAGCTAAACGCACAGGAGCTTATTCTCGAGAGTTCTCAGGAATTCTCCGGAATTATGAGAAGCATATCAACCGCTTCATCGGGGGGGCTCCACTTGGCATTTTACAGGGAGAGTTGGGCAGTTCCCTTCTCAAGGCAAACAGATCTTACAGTGGCGTTTATTCAGATAAATATGAGAGCCGTGTGGGACTGGCTGTATGATGACGGGGATATCCTCCCACTGAATATGCCTATTACCCAGGTCATGGTAAATCTGGGGGTTTAGGGGGCCCCTTTTACATGGGTGCCCCTCCCACAGAATCATACAACTGTTTGAGAAGGCTTCTCAACTTGTCATCCGTCATGGGTCTTACAGATGCCACTCCCTGCTGGGAACCAGAAAAGGTAAAATGGTCTGGAGGTAGGAAAAAAAAGTTCCTAGGACCAGAACATAAAACATACAGGTTAATAGAATTATGAAATTTAAGATGTTTAAAAAGGCTTTATGTAAGGTACTTGCAACCCCTTTACCTAAATATCTTATGAAAATGGGTATTGTACAAAAATTAGCTATAGCATGTTTTCAGGTAAAGTTCCAGCAAAGCAACTAAAAAGGGGCCTATATAGCCAATCATTCCCTGCTGCATTTTATGCAATAATCAGGTCAAGTATATAAGACTAAAACTCACTTTGCACACAAATTAGTCTTACTGTAATTTCTCTTTAATAGATAAAAAGGGGCTAGAGAAAGAGAAATTGTTTCAAAGGAAAAGTGTAACATTTGATACTAGATTTTAGCCCTCAATTTTTTTTTGAGTGCAGATTGAATCATGCATTATTTCTTGGCTACAATAATCCTCTGGAGAGTACCAGATTATAATTTTTCTTCATATCTTTAGTTGGTGCCCTAATGGATGGAATAGGTTCTTTTTTTTTTTTTTTCAGATGGAGTTTTGCTCTTGTTGCCCAGGCTGGAGTGCAATGGTGCGATCTCGGCTCTCTGCAACCTCCGCCTCTTGGGTTCAAGCGATTCTCCTGCCTCAGCCTCCCAAGTAGCTGGGATTACAGATGCCTGCCACCATGTCCAGCTAATTTTTGTATTTTTAGTAGAGACAGGGTTTCACCATGTTGGCCAGGCTGGTCTTGAACTCCTGACCTCAAGTGATCCACCTGCCTCGGCCTCCTGAAGTGCTGGAATTACAGACGTGAGCCACCGGCCCACAAATACCCTTTGATTGTCAAAACATTAATGTTATTATCTCTCCTTGTTTTACTTTCAAGGAAGCCCAAATCATGGTATTCTGAACACCAGAGATGTCAATCTCCCTCATTTGTCATCTCACTGGGCCGGATCTGTTTTTCACTGCAGATGCCCTGCTGCTAAAACTATACAAGCATCCTCCCTCTAGGTCCAGTGACTGTCATGGAAGAGGCGGGTGCGTGAGATTGTAAGGGCCAGTTTTGAGGGATAGAGTTAGGTCAAGGTCAGACCCTCCAAATCAAGGAAGGGTACAAAGATGCCTAAACAGCTGGTAAAACAAGGGACTTTGTCTTCTAAGCTATTATGTATCACTTTTGCATCCACCCCAACAATAAACAATTTTCTGCTTCATGTAGAATTAAAATATTTACTGACAGGATAAAGATGCCTTGTGACAAAGCCTCCTGGGTATAATATTCCCAGTTATAAGTTGTAAAGATATATATACATATATATATATATATATATATATATATATATATATATATATATATAAATCTTTTACAGAGCAATGCTTATGTTTTTGTATAGCTAATTGCTGTAAGTCTGTAATTAAAACCAAGTTTACAGTAGCTGAATACATAGGAGTTAAAGACAAGTTAGTTTTTGCCTTTTTGTTTGTTAGCTTTTTACTTAAAATAGCAATAATAATTTTAAAGAGTAATGAATGCCTGTCCATGTCCATTTCCATCTGGCCTGTAACATTTGATTGGCTGTAAGTCTCCTTTTTTTTTTTTTTTTTTTAAGACGGAGTTTTGCTCTTGTCACCTAGGCTGGAGTGCAATGGCGTGATCTTGGCTCACTGCAACCTCCACCTCCTGGGTTCAGGCGATTTTCCTGCCTCAGCCTCCCAAGTAGCTGGGATTACAGGCACCTGCCACCATGCCTCGCTAATTTTTTGTATTTTTAGTAGAGACGGGATTTCACCATGTTGGCCAGGCTGGTCTCGAACTCCTGACCTTACGTGGTCCACCCACCTCGGCCTCCCAAAGTGCTGGGATTACAGGCGTGAGCCACCTTGCCCAGCCAGCTGTAAGTCTTTTGACTCTTGGTCCCTTATCCATAGGGAATCCCATCGAGGGACAAGATGGACCAGGGGCAGGCCGCCATGGCATCCCAGAAACACTATGGGACATAATGAAGATTTGCTGGCCATTGATGTTGCCTCTGGCAATTCTTGGCCAGAAGTGGGAGAATGTAAACCAAAAATAAAATTCTAAGCTCCCCTCATCCCCCACCCCCGCACCACAACCATCTAAATGAGCTTCCTCCTTGGCCAGGGCACTCCTAAAATTTAACCTGAAAGACTGATTCAGGCCATGACAGGAAGTGGGGGTCGGGCATGCCTCATTATACTCTCCAGTGTTAACATCAACAGAGACCTTAAGCCCAATAAGAATCATGTACATTCTATTCTCTCTGAAGCCTGCTACCTGGAAGCTCCATCCTCCGACTCCAGTTGTCCCACCTTTCTGGACCAAACCAACGTATTTCTTAAATGTACTTGATTGAAGTCTCCTGTCTTGCTGTACCCCAACCATGTTGGGCACACATTCTCAGGATCTCCTGAGGGCTGTGTCATGGGCCATGGTTACTCATATTTGGCTCAGAATAAATCTCTTCAAATATTTACAGAGTTTAACTCTTTCCATGGACATGGGGGAGCACCTGTTGGAGACACAGCATCTCATCCCCCAGACCTGCTGAATCAGAATCTGCATTTCAAGAAGATCCCCAGGCAGTTCGCAGGCATGTGCACATTTATGTTGACAAAAAGAGTCCAACTCTGTCAAATATTTGAAGAGATCTATTCTGAGTCAAATATGAGTGACCAATGGCCTGTGACACGGCCCCAAGAGACCCTGAGAACATGTGCCCAAGGTGATCAGGCTATAGCTTGGCTTTATACAGCTTAGGGAGACATAAGACATCAATCAATACAAGTAAGATGTACATTGGTTTGGTCCAGGAAAATGGGACAACTGGAAGCATGGGGTGGGGGCGCTTCCAGGTCATAGGTGGATTCAAATATTTTCTGATTGGTAATTGGTTGGGAGTTTATTTAAAGACCTGGAATCCACAGAAGGCATAGAAGGGAGTGTCTGGATTAAGATAAGGAGTCATAGAGACCAGCGTTCCTATTATGCAGATGAAGCCTCTAGGTAGCAGGCTTCAGAGACAATAGATGGTAAATGTTTCTTATCAGACTTAAAAAAGTGCCAGACTCTTAGTTAATTCTCACCTGAATCAGGCAAACAACCTGGAAAGGGAAGGGGATTCTCTACAGAATGTAGATTTTCCCCACAAGGGACAGTTTTGCAGGGCTATTTCAAAAATATGTCAAAAAATATATTTTAGGGTAAAATACTTTGATTTCTTTCAGGGCCTCTCTGACATGTGGTACTTACACCAGAGTGAGGCTGGAATTTGGTATCCTATTGCTAATCTGTTTTGTTAGTCTTAAGATCTCTGTTTTAATGTTACTGCTGGTCAGTTGTGCCTGAATTCCAAAGGGAGGGGAGTGCAACGTGGCGTGTCCAATCCCCCCTTCCCATCATGGCCTGAACTAGTTTTCCAGGTTTCTTTGGAATCTCCTTGGCTGAGACAGGGGCTCCATTCCATCAGTTGGGGGATTTAGAATTTTATTTTGGGTTTACAACAGTAAGCAAAATGCTTTCCTGAGTTCTGAGAGTCATTCTAGTGAGTTATCCAACTTGAGGGGCGATTGTGGAACACTAAAATTTGTATAGCCAATCAGTCAGAAGTGTGAGTGACCCCTGGAATTTGCGCTTGTATCTGAAGTGAGAGCAGGGTCTTGTGGGACTGAGCCCTTAACCTGTGAGGTCTGTGCTGTAAACCAGAAATAAAATTCTAAGCCCCCACCCATCTGAATGGACCCCTCCTCTTGGCCAAAGGCGTTCCAAGGTTAACCTGTAAAACTAGTTTAGGCCATGATGGAAAGGGGGAATTGGACATTAGCACTAACATAGACCTTAAGCTGATAAGCATTTACAACCTCTTCTCTCTGAAGCCTGCTAAAGTGGAGGCTTCATCTGCATGATGAAACCTTGGTCTCCACAACCCCTTACCTAACCCAGACATTCCTTTCTACTGATTCCAGATCTTTAGATAATAACCAATTGCCAATCAAAAAATCTTTGAATCCACCTGTGATCTGGAAGCCCCTCCCATCTTTCTGAACTCAACCATTGTACATCTTACATGTATTGATTGATGTCTTATGTCCCCCTAAAATGTATAAAATCAAGTTATAGGCCGACCACCTTGGGCCCACGTCATCAGGGCCTCCCCTGAGACTGTGCCACAGGCATGTCCTTAACCTTGGCAAAATAAACTCCAAAATTGAGACTTGTTTCAGATACTTTTGGTTTACAGTTCTAACTCAGGAGTGTCAGAAGTGAATTAATTTGTGAACACCTAGTTGGTGTTGGAGAATTTGTTGGTGTTGGAAAAGATACTGTTACCGGAAAGAGGTCCCAATCCAAACCCCAAAAGAGGGTTCTTGGACCTCGTGCAAGAAAGAATTCAGGGTGAGTCCATAGAGTAAAGTGAAAGCAAATTTATTAAGAAAGTAAAGGAATAAAAGAGTGGCTGCTCCATAGGCAGAACAGCCCCAAGGGCTGCTGGTTGGCTATTTTTTTCATTATTTCTTGATTATTTGCTAAACAAGGGGTGGATTATTCATGAGTTTTACGGGAAAGGGGTCAGCAGTTCCTGGAATTGAGGGTTCTTCCCCTTCTTAGATCATATAGGGTAACTTCTTGACATTATGATGGCATTTGTAAAGTGTCATGGTGCTGGTGGGAGTGTCTTTTAGCATGTTAATGCATTATAATTAGCATATCATGAGCAGTGAGGATAACTAGAGGTCACTTCTGTTGCCATCTTAGTTTTGGTGGGTTTTGGCAGGCTTCTTTACTGCAACCTATTTTATCAGCAAGGTCTTTGTGGCCTATACCTTGTACCGACCTCCTGTCTCACTCTGTGACTTAGAATGCCTAACCTCCTGGGAAAGCAGCCCAGCAGGTCTCAGCCTTATTTTACCCAGCTCCTATTCAAGATGGAGTCTCTCTGATTCAAACGCCTCTGACAATACCATGTATTTGGTGTTAGGAAAAAACTCTCCAGACTCACTCATCCCTGTTCTTTGGTGGCTAAGGGGAGAAATGAGTTTGGGTAGCTCCTCCCCAAGACCCTTACCAGTTATCTGCATTTTAAGAATTCTCTGGCTGGGTGCGGTGGCTCGCAGCTGTAATCCCAGCACTTTGGGAGGCCAAAGCAGGTGGATCAACTGAGGTCAGGAGTTTGAGACCAGCCTGGCCAACATGGTGAAACTCTGTCTCTACTGATAATATAAAAATTAGCCAGGCATAGTGGTGCATGCCTGTAATCCCAGCTACCTGGGAGACTGAGGCAGGAGAATAGCTTGAACCTAGGAGGCGGAGGTTGCAGTGAGCCAAGATCGTGCCATTGCACTCCAGCCTGGGTGACATAAGTGAAACTCCATCTCCAAAAAAAAAAAAAAAGGAATTCCCTATAGAAGCCAGATTCTTCAATGATTGAGTTGTGGCTTAATGGTAGCTTGTCCTGGCTCCAGCACTTACTAGCTGTGTGATCTTGAGTAAGTTACTTATTCTTAATTTCCTCATCTGTGCAGTGGGGATGCCTGCCACACAGATTCTTTACTCATTTTTTACTAAAATGTCTTATTCTCAAAGACTTTGTCTACCTACCTCCAAGTAAGAAAATCCGATATGAAATCATTATTTTATTTCCCCCTTCTAAGAATTAATCAGAAGGATCTAGAACAGCTTAACTGCCTGAGGCACCTGTAGGCAGAAAGCAAGAAACTTGTTCTGTATTCTGAGAGTTTGCTGGAGGTTTGCTCGAGGGCCAAGGTGTGCTTCTCCCAGGCTGTCAAGATATTAGTAATAACTCCAGGCCCTCACTTTCCTATGTCTCAACTATTATCCTCTCGAGATCTTTGAGTGTCTTCAGGCTGGTGAATCTCATAGCATGAGAGTGCTGCATGTTAGAGCTAGATTCCTAATAAGGAGGTGACCCATGGTCAAATACACATTTTTCTAAGGAACTTAATTATCCACATTCTATTCAATGACTGCAGCACCCCCCACTACCAGTGAGCATCAGGAGATTAATTTATTTGACAAATATTTGCCAAGTACCTACAAGGCATTGCTCTCCATAAGCCTCACTTCCTGTGGCTTTGCTGAGTTTCTAAGGTATCTCTGGCTTTGTGGTTCTGGGGTTGAACCACATGTGAGGTGAGGGTTGGGCATGGTGGCACCATCCTGGGCAACAAAGGAAGACTCCATCTCTTAAAAGACATCTAGGGTGATGGAGGAGTAGGGGAACTGAGGTCCTCTGCTCAGTCCTTGGGCTACTTTCTAAATTACACATTCTGATTGCCCTCTGCTCCTGCAGTGCCCACAGCCTTCCTCCCTCCTTCCATCTTCATGGGCTGAGGCCATTCCATTCATGGGCTGAGGCCATTCCAGAAGGAAGGTGAAGGAAGTGATGGGGGTTGAAGGGAGAGGCCCTGGGAGCCTGCAATAGCTGCAACTGGAAGGAATTGTAATCGCCCAATGGGTTCACCTTGCCCACTGCCTAGACAGAGCTGATTTCTCAAGACAGGGGAATTGCAATGGAGAAAGAGTAATTCATGCAGAGCCAGCTGTGTGGGAGACTGGAGTTTTATGATTGCTCAAATCAGTCTCCCCAAGTATCCCGGGATTGGAATTTTTAAAGATAATTTGGTGGGTAGGGGCTCGGGAAGTGGAGAGTGCTGATTGGTCAGGTTGGAGATGGAATCACAGGGGAATTGAAGTGAGGTTTTCTTGCTGTCTTCTGTTCCTGGGTGGGATTGCAGAACTGGTTGAGCCAGATTACTGGTCTGGGTGGTGTCAGCTGATCCATCAAGTGCAGGGTCTGCAAAATATCTCAAGCGCTGATCTTAGGTTTTACAATAGTGATGTTATCACCAGGAGCAATTTGGGGAGGTTCAAACTCTTGCTGCATGATTCCTAAACTGTAATTTCTAATTTTGTAGCTAATTAAGGCAGACTGTTACCCAGGTAAGAAGGAGGTATGTTTTGGAAAGGGCTAGTGTCAATTTTGTTTCAGTCAAACCATAAACTAAATTCCTTCCTAAGGTTAGTTCTGCCTACACCCAGGAATGAACAAGGACAGCTTAAAGGGTAGAGGCAAGATAGAGTTGGTTAGGTCTGATCTCTTTCAGTGTCATAATTTCCTCAGTTATAATTTTCACAAAGGCAGTTTCAGAATCATGCCATAAGTCCTCCACATTCCCCAAGTACCTGGCTTGTGCCGATCCCTTAGTCCACTTTTCTACCCTCTTCTCTTCCAGTCCCAATCCAACTGTGCTACAAAGCTCATATCCAGGTCCAACCCCTGAGAAACTTCTCTCGATCCCCTAGTTGGAAAAAATCATTCCCTCTTCTGACCTCCCATGTCGAGACCATTTATAACATGTTAGAACTCGATTCCTAACAAGGAGGTGCCCGATGATCAAATACACTTTTTTCCAGGGAACTTAATTATCCTCATTCTATTCAATGACTGCAGCACCATCCCCACCATCAATGAGCATGAGCAGATTAATTCATTTGACAAATATTTGCCAAGTACCTACAAGGCATCGTTCTCCATGAGCACATAGCTGTAAACAAAACACAGCAGCAAAGGACCCTACCCTCTAGGTGAGGCAGGCAATAGAAAAATAAGGAGATAATATGTGAGTCATGACAAGCATTTTGAAGACAAAATAGTGGAAGGGGATAAGGAGTAATGGGGGTAAAGGAGGTGCTGCTCTTTTATGTAGACCGGTCAAAGAGCAGAACCTGTAGAAAGTAAGTGAGCATCGTGACCAGCTGGGAGAAGAGCAATGCAGGAAGAAGACGCGGTTAGTGCAAAGGCCCCAGGAAGACTGTGCCTGATGTGTTTGAGCAGCAGCGATGAGGCCAGTGTGGCTGGGGCTGAGTGGGTGGGGTGGGAGAGTGTAAGATGATATGGTCAGAGAGGCTGTGGGGGCAAGCCTTGTAGGACTGTATAAAAACTTAGGCTTTGTAAGAGAGATGGGAAATCACAGGAACATCATGATCTGATTCAAATTGTCACAGGATCCCTCTGGCTGCAGTGTGGAGAGTGGCCTGTAGGGGACCAAGGGTGGAGACAGAGGGCCAGTGAGTAGGCTACTGCACCAGTCCAGGCAAACACTGAAGACCTGTGTATATGTGTTGTTCCCTCGGTCTGTCTCAGGTCTGTTGAATAGTAAGAATGCTTTGCTCTGTTGAAGATGATTCCGTTCTTTACATAAGTAATTAAATGTCTTTCCTTTGCTGTTTCCTGATACCTAAATGCAGTAATATATGCTCATGATAGAAAACTTAGAAAATAAAGAAAAGCATTAAACAATAAAGATTTCCAACTCCTACAACTCAAAGAAAACAGATAAATCATCCTACTTTAGAGGACTAAATGTACAGGAACTCATTGATTTGCTCATCAAAAGGTGAAGAGGGAAGAGTAGCAGCCCCAGGTAGAGCTACCCAGCAGGCGAGGCTGCCCTCAGGAACCACAGCCTTCCCTTTCCTAATGATTTCTACTCTGTGGCACCCACACTTCCCTCCTCAGGGCTCTGGTGTTATCCTCCTTCTGGGTCTCCATCATATCTGCTCTCAGCAAAAGATCCAGCTCATTCATCCAGCCCCAAGGGACAGGGCTTCACCTCCGGACAAGGGTGAGATGAATGAGGTCTTGGACACAGAATTTAAGAAGTCAAAAACCTCAGCCATCAAGATAAATCATATTAAAATGCAATGGTTTAAAAAATTAAAATTAATTTTAAAAGTCCATGAACAAAATATAAACATTTAAAATAAAGACAGGGTCCAACCTTGCACCTGCACAGTCCTGCCTTGCTCTCTGCACCCTAACCCAGCCCTGCTCAGCCCAAGAGCTTTGAATCTGAATACAAATCATTCCAGACTTCAAGATCAAGTTAAAGTGTTAATCGTCTACCAGAATGTGATTTCTAGCTTTAAAAAGAAAACCAAGAAAACAACTTCCACATCAATGCAAAGGTTTTCTCATTTCACCAGGTTTTTGTTTTCCGTCTGTTTACCTGATGGTTTACTAAAGAGGTGAAGAAGTCTGTGGCTGAATGAACACATTGAATAATTGCAGAGACTTAAATTCTCAAATATTCATAAAAATATTTTACCTTTTTTTTTTTTGAGATGAAGTCTCACTCTGTTGCCCAGGCTGTAGTGCAGTAGCATGATCTCGGCTCACTGCAACCTCCGCCTCCTTCAATTCTCCTGCCTCAGCCTCCTGAGTAGCTGGGACTACAGACACATGCCACCATACCTGGTTAATTTTTGTATTTTTAGTAGAGGCAGGGTTTCTCCATGTTGGTCAGGCTGGTCTCGAACTCCTGACCTCAGGTGATCCACCCACCTCGGCCTCCCAAAGTGTTCGGATTACAGGTGTGAGTCACCATGCTTGGCCATGCCGGTTGTTTCTGCTGCTTGCTGTGTAGACCGCTGTGATGACCATCTTCTTATTGACCCTCCTTTGTCTCTGGAGCCCCGCCACCTGCCTTCTACCTGGAGCCTTCCTTCCAGGTCCTTCTTCAACATCAGCTCCAGGATCTGCAAGATCTTTGGATATGGCCGCTGCAGAAGGAAGGAGAACCACTTCCTGGAGAAGCAGGAGTGAGCCAGGATCTGCCACACAAGAGAGCCGGGAACCCAGGGCATGGGTTAAGGCGAGGAGCAGGTCCGGAGGGAAGATCTGAGGCAAAGAGGTAGAGTTCACAGGTCCTACACCCCTCGCACCTACACAGTGTCCCTCCTCTGATGCTGAGGCTCTCTCTGCCTTCCGAGGAGAAAGTGGCGACGTGTCCTGTGAAACCGCAGACTTAACACATCTTCCAAAAGCCAGCTTGGCAGGAGGTCACTGCTAGAAGCACCTCTGAAATAATCTGAGCCGTCTTACCTGTTCCCCTTTTTCAGATGGGAACACTGAGGCAGCCACCCTGCAGAGTGAGTCTGCAGTGCTCCTGAGCCACCCCCCTCCAGGCTTGGCAAACTCACTGCCTTCTTGTCTGTTGCCTTGACTGCAGGGAGGACCAGAGGTGCTCATTTCTGGGAGGGTCTAGGATCTGCCAGCTGCACAGTGTCCAAGTCAAGGGCTTCAGCAACGACAATTAACAAATTCCTTTCTCTTTGCAGAGAGCCTGTCACCTGTGCTGCCTTGAGATGCTGACATCTGAGGATGCCCCAGACAGGGCCTGTGGCTGCTTTCTGAAATAGTGCAGCACCTTCTCTGCTTCCTCCTCAACCTTCTCCTTCACAGCAGAACCCTGCCTCCTTCCTCTCCCCACAGGCTTGTTTCAGCATTGATTTGATCAACTGAGCACCACGAGAACACAAACCACATTCCTTTGTTTTTTCATCACGTTACCCCCAGCACTTAGGACAGTGCCTGGCACAAAGGAGGTAGTCTGTAAATATTTGCGTAATGAATGAATAAAGGAGGGCATGAGTACATCTCCTCTGCCCAGCACGGATGACAGGCTGAGGGTTTGAATCCAGGACTCTCTCACCGTAGCCCTCATTCTCACTGCATCCTCACCTTCGTCCTCCACCCCCCACCCCCCCACTGGGTTCCTTGGGGATGGCAGGGGTGGAGTTCCTGGCATCCAGTTCTGAGCATCAGCTCTGCCAAGTAGTGGTGGCGGGGGGGTTTTCATGAAAGAATCCCCCTCGCTCCCTGTGATGTTGGACATTTTTCCTTGTCTGTGTAGTTTCAGGCTTTGTCTCTCTGGCCTTATACAATATTTAAAAACATTCATTTTCCAGTTAAACAAACTGGATTGGATACTGTTGTTTGCAACTAAGAACCTTAATATTGGGTGATCTTCCCAATATTTTGCAGAACAGCAGCATCACCGCTTTTCCTGCCATCAGACTGGGCCCTACCAGTTGTAAGAAGAAAACCCATTGCAACACCTACCTCTTAATGGCCACTCCAAGCTACACAAAAACCTGAGTGATGTTTCAACATTAAAGCCTTTTCTTTTTTTTTTTTTTTTTTTACTTTTGGGCCAGGTCAGATTGAGGGGTAGGTTGTTCTCCTGGTCTCTCTGAAGGAGAAGGGAAGGAGCATGAGGGTCAATTGTCTGCTTATCTAAGAAATCCCCTTCCCTGAAGTTGTGTGTGTGTGTGTGTATCTCTGTATGTGTGTTGTAGGGTGGTGGTGGTGGTTTGTTATTTCAGTTACAGCAATAACAACTACCCATTTAGTGGACACCGACCATGTACCAGGCTCCATGCTTAGCCTTTTACACGCATTATTTCATTTAATTCCCAAGAATCCTGTGAAGGAGGGTGCATTATGGTCCCCAGTTTACAGAGGGGGATATGGAGGCACGGTGATGTCACGTAACTGCCATATTGTTTTCCTGGGGCAACTAGAACAAAGGACTACAGACTGACTGGTTTAAACAACTGCAATTTACCCTCTTAAATTCTGGAGGCCAGAAGTGTGAGATCAGGGTGTCCACAGGGCTGCGTTTGCTCTGAAGAAGCTGGGGAAGGATCTGTTCCAGGCCTCTCTCCTGGCTTCTGGAAGCTCCTTGACTTGTGGTCACATAAATCCAGTCTTCACATAGTGTTCTCCCGTCTGTCCCCTTTTTAAGGACACCAGTTGTATTGGATTAGGGCCCACACTGATGACCTCATCTTAACTTGATTACCTTTGTAAAGAGCCCATCTCCAAATAAGGTCACATTTGGAGGGACCTGGGGGTTACGACTCCAAGTAGCTTTTTTGGGAGGACACAGTTCAACCCATAACAGCTGATAAATGGCAGAACCCAGGCATATGTGACAGACCCAAAGGCTTTGTCCTTTGGGAGGAAGATTGTGTAAATTAGAGCCCAGACTTTCCAGCCAGGCTATAAAAGTCCTAATTCTGGGTTTGTCTGAATTTGGGAATTTGGGGATCTAAGAAGCAGCTTATTAGGTAAGGTGGGCGTGGGGGTGAGAAAGGGTGAGGCATCAAGCCCCCCATCACTGTTTGTGACTGAGCTTAATCCCATTGGGAATGCTGGGAGCAGGGCCAGACAATTCCTCGCAGCAGCTATCACCCCCTTTCCCTAGGAGAGCAAGTGTTTATGCACCAGTGGAGATATTCAGGCACCAGTCTCCATATGGACTGAGGGTTTCCGGCTGATCTGGGCCTGGGCCCTCCTTGTGTGGCTTCCAAGGAAGCCCTCAGGCAAAGAGATGCAGACACTAGCACTTGGAAATCAGCTGGTGGCACCGAAGGAGTCAGGTCCGGGGTAAGGGTAGGGCACATATCTTCTGCCACACTCTGTATGTGGCTTTGAACAAGTGATTTAACTTGTAGGTGTGCTCTGTACCTGTCTTCTCCCTGTGTGGGGTTGTTGTGTAGCTAAGTGAATTAACACATGCTGAGCCCTTGGACCATGTAATGACTGCAACTTAAACATTAACTATGATTATTATTGACTAAATGATACTGCCCCCTACTGGAAAATGTGTGACCCGGACATCACTTAGAAACTAGTGCTGGATGGCATTTGGGAGGGAATCTGATCCAACTTCCTCATTTCACAGATGAGGAATTCAGACCTAAGAAAGGGAAGTATGTTGCCCAATGTCACACAGCTAACATATATAATCATTATAATAGACAACCCAGGCAGCCTCATTCACTTGTTCATTCATTCACTCTCATGTGTGTGTATATATGTATATAATTATATACATATATAAAACAGACATGTATATAGCATATATTATGTGTATATAATATACATATTTTATATATTTATACATATTATTTCTATTAATATATAATTACATATACACATGTGTATATGCACATATGTATATAATTATATACATATGCATATAATATATATTATACATGCACATACACATGTATATAATTATATACATATATATGCATATATACACACACATATGTATCACTAGTGTTTGTAAGTGATATCCGGGTCACTCATTTTCCAGTAGGGAATAGTATAATTATATACATATATGTGCACATATATACATAATACATATGTTTTTAGAGACTGGGTATTGCTCTGTCACCCAGGCTGGAGTGCAGTGGTGCAATCATTGCTCATTGTAACCTCGAACTCCTGGCCTCAAGCAATCCTCCTGTCTCAGCTTCCCCAGTAGCTGGAACTACAGATATGTGCCACCATGCTCAGCTAATTTTTTAACTTTTTGTAGAAACAGGGTCTCTCCATGCTGCTCAGGCTGGTTTGGAACTCCTGGCCTCGAGCAATCCTCTGGCCTCGGCCTCCCAAAGTGCTGGGATTACAGGCGTGAGCCACCACGCCAGGCCTCACTCCTAAATATTAAGCACCTGTTTTGTGATAGGCACCAGGAAAACAGTAATGACCAAAACGGTAGCCTCCAAATTTGTTTGATCCCTCACACCACCCATTTCAGTAAAAGGTTTTTTTGTTTGTTTGTTTGTTTGTTTTGTTTTGGAGATGGGGGTCTCACTCTGTCACCCAGGCTGGAGTGCAGTGGTGTGATCTCAGCTCACTGCAACCTCCGTCTCCCAGGTTCAAGCGATTCTCCTGCCCAGCCTCCCGAGTAGCTGGGATTACAGGCGTCTGCCTGGCTAATTTTTGTATTTTTAGTAGAGACAGGGTTTCACCACGTTGGCCAGGCTGGTCTCGAACTCCGGACCCCAAGTAATCTTCCCGCCTTGGCCTCCCAAAGTTTTGGGATTATAGGCATGAGCCACTGTGCCCGGCCCAGGAAAAGGTTTTTGAGTGTGCAGTTCCCGTATTTATAAGTATGTGCATATTGTTGTACTAATATGTACATTATAAGTATTCAATAATATAAATTTTAATAAAGTATAGGCTAGAAATGAATAAACTGAAGTTTCTAAATATTTTCTTTCTGTACCACAGTGCACCCCACTTAGGAGTTGGCTGGACCAGAACAGGGGAGACAGAGGAATAGTTTCAGCAGCACAAACGCTGCGAGAACCCAGGTGGAGGCCCTTAATCTCACCTGAAGAGGTCAAGGCTGGCGTCGCAGAGGAGGCAGCGCTCATCCTGGATTTTGAAGGATGAACTGAATTTTATCAGGTAGAAAGAAAGAGGAAAACATAAGCTTTTGGGTGTGGCAAAGATGTGGGCATTAGAAAAAGGATTCTAATTTCCTTTACCTCCCGCCTCTCCGAAAGGAGTATTTGTATTGGTTTCCAAGTAGCTGTTCTGCATCATAGGAGACCCCAGCTTATTCCTCAAAGTTCACCCAACCCTGAATATAGGTGAACCTGGAGTGCCGTCAGTGGGTAGAAGGGGAAGAGGAGTAACCTAGGAGAGATGGGGGAACCACCTCATTTGCATGAGAGTCGTGCCCTTCTCCCCTGTAGCCTGAGTTTCCTGCTTCCCTCTGCTCCACCCAGCTCATCAGGAGAGAGCCCACTACCTTTCTTACCTCTAAGAAGCAGACCCATGGGGGGAGTGGCATAGGTGTGTGCATGTTGGGATGGGAGAGGGATTTGGTGCTGGAAGAAGAAAAGTTGGGAAAGGCTTCTGAATAATGAAAACCCAGAATTTCATAGAAGTCAGCTCATTAGTCAGCCTTAGCTTTCGTACTTTCTCCAATGGGAAGCTCACCTCCTCTTGGCACCAGGTTCCAGCTGATAGCACTCATTATTAGAAGAGCACTCTTGTTTCCCATTAAACCAGCATATGGGCCAGGCATGGTGGTTCATGCCTATAATCCCAGCACTGAGGCAGGTGGATTGCTTGAACCCAGGAGTTCAAGAGCAGCCTGGGCAACATGTTGAAACCCTATCTCTACAAAAAATACAAAAATCAGCTGGGCGTGGTGGCATGCACCTGTAGTCCCAGCTGCTCAGAGGCTGAGGTAGGAGGATCACCTGATTCTGGGAGGTGACGATTGCAGTGAGCTGTGATTGTGCCACTGTACTCCAGCCTGAGCGACAGAGTAAAACCCTGTCTCAAAAAAAGAAAAAAAAAGAAACAAATATGTGTCCCCTTTGCCCCTGGCCCTTCATTTCCACATGGGTCCTGACTACTCTCAAGAAGCCCACTAACCAGGTCAGCTGTCTTTGTACTAAGACAGTTCTGCAGAGATTGAGAAATGGTAATCAAAGTACTTCCACCTCCCACAAAGTGTATTTTTGGTTCTTGTGCAACATTTTGCTAAGTCCCCTCCAGGAGCTTTCAGTCTCTTAGGATTCATAGTTAAGAGAATCTCTTTTTAAAGCTCCCTACAATATCTGCAGAGGCTGCCAGATGGTAGCCCCCCTTGTGAGGTGCCCCTCACTGGGGATGGGGAGAGAGGCAACTGTAGGAAGAGGAGGGTGCTCAGTAGGGTAAGAGCTCCTGAGTCACCCCCTGCCTTGCCTCCCCCAGTTAAGCAAGAGCTGTGGCAATGTAATTCAGAAATAGAAAAGAGGATGGCTGAGAGGAGGGGGTAGGAGGTAGGTGGTGGGCAGGGGTCCAAGGCTCATGAAGGTATTTCTGAGGATGCACCACTCTTCAAGTTCATTATTAGACCTTCTAGCTGCAAGGCATCATGGGAACAATCTGTTTGGAATCCAGTGGGTTCCCAGCCAAAGAGACGTTCTCGCCAGCTCCTCCAGGCAGAGCTCCTTTGACAATGCATTCACACACCTGCCTCCGAGAAGATGGGGGCTGGAGGGACCTTTGGAGAGCAAAGTCTAACTGCCTTGCTGCAGATGAGAAAACCGAGGCATAGAGTGCTGGAATAGCAGGGATTGTTAAACAAGTGAGGACATAGACTGGGCGTTAGATACAGCTAGTTCTCACTCACTGCCTTGTGGTCTTGCATACGTTTCTCAACTTCTCTGAACTTCAGTTTTCTTATTGATAAAATATGGATGATGACAATACCTGTCAATATCTCCAGCCAGAGACCACTAGGAATACCCCTCTTCCTAGCTGAACTAGAAGTCGAACAATGTGCGTTTATTACTCACTAAGGCAAAGGAGAATACAGACCTGGGTGATCACACAGTGACATCTCATTAAGAGGATGTTAGAAAGGACTTCTAGGACTCAGGCTTGTGTTCGTTGATTTGGAGGACGGTTTAAAGAAGCAGGCTTTGCTCTGCATCGGATGCTCAGGAAATGCAGCAGTTCTATGACTGGGTATCTTAATACATCTTAGCTGTAAGAAGGGATGACTGGATGGAGATTAGAGCTGTAAGAAGAGCAGCAGTTGGTAAAGAAGCAGCCGATGTTCATATTAGCCAGGGGAGAGGGCTGCTTGGTTATTTTTGTGGCTTGCTCATGTTTTGTCTGTGTTCAAACATGGTTACAGCTTAGGCAGTTTTGGTTTTGATCTGTCATGGGCAGAGCATGGCCTTGTCTGACATTGATGTTTTGCAAAGTTGTTCATGTTCAGCAGGAGAACATCAAGGCCCCGCTGAGTGTCAGGACAGCTCCTGGAAGTCAGGTCTGCTCTTTTCTCTTCTCCTTTTCTTTTCTTTTCTTTTTTCTTTTCTTTTCTTTTCTTTTTTCTTTTCTTTTCTTTTCTTTTCTTTTCTCTCTCTCTCTCTCTCTCTTTCTTTCAATACAGGGTCTTGCTCTGTCACCCAGGCTGGAGTGCAATGGCGCGATCTCAACTCACTGTCACCTCCACCTCCTGGGTTCAAGCGATTCTCATGCCTTAGTCTCCTGAGTAGCTGGGATTATAGGTGCATGCCACTGAGCCTGGCTAATTTTTGTATTTTTAGTAGAGACAGGGTTTTACCATGTTGGCCAGGCTGATCTTGACCTCCTGACCTCAGGTTCAGGTGATCTGCCTGCTTTGGGCTCCCAAAGTGCTGGGATTACAGGCGTGAGTCAGCCTCTGCTTTTTTTCTCATGTTGATCTCACAGAATCATAGTGATAATTAAATGCTATGATATTTGTGAAATTCCTTGTACAAGTACCTGGCAGAATAACTTCTCGATAAATAATGCTTGGATGATAAAAGTAATAGTAATAATATTCATTAGTAATAATAATCAATAAGTTTATAATGGAAAAGAGCTTGGTACTTATTTATTTTTTATTTTATTTTATTTTATTTTTTTTGAGACGGAGTCTCGCTCTGTCGCCCAGGCTGGAATGCAGTGGCCAGATCTCAGCTCACTGCAAGCTCCGCCTCCCGGGTTCACGCCATTCTCCTGCCTCAGCCTCCCTAGTAGCTGGGACTATAGGCGCCCGCCACCACGCCCGGATAATTTTTTGTATTTTTAGTAGAGACAGGGTTTCACCATGTTAGCCAGGATGGTCTCGATCTCCTGACCTTGTGATCCGCCTGCCTCGGCCTCCCAAAGTGCTGGGATTACAGGCGCGAGCCAAGGAGCTTGGTACTAATTAGAGGGGTTCGGCTTTAGTAGCTATTACCATGTGACTGTTTAGTAGATATTACTGTGTGACCATAAGCAAGTCACTTCACTTTTCTGAGCCAGTTTCCTTCTCCGTAAAATAGGGGAAAAAGCTTGATGCGGTGGCTCATGCCTGTAATCCCAGCACTTTGGGAGGCCAAGGCGGGTGGATCCCTTGAGGCCAGGAGTTCCAGACCAGCGTGACCAACATAGCAAAACCCCATCTCTGCGGGATATCTAGGCAAAGATGTTGAGTAGACACTGATTTATCCATGCACTCGTTCAGCACACGTTTCTTAGAAAGGGTATTCGGTGATTGAAAGTGCAGACCAGACTCCATGGATTCAAATCTGACTCTGCCAATTTACTGGTTGTGTGCGCAAGTCACTTCACTTCTCTGTCATTATTGATGCATCTGTAAAATGGGGTTGGTAATAACAGCTCCTGCCTCTTTGGTTGTTACTGAGGGAGGGGAGGTTAATACACGTATAGACTTTGGAATAGTGCCTGCACTCAGGAAGGACTCAATAGCCATGCTATGATTGAGTGCCGACTGTATGTGCTGGGCACTGTTCTAGGTGCTGGGTCACAAGAGTGAAGGCAGCACACAAGCTCCCCACCCTCCTGGAGCTGACATTTCAGCTGGAGAGAATAATAATTGAGTGAGATAAGTTTCAGGTGGTGATAACTGCTATGAAGAAAAGAACTCAGGGAGGGAGGGATAGCCCTGGGAAAAATACCTAATGTAAATGACGGGTTGATGGGTGTAGTGGGCCAGCAGGGCACATGTATAGCTACGTAATGAGCCTGCACGTTGTGCACACGTACCTTAGAACTTAAAGTATAATAATAAAAAAAAAAAAGAAAATAACTCAGAATACAAGGTGAAGAGGGGCCAGTTTAGGCAGGATGGTTCTGAGTGGAGTGAAGGAAGGAGCCGTGTAGGCCTCTGGTGGATGCAGAAGAAAGAATGAATGCAAAAGTCCTAAGGCAGGAACAAACTCTTCCTGCATGGCAGAAAAAGATAGGCAGGGGCTTGATCACAGCCATGACAAGGTATTTAGATTGTAATTCCATGTACAGTGGAAACCACAGAAGGGCTTGGAACACGAAAGTAACGTGATCTGATTTAATTTTTAAAAGGTCACCAGCTGCCATGAAGAGAACATAACACACCAACAATGGAGAGAGGTCTGGAATGGATAGAGATCTGAGGTTTTTCACCCAGTTGGAAAATGGTACAGCAGGAGTGGCTGACATGGCCCAGGGGTTGTATATAGAATCACAATGATAGGAAAAGGGCAGTTCTGCTCTTGCCTTACCGCGTGATCCTGGAGAGTGTCACCTGTCCCTCAGGTTCTCGTTTACAACAGAAGGTGGCGCCACGTGTGATAATTCAAGCATCCCTTTTAACACTCATGTAATCATGTAATGCAGCCAATAAACACTGCCACAAGGATCTGTTTTACAGTTATGCTCCTTAGAAGCATTTATGAAGCATTTCACACGAATTCTTCTAGTACTTGCTGGGAATGTCCCTGCAGGTCCTGTGCTATGCTGCCTGAACTTGGGATGCCAATTCAGCCACTGTTTTCTCCTCTGTAAGGTGGGGATGACAAAATCTGCTCTGCCCACTTCTCAGGAATGCATGAAGTATGACATTAGAGAAAGCCTGGCGAAGAAGTTTTTGTTTTTTGAGAGGGCAGCATGGAGAAGGGGTTTCTTTCTTTTCTTTTCTTTTCTTTTTTTTAGTTACTTTACATCATGGACTTTTTTTTTTTTTTTTTTTTTTTTTGAGTCAAGAGTCTCGTTCCATCACTCAGGCTGGAGCGCAGTAGCATGATCATAGTTCACTGCAGCCTCGACCTTCTGGGCTCAAGCATCCTCCCACCTCAGCCTCCTGAGTAGCTGAAACTACTGGCACATACTACCATGCCTGGCTAATTTTTAAAAACTTTTTGGAGAGACAAGTTATGTTGCCCAGGCTGGTCTCGAACTCCTGGACTCAAGCGATCCTCCACCTCGGCCCCTTGGCTGATTCTTTTGGAACTTTCTTCCTTGTGTGTAAATTTAGGTGTGTTACCTAAATTGTTACTATTTGATTTTTCAGATTTAAGACTTACCACTATGGAAAACGAGGACTTGGCTTTCTTTTCCACCTGCCTCCATGACTTTTACAAACCCTTTCTATGACTCATCCTCCCAGTGGCGTTATACTATAATGTTAATCCGATCAATATTCGATATTCAGGTTTAAATCCAGGTTCTCATTCCTGGACTTTTCCCCATACCTGTTGAGACGACACTACATACGGCTTCCTTCAAAAACTAGAAGCATCTGGGAAATGGAGAATTCTAGCATTGCTTCTCCTTCTTAGGGAGATGGTGTTATGGATAACAGAGAGTTAATAGCACAAGCTTTGGTGTCAGAAGGACTAGAGTGTAATTCCTGGCTTTGCTGGTCATGCCTGCAAGACTCAAGCCAATTGCTTTCTCTGCCAACTTTGGTTTCTTCACCTATAAAGAGGTGTGAGGTTGTGGCTGGGCACGGTGGCTCATATCTGTAATCCCAGAACTTTGGGAGGTCAAGCCGGGCGGATCACCTAAGGTCAAGAGTTCGAGACCAGCCTGATCAATATGGTGAAACCCCATCTCTACTAAAAAACTACAAAAATTAGCCAGGTGTGGTGGTGTGCGCTTGTAGTCCCAGCTATTTGGGAGGCTGAGACAGGAGAATTGCTTGAACCCCGGAGGTGGAGGTTGCAGTGAGCCAAGATTGTACCACTGTACCCCAGGCTGGGTGACAGAACAAGACTCTGTCTCAAAAAAAAAAAAAAAAAAAGAGGTGTGAGGTTGCATGTAAGCTTCTTAGGTACATGCCTGAAACATAGTAATCAATTAAAATGAGCTTTTATATTCCGCCCACATCCTGCAAAGAAAATAACTTCTATTGAGAGATTACTCAGTTGGCACATAATACCGCCTTATTTCTTCTTCCACCACACTCCCTCCATTTTCCCATGCTACAGAGGAAAACAAGGCATTCAGAGTGTCTCAGCGACCTGCTGAGGTCACACAGCAACAAGAGTAGGGGAGCAGTGCTGTGCACCTGTGATCCCAGCTACTCAGGAAGCTGAGGTGGGAAGATCCCTTGAGCCCAGGAGGCAGAGGTTGCAGTGAGCTGAGATTGTGCCACTGCACTCCAGCCTGGGTGACAGAGCAAGAGCCTGTCTCACAAAGGAAAAAAAAGAGTAGGGGCAGGATTCCCACTGAGGATCTGCTCATCTGACTTCTGGAACAAAGAAGTGGACAATGAAAGAAGTGGAGCTCAAGGCCCCTGCCTTATGGCCCAGAAACTCTTTCTTGGACTGGGCTGGGGACTGGCGTGTCCTAGCTGGCTGCACCTCACAGGGCACACATGGGGGAGACTCAGCATCTGGAAAGTAGGGTGTTACTCCCTACTCCTCTTACCTTGAGCTAGCTCTCCAGTGGGTTTCGAGCTTCAGTGCACAATACATACATGATCTGAAAAGCCTCAAGCTGCAAATCTGGTTTAAAGAGGTCCTGTGTGAGTTGTGTCTCCAGAAACTTGGCAGAAATGAAGTCTTTCTGGAGGAATCTACCTTTGAGTCCTCAAAGAATTCCCACAAGATAAAGTTCTAAGGCACGAGAGCTCACAGTCAAAAATTACAAAATAAAAGGGAAGCAAGGCCTGGTGAGAGTCAACTGAAATGACAGAGGATGCAACAAAACCCACACAGCCTAAGATTTCCAAGGATAGAAAAACAAGAATATCAAACAAGTGTATTAAATATATTGTTCGGGGATGAACACATATGTGGTTAAACTGTAAAGCAAAGCAAAGAACTGATAAGTATACATTTTAAGTTGTTTGCTCTGAGGGGGAAGGAAAGAGAAATGACATTATAGGAACACAGAAGGATTCACAGATCATATTAATATCCTGACAGCAAGCGCTCATACATCCACCACCCACATTAATTTCACAAGTGTTTGCTGTGTTGTTATTCTTTGTATTTTCAACATGTCTTATAAATATTATTTTGCTGTCTGTGGTTTCATAAACACAATAAAAATATAGCTTGGGGCTGGTTCATTCTGATTGCTTGCATGAGTGAGTCCACCTTCTCCCTAACCACCGGACTTCTTATGTTGGGTAAATATATGGTTGCAAAATTTTTTCCTCCTTTTTCTAAGCTGGGTGGAGAATGTCTTCCCCACATGTTTCCAGTAAATTCAGATGTTGCTTTCTCTGCCCATAGTTTCCTTAGGCAGAGGGAATAAATCCCCCTGCTGGCTGTCTAGAACACTTTTTTAAAAACCAATCTCTTATCAGAACTGCCTGTTTCCTTGTCCGTCTCCCCTGCTGGGCCACTGGGCCTCAAGCGATCCTCCCGCCTCAGCCTCCCAAACTGCTGGGATTACAGTCACAAGCCAGTGCACCCAGTCCCAGATTTTGTTTTTCTAATACAGTTCCGCTAGTTCTATTAATAGCTAAAATGTAAACACTGAAAACTCTTTTGAAACTAAAGAGGGGAAAAACAAGTAAAAGAGGTTTTTAAAAATTAAACTACCATGGAAACTGGTTTACCCACAATTTTGGTTCACAACCTTCATTGGATTACCTATTGGGGAAAACAAAGTTTAGCCATGTAAACAGGTTCCAACTTGCCAAAAATATAATTTGGGTTCAACCATCTTTTGTAAACTGGTAAGTTTGTGTTGCTGTCTCATGGCTAGAGTTCCAAGGTAAAAAAGATAGGACCTTTGTGCATGTACTCATGTGTTTAACTGAAGGTTCTTACCTAGGTGAACAGGCTATTAAAATAGTTAACAAGGAAATAACTTGAAATGATGACTAGATTTGTCTAATATCTCAGTTCTCATAGTCATCTAGATAAACTCCTAAAAATAAATAGGGTAAATATAAATGGGATAAATGCTTGAAGGTAAACTTTTTGTTTAGTTTAAAAATCTGACAATTATTTAAAATGCTCATTGGACATCTGGGTGATGTCCAATTAAGAAAGGGTTATGATATGGGGAAACATTTCTAAGAATTGTGGAGTCGTTCTCATTTATAATGCTGCTATCTGAGTACAAAGCCCTAGTTGATAACTCTTTCCTTCAACTTTAATGTCAGCTCCTGTAATTATTTTTTCCCTCCAGTTCTAGCCACTGTTGCAGCCTGATGCTAAAACATTTTATTTCAAAGGTCTAGAAAATCAATGATTTTCTCCAGGATAACTTGATTCTGTACTCAGACTCAGTTCAGCATTGCTTGCATCCCAGTTTTTTGCTAAAATTTAAGGTTACTAAGAATAAAAATTCTAGCTAATATATAATCTTTTTTTTTTCAGAGCAAGTGTGGAAATTTATTTTTAAAGGCTTTAGAACAGTAAAGAAAGGAAAATACACTTGGAAGAGCCCTGAGTGGGCACCAAGGTCAAGTGCCTATAATTTTATATATAAAAAATGTGCCAAAGATGATGTGCCTTTTTTTCCCCCAAGTTGGAGTCTTGCTCTGTCATGCAGTCTGGAGTGGAGAGGCACGATCTCAGCTCACTGCAACTTCTGACTCCCAGGTTCAAGAGATTCTCCTGTCTCGGCCTCCTGAGTAGCTGGGATTACAGGTGCCCACCACCACACCTGGCTAATTTTTATATTTTTAGTAAAGATGAGGTTTCACTATGTTGGCCTCTGTTTGGCAGTGTATGGGTATGCAGTGGGTACTCACAAATGCTGGTTAGACACCTGCAGGCTTGTACTAAGGACCAGGTTTGGCAAACATCAGTGTTTGAGGGAGTCTGATTTGAGAGTGTGGAAGTTGAGAATCATGGCAGGAGATGGACTCTGCTATTCACTACTATGAATCAACCTTGGTCCCTGTTCTTGGGGGAGACCACAGGCCAATGGAAAAAACAGAGATGTAACTAATTGCTGGTAGCGTTATGAGTAACTCTGTTGGGTAAGCCATTTGGTAGGAGGCAGAGAACTGGAGGCAAGACCTATGTACTTGCAGAGAACATTGTTAGCAGGACTGGCCTAAGGGCACCTTTCTCCCTTCATTCATCAGAAAGGATCAAAGCTGCTGCTAGGAGAGGAAAAGGGAGCTGGGCCAGCCCTGGCTGTAACCCTTTACAAGAAATAAAGCTGTGAAAGAACCTGTGGAATCATTTTCAGCTCAGAACACAGAGCAATATTTTTACTCTCTCTTACGGGTGGAATTGTGTCCCCTCAAATTCATATGTTGAAATCCAGTACCTTGGAATGTGGCCTTATTTGGAGATAGAGTCTACATAAGCAATCAAGTTGAAATGAGGTTATAGGGTGATCCCTAATCAAATATAACTGACACACTCAGAGAGACTATTTTATTTTATGTATTTTAAAAATTTTTTAATTTAAATCGTTTTTGGGGAGCAGGGGTTTTTTTGTTACATGGATAAGTTCTTTGGTGGTAATTTCTGAGATTTTTTGGCGCACCCATCACCCGAGCAGTGTACACTGTACCCAATGTGTAGTCTTTTGTCCCTCATCCCCTTGCCCCTTCCCCCCAAGTCCCTGAGTCCATTATATCATTCTTATGCTTTTGTATTATCTTAGCTTAGCTCCCACTTATAAGTAAGAACATACGATATTTGGTTTTCCATCCCTAAATTACTTCACTTAGAATAATAGTCTCTAACTCCATCCGGGTTGCTGCAAATGCCATTATTTTGTTCCTTTTTCTGGCTGAGTCGTATTCCATTGTGTATATATGCCACATATTTTCTTTATCCACTCATTGGTCAATGGGCATTTAGGCTGGTTCCATACTTTCGCAATTGCTAATTGTGCTGCCTTAAATGTGTGTGTCCAAGTGTCTTAGAAAAAGAGAAAATTTAAAGAGACACACATATAGGTAGAAAATTGTGGGAAGATGAAGGCAGAAACCGGGGTGATGCTCCTACAAGCTAAGGAACAGCAAGGATTGCCAGAAAAACTTCCAGAAGCTAAGGGAGGGGCATGGAACAGATTCTTCATCACAACCCTCAGAATGCACCCACCCTGCTGACACTCTAATCTTGGACTTCTGACCCCCCAAACTGTGAGAGAATAAATTTCTGTTGTTTAAGCCACCCAGTTGGTGGTATTTTGTTACAGAAATCCTAGGATTGCTTTGCAAAATATTCTCTCTTAATCTATGTTGAGCTAATGAGGCAAGAAATATCTTCATATTGTAAATTTAAAAACTGAGGCTCAGAGAGGTGAAATAACTGCCCAGGGTCTCAGAACTAGGAAGTGATAGAATTGGGACTCAAATGATCTCTTCTTGACTCCAAATCTCAGGCTCTTACCAGTTCTTATGGGATGGGTAGTAGGGGCAATTTGACAAATAATGAAACTACTTGCTTGTTTCTTCTTCAATTCTGTTACAGATTGATTTCTGTGGGTTAACCTCAGTAATTTACAGCCTGTTCTAATTCTGTATAGTCCCCCCACGGGTCCAACAGGGTTATAAAGAACCTCACCAACAATCTTCGCCTGCTCCAGTTACCTATTGCTGCATGACAGCAAACCATCCTAAAGCTGGTGTAAAATAGAATCATTTCATTAGACTCATGGATTCTATGGGTCAGAATTTTAAACAGGACACAAACATGAGAATGGTTCATTTCTGTTCCATGATGCCTCAGGCCTCAGCCGGGAAGACTCAAACAGCTGGGGGTGACGCGATGACTGGGAGCTGGAATCAGCTGGTGCCTTCTTCATTCACATGGCTAGCACCTGGGCTGGCATGACTGAAAGCCTGGGCTCAGCTGGGATTGCTAACTGTAGCGCCTACATGTGGCCTCTCTATGTGCCTTGGGCTTCCTTACAACAAGGCAGTCTCAGGATAGTCAGGCTTCTTCCATGGCAGCTCAGGGCTCCAAGAGCTAGTGTTCCAGTTAAAAGGGTAGAAATTGCACCATCATTTATGATCTAGCCTTGGAAACCATATAGCATTACATCTACTAGACTCTCTTGGTTGAAGCAATCACAGACCAACTCAGATTCAAGGAATGAGATACAAACCCCACTTCTCTATAGGAAGGTGATATGGTTTAGCTTTGTGTCTCTATCCAAATCTCATCTTGAATTGTAATCCCCAGGTGTTAAGGGAGGAACATGTTGGGAAGTGATTTAATCATGGGGGTGGTTTCCCCCATGCTGTTCTCATGATAGCGAGTGAGTTCTCACGAGATCTGATGTTTTTATAAGTATTTGGAAGTTCTTCCTTCGTTCACTCTTCTCTTTCCTGCTGCCTTGTGAAGAAGGTGTCTGATTCCCCTTCTGTCGTGATTGTAAGTTTCCATGATTGTAAGTTTCTGCTATGATTATAAGTTTCCTCCCCAGCCATGAAGAACCATGAGTCAATTAAACCTATGTCTCCATAAATTATGCAGTCTCAGGTATTTATAGCAGTGTGAGAAGTGACGAATATAGAGGGGTATAAAACAACTGTTGACATGTTTAAAAACTGCTACAACACTCTTGGCCTCAGGGTAGGAAAATCTCATGGGTCTCATGCTTCCCTTTGGGATGAATATGGCTTTCATGGCAGTTGTGGGTACCCATCCTTTCCATCCTAGGAAGGACCAGAAAAATTGGGTTGTCATCCTGCTAGTAGACGAATTAGTAACCATGGAAATGAGTCCAAGCTCATACTACTCACTGCATGACATTCAATAAGTTGAGAGACAAGGTATTGGGGTACTGAAGGCAACTTTATTTCAGAAAGCCAACAAACTGAGAAGATGGTGAACTAATGTCCTAAAGAAACATCCTAAGTTAATAGAATTGTAGGCTCTTTTTATGTTGGGAAGGGGAAGAGAAAGGGGTTTGAGATCAAGAGGTGATCAAGGATCACAGACATCTGGGTGGCAGTGAGGGTCCAAGGGGGTGTGGTGAAACTTCTTTGTCCTTGGTCAGGTCACAATGCTCCTATAAATCATCTTTAACACAATATTGTTACTTGTGTATACACCCTCCTTATCTCCTCTGGGGTTAATTTGGGGAAGGGACTATTAGCAACCTTGCTTTAAACTATAAACTAAATTTCTCCCATAGTTAGCTCAGCCTATGTGTAGAAATGAGCAAAAGCAGTTAACCTAAAATATGTCACCACAGGAGTGGGGTAGGAGTTTGGGGCAAAATAGAGCTAGTTTTTGCTAAGCCTCCTTTTTTACTGCTACAACCTCACAGCTTCTCCCTGTGACTTTATCTTAGGGTGGAAAGTCTAATAAATCAGACCTGTCTCCCGATGTGATGGACTGACCAGTACCCAGTAATTCATGATCTTTTGCCTAATAAAAGGAACCACTACTATCAATGCTTTGCTAAGACAACTGCAAAAATCCTCTTACTACTAGTCCAGTTTCCATAGCTGTCCTCTTACAATGCATTCTTCAGAGCTGCCAGAGGGATTTTCAAAAATTATAAATCAGATGATTTTGTCCCCCAATCTCCCAGCTTTTACTAGCCCATGGCTTCCCATTGCACATAAAAGATATGTTGCTTTTCATAGCCTTCAGGGTCCTTCATGATCTTGTTCTTGCCTAGCTCTTTGATTTCATCTCCCTTGATTTTAACTCTGCTCCAGCTATACTGGTTCTCTTACTCTTCTTGGCATTCATCAGGCTTCTTCCTGCCTTAGGATCTTTGGACTTGCTTTAACCTTTTTTGGTAATGCTCAGCCCCAGATGATGTTGTAGATAGATGTTACACATCATTCAAGTCTCAGCTGTTGATAAAGAAGACTCTTGGGGTGAGCTTGATCAAGGAATGTTTGATGAGACAATGAGCCCAGGGAAGGTTTGTGCAGCATGAAGTAAGTAATGTAGCTGGAAATAAAAGTTGGTATCAGTCAAAAAGGCAGGCTAAGGAGTTCAGCCTTTATCCTGAAGGCAGTGAAGATCCAGTAGAATTTACAGTCAAGGAATTAACTCGACAAGTGCACTGTTCTAGGAAGATTATTTGGTTTAGGGCTGGACCTGAGCCACTTCAAATAGACAAGCTCTGCTTTTCATGGGTTTTTGTGCAGAGACCATGTGTATTTTTTTTTTTTAATGAGGATTTGGTTTGAACATTATTGCATGTATGCCACAAGGATCTTAACTGTGAGTTAGAAGAGAATGAGAGCTGAGAGAAGTCCACTGGATTTGGAAATGAGGAACTTGGTGGTTACACTGGTATAGGGAGTAAGATCTCTTTGGTTACTAGCAACAGAAACCAACTCTGGCTGTTGTAAACAGAGAAGAAATTTATAAAAATGGGATGTAGTCGGCATCCATTCTCCTTTCCTAATAATATCTCTAAGTTAGCCAGAGTTGAATTTTACTGCTTGCACCCAATAGCACTAATTGATTCAGTTTAGCTCTCAGAACTGAAGGAAAGGCTAAAAGAACACAGCTTGGAAAGAATGGTAAAGTCAGAACTGAGTTCTTCCCAGGACACCTCTGAGTTAGCTCCATAAATTTTCAGGTCTTTTATCATTCATTGCTCAAGATTACAGTTCTAGGAACAGTATTTGATTGGCCACTCTGCCTGGGGGTAGGGCAGACACATTAATTGACAGTCTCCCTGGCCCCACCTGTCTTGGTCTGGAGGAAGTTATTTCCTCCAAAGCAAACTCAGGGTGATTTATCAGAAAAAGGACAAATGAATGCTAGGTGACAAAACAAAATAGTCAATATATCCAAAGAGAGAGGTTTCCATGGAATGAAAGGAAGTTTGACTGAGTCCAAAAGTCTAAAAGGAGAGGCCCATTGCATGGTTAAAGGCACCTTTTTTGTTCCTGGAAACTTCTTAAATCTTCACCGTTAACTTGTTTACAGTCATTTTAGAGTGGGCATGTCTACAGCTAATTGACATCATCTACCACTATAAACTTTTCCTTCTTTCCTTTCTGCTTCTTTTCTTCCTCCTCTTCCCTGATATATATTTTTTTACACTCATGAAGTCAAGTCCAAAACTTTGGATGCATCATCTACGTTAACCTCAGATAGATCTGTGTGAATGTGTATAATATTGAAATAACTGGGACAACACAAGTAATTTGGCAAGAGTCTTCCCTCTGATTTACTGGCTGTGTTTCCTCCAGCAAGTCACTTTGCTTAGCTGAATCTCAGTTTCTTAACGTGTAAAATGGGAGTAATAATACTTAATCCATAAGATTGCTAAATACATATAAGCTATCTTTCACCAAACACTTACTATGTGCCCACTCCAGAGGTCACAAATTTAAATGTCCTCCTGGGGTCAGGTGAGCACTGTGAATGGAACTAGTTGCAGAGAGGGAGGATGGTGGTGGTGGGGATTATGGGAAACTGGAGGGAATGCTTCCCTCATAGAAAAAGAGTAGCTGTACTTAGGTTCTGGTTTTCAAAGTATGGTCCCTAGCCCTGCAGCATTGGCATCACCTGGAAACCTGTTAGAAATGCAAATTCTCAGGTTCCAGACCTACTAATCAAAACTCTGGGGATGGGGATCCTGCAATCTGTATTTTAATAAGCCTTCCAAGTGATTCTGATGCATGCTTAGGCTGGGCACTGTGGCTCACACCTGTAATCCCAGCACTTTGAGAGGCCAAGGCGGGCAGATCACCTGAGGTCAGGAGTTCGAGACCAACCTGGCCAACATGGTGAAACCCCGTCCCTACTAAAAATACAAAAATTAGCCGGGTGTAGTGGCGCCTGTAATCGCAGCTACTTGGGAGACTGAGGCAGGAGAATCGCTTGAACCCAGGAGGCAGGGGAAGGGAAGGGAAGGGGAGGAGATGGGAGGGGAGGGGAGGGGAGGGAAGCCTGGGGGACAGAGCAAAACTCAGTCTCAAAAAAACAAAAACAACAAAAAAAATGATTCTGACGCATGCTCAATTTTGAGACCTGCTGCTCTAGCTGATGGTTGTTATATCTAAGATTGCAGGACTGTGTTGCCAGATCTTTTACTTTTTCCAAGAGAAGCTAGAGGTTTATTTTTATATGAAATTCGCTACTTTTAAATCTTGGCAACTAATTTAAAAATTTAAAACATACTGTGTAGTTAATAATGTATGTGCTCTAGCCAGATTTGCAACCTCTGATTTATGCTTTTTCCTTTAACCCTTATAATAATCTTATAAAACCCTTATAATAATCATCCAAGACTGTTAGGATGATACACAGTTTATGCAGGAAGAAGATGCAGGCCCAAAACATGAAGTGTTTCTCTAAGTCACATAGCCAGAAAGTGGCCATGGATGCATTGTCCCTGATTGGGCATGGATGCATTTGGTTCTAAAGCCTCTGCCCTTTTAAATGATGTAAAGAGAATATCTATAACTATACCTAGCACGGAACTTGGCACCACAAAAGCTAAACATCTGATGCCATTGACTGATGAAAATTCCTTCCCCATCCTTCTGCCTGGCCCTGCCACTCTCCCTCAGTCTGTATTCCTGTAAGAGAGAGCCAATCAATAGGGTGCTCATAAGGGCCTGGGAGGAGCAAGGCTGGGCAGTTTCCTGGCCCAGGGAGCTGAATAGGGCCCGGAAGAAAGCTGTTGGCAGCAGTGCCTGGGGCTGAATGTACAGTAGCCAGCTGGGTCCACGGGCTAAAAACTGGCTGCTCACCCCAGTGTTCTCTTTGTGCCCTAGACTGGGTTTCACTAGCCTGTTATGGGCTGTGTTCCCACCTGGCTCCTGCCCTCATTGTTGACTGAGCTCAGAGTAAATAGCCCTGGCCCCTCCCAATAACGTCCCCAGTCCCCAAGTTGAGCATGAGAAGCTGGGGGAGGTGTTCTCAGCATCCATTTTGGGGACAGTGGCCAGATGTACTCACATCACCAAACCCTACTCACCTGTCACTATCATCCCAGTGTTCACTGCCCCAGGGCCCCTCTAGCCTCCAGCAGCAAAGACCTCCTGGGGCTTCTAGAACCTCAGATCATTGGAGCAGGAAGCACTTCTTGTCTAACTCCCTGGGTAACTCTGTTTTGGCACTTAACCCCCTGGATTCTAAAGCTTCATTTATACTTATTGGTCTCCTTCGTCACAGGAGACACTTATCTGTGGAGCACTCATGGCCATGTATCCAGTACCTATCATGGGTCAGGCCTGGAGTCCCTGTGTCAATCAGTGTGGATCTACTCTCAATGCTCCCAGTGAGTACATGGTTGTTCCGTGGCAGGAACGTTGCATTTGTGTTCTCACTGAAGTCCCATATAGGTGTCATTTTCACTGATGATGTGGCAGCTCAGATCCAGGAAAGGATTCATTCCAGGGCCCTCAGGTGGGAAGTGGTGGAGGTGGGAGTCAGACCCCAGACCCTGTCACCCCTTCAAGACCAGTGCTGGAGGGCCCCTTTTGACGACTTTCTCTTCACCAAGCGTCTTGCCCTGCATATGTCACACAGTAGGCACCCAGTGAATATTTACGACGGAATGGAAAAAACAAGGGCCTGGAGGGAGAGACCTGGGTTCAAAACCTTATTTGTACAGCTTTGCAGGGGACCTTGTGGTGGAGGTGCGGTCCTAAATCCCTAAACACTCAGTTCCTTTGTCATATACAGCTGATAACAGTAACTCCCCGGTCAGAGGACCGGCGACAATTCCTTGAGACAAGGAGCACAGAGCCTGGCACAGTCAGCCCTGATCAGGGGCCGGTAGGACAAAGAGAGGGAGACAGAAACACACACCCAAACGGCTTGAGACTGCTAGGTGCTTCACCTTCCTGGGCCTGTTTCTGATGAGGAGGGTTTGTTTATTAATAATAAGTGCTATTTCTGTAGCCCCTACTATGTGCTCTGTATCACTACCCTAGCCCTCCATCAAGAGGGATCTGCCCTCTCATCTGGCTGACCCCAAATCGAACCCTTTAACCCGCATGCTCTACTGCCTCCCTGCGGGCCCTGCCTTATCCTCCTCAACCGCCCACTGGGGACACTCTGGAGAAACCTCGGAGTCTTGGAATAGAAACCCAGGAGCCCTGAGCCTTGGCCCTCAGGCCCCAGGAGGGAGGTCAGGAGGGAGGCGTGGACAAGGGTCCGGCCGTAGCTGGTCCCGTCCTGGAAGCTGCTTAAGTTCCTGGTTCCCACCGGGGCCAAGAGTGATACCTGATCCTGGGGGATTGTGAAATGACCTCATGTGGCAGCCCGCCCGCGGTGCCCGCAAAGCCCTCCACCCTCCCCTTCCCCGCTCGGCTCCACCCCTACCCCACGCCCCCTCCCGCGCGCGCGGTTAAATCCCCGCACCTGAGCATCGGCTCACACCTGCACCCCGCCCGGGCATAGCACCATGCCTGCTTGTCGCCTAGGCCCGCTAGCCGCCGCCCTCCTCCTCAGCCTGCTGCTGTTCGGCTTCACCCTAGTCTCAGGTGAGTGGGGCGGGGAGAGGCCCGGCGCCTAGAGGGGCCGAGCCACGAGCGCCAGGATGGAGCCAGGCGGAGGCGTAGCCTCTGGAGGCTGGGGAAGTGGGAATTCCGGGGGCGGAAGTGGCGGGGACCCTTGGAGCCTAGGGTGTGGGGTCCAATGTGCTGGAGGTGGAGAGACCACTGATGGCTGCAATTTGGGAGGATTCTGTGCTGAACGCGGACACTCCGTGGCTGCAGTGGGCTGGGGGTGGGGGCTGCTCTGCCTCGACCTCGGAAGCTCCGAGACGCTCAGCTGTGCGGCGTCCCCTAGGGCTGAGATCTGAGGGCCCCGACGCCAAGGGTTAGGGAGCTCTCGTACTCCCAGGGGTCAGGGACTCCTGGTCTGGAAGAAGGAGTCTCTGGGGGCTGTAAGGGGACTCCTAGGGCCAGAGACTGAGAATTCCTTGGGGTTAAGGTTTGGAGCAGGAGGTGGGCATCCTCTGGGGCTGGCGCTACGCCCCACCCTCGACTGTCCCGGGCCTCCCCTCCCAGGCACAGGAGCAGAGAAGACTGGCGTGTGCCCCGAGCTCCAGGCTGACCAGAACTGCACGCAAGAGTGCGTCTCGGACAGCGAATGCGCCGACAACCTCAAGTGCTGCAGCGCGGGCTGTGCCACCTTCTGCTCTCTGCCCAATGGTAACCCCACGGCGGCCGAGCGGGAACGGGGCGGGGCCGCGCTGGGCTGGGAGGAGGTGGGAGGGCCCGGGTTCCGGGAACAGGGGCGCCCCCGGACCCGGGGACCCCCGGGAAAGTCAAGGCGGTTGAAACCAGATCCGTCAGTCCTCTCCCTCGCACGGCCCAGGGGTAGACAAAGGCGTCGTTGAAACGCAGCCAAGGGGGGGTCCCCACCCCTAGCTGGGATTCGAGTCTCTGGTGCATGACGGGCTTCCGGGCACGCACAGCCGGGACATTGTTCCCCGCGGCCTGGGGACCCGGGGCCGCAGTTTCCTTCTCGAACCGGCCGAAGCCTGCCCTGCGGGAAAGCCCGGAGCCTGGGGCGCTCACCTCTCCTCTTGGAGTCCCTCCCTGGGGGCCTCCCCCAGCCCTGGGGAAAGACTGGGAGAGCCTGGCCTGGCAAGATTTTCCCCAATTCCTCTGTCCAGGCGGAAAGGAACTTTACAGATTTAGGAAAATGCCCCGCTCATCTTAAAGATGTGTAAGGGAGCATCGGTGAGAAAAAAATGTTCTTGCCCAAGGTCACACCGCCATCCCATGGCTGCTGGAGTCATAGTGAGGGTTCAGCTTTTGCCTTTCAGGCCAACTGGCTGAGTGATTCGAAGAAAGTGAGGAATCCTCCCTGGACACTGTATCGCCCTTCGTCGTCTTTCAGTCAATCTCTTCCACTCTAAGGATTGAGTGAGCGCGAGCTGGGGACTCTCTCAAAGGTGCTTGCTGGAGCTGCAGTCTCCACCAGGCTATCAGAACAGGGGGTGGCTTAAACAGCATGGAATCTCAGCTTTCCGTTCTCCAGAGGAAAATGCTGAGGATTAGAGGCAGGGATAGGACCTGGAGAGAACCAAGGTACTGTAATGATGTTCTTTATCCAGAATACAGCCCCTGTGACTTTTCCTCTCTGTTATTTCCTTGAAGATGCCAGCACAGGCTGGGAAGGTTTGTAATACGGTGACCCAAGACACCGATCAGCAGGGAGGTGGTAAGTGGAGGGGGACTGGCAGCCCACCAAGGGCAGCTTCAAGGTCATGAGTCCCCTCCTCTGGGCCAGGGAGAGGAGGACCAGAAGGAGAGAGGAAGATTTGGAGAGAAAGCAGGCAGCAGCCAGATGAGAGAGGTGGAGGAGCAAAGGAGGGAGTCTTTGCTGTTTGATGGATGAAGAATTTGTTCCCTTATCTCAGATGGACAGACTGAGGCAGGAAGAGGGACAAGGTCAGATGGCCTCCTGAGCCAGGGAGGCAGCCTGGAGGTTTGAATCCTAGTTCTGCCATTTTCTAGTTATGTGATCCTGAGCATGTTGTTTACCTCTCTGAGCCTCTGCTCTAAGATGGGAATAATTCCAAACTCTATAGGATTGGCATGAGGACTAAATGAAATAATGCATCTAAAGTGTCTATTAGTGAGAAGATACTCCATACACAGTGGCTTGTTTTGATCATAAATGGTTCCCTATTTATTTCCAGGGCAGCCCAATATTACAGGTTCCTACTCCTTTCAAGAGAATGAATTTCTTTGTATTAGGAAGTCAAGACTGTTGGCAACTTAACAACATTTTTTTTTGTATTTATGCTTTAAGTTCTGGGGTACACGTGCAGAACGTGCAGGTTTGTTACATAGGTATACATGTGCCATGGTGGTTTGCTTCACCCATCAACCCGTCATCTACATTAGGTGTTTCTCCTAATGCTATGCCTCCCCTAATTCCCAACCCCCCGACAGGCCCTGGTGTGTGATGTTCCCCTCCCTGTGTCCATGTGTTCTCATTGTTCAACTCCTACTTATGAGTGAGAACATGCGGTATTTGGTTTTCTGTTCTTGTGTTAGTTTGCTGAGAATGATGGTTTCCAGCTTCATCCATGTCTCTGCAAAGGACATGAACTCATCATTTGTTATGGCTGCATAGTATTCCATGGTGTAGACGTGCCACATTTCCTTTATCCAGTCCATCACTGATGGGCATTTGGGTTGGTTCCAAGTCTTTGCTATTGTGAACAGTGCTGCAATAAACCTATGTGTGCATGTGTCTTGGGCATTTGCGTTGGTTCCAAGTCTTTGCTATTGTGAACAGTGCTGCAATAAACCTATGTGTGCATGTGTCTTTATTGTAGAATGATTTATAATCCTTTGGGTATATACCCAGTAATGGGATTGCTGGGTCAAATGGTATTTCTTGTTCTAGATCCTTGAGGAATGGCCACACTCTCTTCCACAATGGTTGAACTAATTTACACTCCCACGAACAGTGTAAAAGCATTCCTATTTCTCCACATCCTCTCCAGCATCTGTTGTTTCCTGACTTTTTAAGGATCTCCATTCTAACTGGTGTGAGATGTTATCTCATTGTGGTTTTGATTTGCATTTCTCTAATGACCAGTGATGATGAGCATTTTTCATGTTTGTTGGCTGCATAAATGTCTTCTTTTGAGAAGCATCTGTTCATATCCTTCGCCCACGTTCTAATGGGGTTTTTTTCTCGTAAATTTGTTTGAGTTCTTGTAGATTCTGTATATTAGCCCTTTGTCAGATGGATAGAGTGCAAAAATTTTCTCCCATTCTGTAGGCTGCCTGTTCACTCTGATGATAGTTTCTTTTGCTGTGCAGAAGCTCTGTAGTTTAATTGGATCCCATTTGTCAATTTTGGCTTTTGTTGCCATTGCTTTTGGTGTTTTAGTCATGAAGTCTTTGCCCATGCCTATGTCCTGAATGGTATTGCCTAGGTTTTCTTCTAGGGTTTTTATGGTTTTAGGTCTTACATTTAAGTCTTTAATCCATCTTGAGTTAATTTTTGCATAAGGTGTAAGGAAAGGGGTCCAGTTTCAGTTTTCTGCATATGGCTAGCCAGTTTTCCCAACACCATTTATTAAATAGGGAATCCTTTCCCCATTGCTTGTTTTTGCCATGTTTGTCAAAGATCAGGTGGCTGTAGATGTGTAGTGTTATTTCTGAGGCCTCTGTTCTGTTCTGTTGGTCTATATATCTGTTTTGGTACCAGTACCATGCTGTTTTGGTTACTGTAGCCTTGTAGTATAGCTTGAAGTCAGTTAGCGTGATGCTTCCAGCTTTGTTCTTTTTGCTTAGGATTGTCTTGGCTATGTGGGCTTTTATTTGGTTCCATATGAAATTTAAAGTCGTTTTTTCTAATTCTGTGAAGAAAGTCAGTGATAGCTTGATGGGGATAGCATTGAATCTATAAATTACTTTGGGCAGTATAGCCATTTTCACGATATTGATTCTTCTTATCCATGAGCATGGATTGTTTTTCCATTTGTTTGTATCCTCTCTTATTTCGTTGAGCAGTGGTTTGTAGTTCTCCTTGAAGAGGTCCTTCACCTCCCTTGTAAGTTGTATTCCTAGGTATTTTATTCTCTTTGTAGCAATTGTGAATGGGAATTCACTCATGATTTGGCTCTCTGTCTATTATTGGTGTATAGGAATACTTGTGATTTTTGTACATTGATTTGTATCCTGAGACTTTACTGCAGTTTCTTATCAGCTTAAGGAGATTTTGGGCTGAGATAATGGGGTTTTCTAAATATACAATCATTTCATCTGCAAACAGGGACAATTTGACTTCCTCTTTTCCTAATTGAATACCCTTTATTTCTTTCTCTTGACTGATTGCCCTGGCCAGAATTTCTAATGCTATGTTGAATAGGGGTGGTGAGAGAGAGCATGCTTGTCTTGTGCCGGTTTTCAAAGGGAATGCTTCCAGCTTTTGCCCATTCAGTATGATATTGGCTGTGGGTTTGTCATAAATAGCTCTTGTTACTTTGAGATACCTTCCATCAATACCTAGTTTATTGAGTGTTTTAGCATGAAGGGTGTTGAATTTTATCAAAGGCCTTTTCTGCATCTATTGAGATAATCATGTGGTTTTTGTCATTGATTTTGCTTATGTGATGGATTACGTTTATTGATTTGTGTATGTTGAACCAGCCTTGCATCCCAGGGACAAAGCCAACTTGATCATGGTGGATAAGCTTTTTGATGTGCTGCTGGATTTGGTTTGCCAGCATTTTATTAAGGATTTTCGCACTGATGTTCATCAGGGATATTAACCTGAAATTTTTTTGTTATTGTGTCTCTGCCAGGTTTTAGTATCAGGATGATGCTGGCCTCATAAAATGAATTAGGGAGGAGGCTCTCTTTTTCTATTGTTTGGAATAGTTTCAGAAGGAATGGTACCAGCAACTCCTCTTTGTACCTCTGGTGGAATTCGGCTGTGAATCTGTCTGGTCCCAGACTTTTTTTGGTTGGTAGGCTATTAATTACTGCCTCAATTTTGGAACTTGTTATTGGTCGATTCAGGGATTCGACTTCTTCCTGGTTTAGACTTGGGAGGGTGTATGTGTCCAGGAATTTATCCATTTCTTCTAGGTTTTCTAGTTTATTTGCGTAGAGGTGTTTATAGTATTCTCTGATGGTAGATTGTATTTCTGTGGGATCAGTGGTGATATCCCCTTTGTCATTTTTTATTGTGTCTATTTGATTCTTCTCTCTTTTCTTTATTAGTATGGCTAGCAGTCAGACTATTTTGTTGATGTTTTTCAAAAACCCAGCTTGTGAATTCATTGATTTTTTTTGAAGGGTTTTTCATGTCTCTATCTCCTTTAGTTCTCTCTGATCTTAGTTATTTCTTGTCTTCTGCTAGCTTTTGAATTTGTTTGTTCTTGCTTTTCTAGTTCTTTTAATTGTGATGTTAGGGTGTCAATTTTGGATCTTTCCTGCTTTCCCTTGTGGGCATTTAGTGCTATAAATTTCCTTCTAAGCACTGCTTTAGCTGTGTCTCAGAGATTCTGGTATGTTATGTCTTTGTTCTCATTGGTTTCAAAGAACTTATTTATTTCTGCCTTGATTTTGTTATTTACCTAGTAGTCATTCAGGAGCAGGTTGTTCAGTTTCCATGTAAGGTTATGCGGTCTTGAGTGAGTTTCTTAATCCTGAATTCTAATTTGATGGCACTGTGGTCTGAGAGACTGTTAGGATTTCCGTTCTTTTGCATTTGCTAATTAGTGTTTTACTTCCAATTATGTGGTCAGTTTTAGAATAAGTGTGATGTGGTGCTGAGGAGAATGTATATTCTGTTGATTTGGGGTGGAGAGTTCTGTAGATGTCTATTAGGTCTGCTTGGTCCAGAGCTGAGTTCAAGTCTTGGATATCTTTGTTAATTTTCCGTCTCATTGATCTGTCTAATATTGACAGTGGGGGTTAAAGTTTCCCACTATTATTATGTCGGAGTCTAAGTCTCTTTGTAGGTCTCTAAGAACTTGCTTTATGAATCAGGGTGCTCCTGTATTAGGTGCATATATATTTAGCATAATTAGCTCTTCTTGTTGCATTGATCCCTTTACCATTGTGTAATGCCCTTCTTTGTCTCTTTTGATCTTTGTTGGTTTAAAGTCTGTTTTATCAGAGAATAGAATTGCAACCCCTGATTTTTTTTTGCTTTCCATTTGCTTGGTAAATATTCCTCTATCCCTTTATTTTGAGCCTATGTGTCTTTGCACTTGAGATGGGTCTCCTGAATACAGCACACCAATGGGTCTTGACTCTTTATCCAATTTGCCAGTCTTTGTCTTTTAACTGGGGCATTTAGCCTGTTTACATTTAAGGTTAATATTGTTATGTGTGAGTTTGATCCTGTCATTATGATGCTAGCTGGTTATTTTGTCTATTAGTTGATGCAGTTTCTTCATAGTGTCGATGGTCTTTACAATTTGGTATGTTTTTGCAGTTGCTGATTCCAGTTGTTCCTTTCTATGTTTAGTGCTCCTTTCAGGAGACCTTGTAAGGCAGGCCTGTTGATGAGAAAAATCCCTCAGCATTTGTTTGTCTATAAAGGATTTTATTTCTCCTTCATGTATGAAGCTTACTTTGGCTGGATATGAAATTCTGGGTTGAAAATTCTTTAAGAATATTGAATATTGGCCCCCACTGTCTTCTGGTTTGCAGGGTTTCTGCAGAGAGATCTGCAGTTAGTCTGAAGGGCCTCCCATAGTGGGTAACCCAACCTTTCTCTCTGGGTGCCCTTAACATTTTTTTCTTCATTTCAACCTTGGTGAATCTGATGATTATGTGTCTTGGGGTTATTCTTCTCAAGGAGTATCTTTGAGGTGTTCTCTGTATTTCCTGAATTTGAATGTTGGCCTTTCTTGCTAGGTTGGGGAAGTTCTCCTGTATAATATCCTGAACAGTGTTTTCCAACTTGGTTCCATTCTCCCCATCACTTTCAGGTACATCAATCAAACATAGGTTTGGTCTTTTCACATAGTCCCATATTTTTTGGAGGCTTTGTTCATTCATTCCTTTTCATTATTTTTTCTCTAATCTCATCTTCATTCTTTATTTCATTAAATTGATCTTCAATCTCTGATATCCTTCTTCTGCTTGATCAATTCGGCTATTGATACTTGTATAGGCTTCATGACGTTCTCGTGCTGTGTTTTTCAGCTCCATCAGGTCATTTATGTTCTTCTCTAAACTGGTTAATCTAGTTAGCAATTCCTATAACCTTTTTTCAAGGTTCTTACCTTTCTTGCATTGGGGTTAGAACATGCTCCTTTAGCTTGGAGGAGTTTGTTATTACCCACCTTCTGAAGCCTACTTCTGTCAATTTGTCAAACTCATTCTCCGTCCAGTTTTGTTCCCTTGCTGGCGAGGAATTGTGATCCTTTGGAGAAGAGGTGTTCTGGTTTTTGGAATTTTCAGCCTTTTTGTGCTGGTTTCTCCCCATCTTCGTGGATTTATCTACCTTTGGTCTTTGATGTTGATGATCTTTGGATGGGCCTTCTGAGTGGACGTCCTTTTTGTTGATGTTGATGCTATTCCTTTCTGTTAGTTTTCCTTCTAACAATCAGGCCCCTCAGCTGCAGGTCTGTTGGCGTTTGCTGGAGGTCCACTCCAGACCCTGTTTGCCTGGCTATCACCAGCAGAGGCTGCAGAACAGCAAAGATTGCTGCCTGTTCCTTCCTCTAGAAGCTTTGTCCCAGAGGGGCACCCGCCAGATGCCAGCCAGAGCTCTCCTGTATGAGGTGTCTGTCAGCCCCTGCTGGAAGGTGTCTCCCAGTCAGGAGACACGGAAATCAGGGACTCACTTGAGGAGGCAGTCTGACCCTTAGCAGAGCTCAAATGCTGTGCTGGGAGATCTGCTGCTCTCTTCAGAACCGGCAGGCAGGCTGAAGCCACATCCACAGCTGCCCCTTCCCCCAGGTGCTCTGTCCCAGGGAGATGGGAGTTTTACCTATAAGCCCCTGACTAGGGCTGCTGCCTTTTTTTCAGAGATGCCCTGCCCAGAGAGGAGGAATCTAGAGAGGCAGTCTGGCTACAGCGGCTTTGCCGAGCTGTGTTGGGCTCTGCCCAGTTTGAACTTCCTGGTGGCTTTGTTTACTCTGTGAGGGGAAAACTGCCTACTCAAGCCTCAGTAATGGTGGACGCCCCTCCCCCTACCAAGCTTGAGAGTTCCAGGTCAACTTCAGACTGCTGTGCTGGCAGTGAGAATTTCAAGCCAGTGGATGTTAGCTTGCTGGGCTCCATGGGGGTGGGATCCGCTGAGCTAGACCACTTGTCTCCCTAGCTTCAGCCCCCTTTCCAGGGGCGTGAATGGTTCTGTCTCACTGGCATTCCAGGCACCACTGGGGTATGAAAAAAAAATCCTGCAGCTAGCTCAGTGTCTGCCCAAATGGCCACCTAGTTTTGTGCTTGAAACCCAGGGCCCTGGTGGTGTAGGCACCCAAAGGAATCTCTTGGTCTGTGGGTTGTGAAGACCGTGGGAAAAGTGTAGTATCTGCTCCAGAGTGCACTATTCCTCACGGCACAGTCCCTCATGGCTTCCCTTGGCTAGGGGAGGGAGTTCCCTGACCTCTTGTGCTTCCCAGGTGAGATGATGCCCTACCCTACTTCTGCTCGCCCTCCGTGGGCTGCACCCACTGTCTAACCAGTCCCAATGAGATGAGCCACGTACCTCATTTGAAAATGCAGAAATCACCTGCCTTCTGCATTGATTCACTGGGAGCTGCAGACTGGAGCTGTTACTATTCGGCCATCTTGAAAGCTGAACCTAAATCTTTTTTTTTTTTGAGATGGAGTCTCGCTCTGTCGCCCAGGCTGGAGTGCAGTGGCATGATCTCAGCTCACTACAACCTCTGTCTCCCAGGTGCAAGCGATTCTCCTGCCTCAGCCTCCCAAGTAGCTGGGATTACCGGTGCATGCCACCACGCCCAGTTAACTTTTTTGTATTTTTAGTAGAGCGGGGGGTCTCGAGTCCTGACCTCCGATGATCCCACCCGCCTGAGCCTCCCAAAGTGTGGGATTACAGGCATGAGCCACTGCACCCGGTGATCTGTCAGCCACTTTCCTTGTCCTCTACAGCTAATCACCCAGTTCTGTGCCTGTGTTTTACACACAAAAACCTGCACATATTTATAGCAGCTTTATTTATAATTGCCAAAAGTTGGAAGCAACCATGATGTACCTCAGTTGATGAATGGATTTGGCTGGGCCTGGCTCCCCTCTATCTAACCTGGGAAGTGGAGTGTGATTGTGTGTGTGTTTGTTAGTGGAAGGACGTGTGGTTTCTCTCTGCATGGATGAATGAGTGTATTTGGAGGGTCATGGTGCTGAGAGACTGCAACTGGGATTCGGTCTGTGGGTATGAGTGAAGATTATAAGTGTGTAACCCCTCACATGTGTACTGTACTTTACACTTTAAGTGGCAGCATAGTGCTTAACCATGGCAGCAGCAGTTAACACATAGACTCTGCAGCTAGATTTCTTGGGGTTCAAATTCTGCCTCAATTCTGTGTGACCTTAGGCAAATTACTTAACTTCTCAGTGCCTCAGTTTCCTCACTTGTAACACAAGGAAATATTAACAGATCCCTCCCCTTCTTTTAGGATTATTGTGAGAATTAGAAGAGTTAATATATGTTAGGGGCTTGATACCTGGCATGTAATAAGAGCTAATTAAGTGTTCACTGTTATAATTTCTCATAACTACAGAGTAGTTTGATATTTCAGGGAGAAATAATATATGTTTGTTTCCCACTGCTTTCACAACAACCCTATGTTGTAATTAGCACTGTTCCACTGGCACCTAAAGACACGGAGGCTCTGGGAGATTTCTGGCCCTAGGCCACGAAGGCCCACTTGGGACTCAAGCTGAGGTCCTGTGATTCCATTTGGGAGCAGGAGGAGGGATTTGCAGGTGATCTTCCTGGGCCTCCTGAGAGCAGCTCAGGTGCCCAAGATGGACTCAGGCAGGCAGCTCTGCTGTATGTGAAGCCCAGTGAGGGGCAGTGGGGGGGCCATGCTGCAGGTACAAGTTAATCTCCCTGTATCGCCTCTGCCCACTTACCCTTACTCCTTTTTCTACCCAGATAAGGAGGGTTCCTGCCCCCAGGTGAACATTAACTTTCCCCAGCTCGGCCTCTGTCGGGACCAGTGCCAGGTGGACAGCCAGTGTCCTGGCCAGATGAAATGCTGCCGCAATGGCTGTGGGAAGGTGTCCTGTGTCACTCCCAATTTCTGAGGTAAGTGAACGGGAAAGAGAAAGTGCATTGATGGCCAGGTGTTGTGGGAAACAGGAGAAAACGTCACCCAGGCGGAGGTGAAGGGAGGTTAGTTGCAGGGACAGTTGGGAAAGGTATACCAGTGGGGTGACCCTCAGCCTGTTCTAAAAGAAGAGTGAAAGGTGGGTAGTCTGATGAGCTGCATTGGGGAGGCTGTCTCAGGCAGAGGGAACAGAATAAGCAAGAGCTTGGCTGGGTGTGGTGGCTCATGCCTATAATCCCAGCACTTTGGGAGGCTGAGGTGTGCGGATCACCTGAGGTCGGGAGTTCAAGACCAGCCTGACCAACATGGAGAAACCCCGTCTCTACTAAAAATACCAAAAAAAAAAAAAAAAATTTAATGGGTGTGGTGGCGGGTGCCACCCACCCGCTACTCAGGAGGCTGAGGCAGGAGAATTGCTTGAACCTGGGAGACAGAGGTTGTGGTGAGCTGAGATCACGCCATTGCACTCCAGCCTGGGCAACAAGAGCGAAACTCCATCTCAAATTAAAAACAAACAAACAAAAAACAGCTTGGTGGTACCCTTGGGTTGAAATCTCGTGGTTGTCATGTGCTACTTTTAACAATTTCTCAGCAAAGTAACCTGAAGATAACTGATAGAATCCAATAGTGCAGAGATGAGCAATTGAAATCTAGAGAGGGGGTGTGCTCTTGGTGCCCGAGAGGGAACTATGGTTTCTCTAAACTAAGCTATGGTCTCCCTGGAGCCAGGGCTCTCAGATGCCAACTGCATGGATAGGCTTTGCAGTCAAGAAGACCTTGGTTCAAATGTTAGCTCTGACACTTACCTAACCTTCTCACCTCCCTGAGTCACAGTTATCTCGCTTATAAAATGTAGCTAAATAAGATCTAATTGATCAGATAATCCCATTTTAACCTAAAGAAGAAGGCATGGCAGAACTTCCTAATAGTAGAAGGATTCTTGGGGAGAGAAATGGCCATGACCCCTCAGGAAGGCCACAGTGGACATCTGGGACCACAGTATACCCAGGTGCCTGCTAGGGATGGTCTGACCACAGTATACCCAGGTACCTGCTAGGGATGGTCTGAAGGAGAAGAGTATGTCTAGAACCTGTAGAAAATGCAAGCAGAGCCCCCAGAAGGTGAGGCTTTGCTGTGTGGGTGTGTGGGATGGGGTGGGGTCAAGGAGCTGGTCTAGGATTTAAGCTGCAGGTACTCCTGCCTAGTCTAATGGATATTGTTGTTGATGGTATTGTTATAATTTTCTTCCTCCAGCTCCAGCCACCACCAGGCTGAGCAGTGAGGAGAGAAAGTTTCTGCCTGGCCCTGCATCTGGTTCCAGCCCACCTGCCCTCCCCTTTTTCGGGACTCTGTATTCCCTCTTGGGCTGACCACAGCTTCTCCCTTTCCCAACCAATAAAGTAACCACTTTCAGCACGTTCTGTCTCTGTCTCCCCTGACTTGGGTTGAGGTGGGTGGGCAAGTGTTAAGGGTGTGACCAGATCATCCAGGCATGAAGTCCAGAGAAGGATCATCTGGTAGGTGTTAGCATTCTCCTGGTGGATCCCTGCATCAACCCTATGAATCTGGTCATTATTCCTCCAGGAGGATGGATGAGAAAAACGAGGCTCAGACAGGTGGTGGGGTGCTTCCAAAGTCACTCAGATTCATTGCTGGGGGTGCTGATAAGCAGCAGCATGCACCAGGTGCCAGACACGGTGCTGGGAGGTTTGCTTATGAGATCCTCTGGGTCCTCAAAACAATCCCCAGAGCAGTTAACAACATACCCCTGTCATAGACCTGGACTCCATGAGGTTACTTGCCAGTGGCCACACAGAAAGATGGCAATCCAGGATCCTCTCTTGTTGATACTTTAAGTCAAAGTTTTATTTTATATAAGTAATATAGTCATATGCATCCAAACTCAAAAGATTAAAAAAAGATATACAATGAAAAGTGTCTTTCACCCTTTATCCCCTGTCTCCACCTTCCACCCCAGCCACCAAGTTGTTTTCTATAAAGACAAAAAATGTTCTCAGTTTCTTGGGTTTCTTTTCAGATATGTATCCCCAGCTCTCAATCCTTTCTCTCTCCCTTCTCTATTTCTTCCTCTTTTCCTTTCTATTCCCCCTCTATGCCTCACTCTATTCTCTTTCTCTCTCCTCTATTCCTTCCTCTCCATCCTCCCCCTCTCCATACTCCCTCTCTTAATGCCCCTCTCTCTATGTACTTTCCTCTCTCTCCATAGTGTCCCCTTCTACTTCTCTCCCCACTCCCTATCTCTATCATCTCTTTCCATCTGTTAGAGTAGGTAGTTAGACATGAGCAGGACAGGAGAGGGCTCCCCCCTCACACGCCCAGGAATGTCAGGTGACGATCAGGTGATGGTCAGGTAGTGGTTAAACTGTCTCTCTAAAATGATCACTGGGCCGGGTGCAGTGGCTCACGCCTGTAATCCCAGCACTTTGGGAGGCCGAGGCGGGTGGCTCACCTGAGATCAGGAGTTTGAGACCAGCCTGGCCAACATGGCCAAACCCCATTTCTACTAAAAATACAAAAATTAGCCAGGCATGGTGGCATGCACCTGTAATCCCAGCTACTTGGGAGGCTGAGGCAGGAGAACTGCTTGAACCCGGAAGGTGGAGGTGGAATGAGCTCAGGTCACACGACTGCACTCCAGCCTGGGCAACAGAGAGAGACTGCATCTTATTTTTATTTTTTAAAGTTACAAATAAAAGTTTTCTTGGCTCTGAAAAACAAAGATCAGCAATGTTTTAAGTAAAAAGTCATAGAAGGGTTATTTTAGTCTTCTATTAGTTCAGTCTATGCAGTTAACACCTGTTCTGCTTGATATTCATAAACATTTCAGCTCTCCATGAGAGTCCTGAAAGTTTTTTCCTCGATTCTAATGTCACAATCTCCAAAGGTATCAGAAACCTGCATTCAAGAGCACCTGTCAAAGTCCTATAGCTGATTATAAACCACCTTTTGAAGAGAATCAAAACAAGACAATAATTGTGGGTGACAAAAAGTCTTAGGACAGCCACTACTAAAGCCACATTTGACAATTTTGGTTACTTCTGTGGCATACAATTTTACACAACAATTATAATTATTAATTACATACACTAAGCCATATCAGAATTACAGGACTTTCCAGTAATTTTGGAACATATACTAATAACATATTTATACAAATACAGCCCAAAGAAAGCCAAACACCATTTCATATTTGACAATGCTTCCTGTATGATTTTTATACCAAATAAGCCAAATATGTCATTTTTGGACTTTAGGGGACCTAATAGCTATAAGATTAATTAGGTCAGAAAAAGACATAATTTATAATTTGGTTTTGGAAAGTTTGTTACTATCAAAGGTTTAAAACACTTGATATTATAGAAGAGAATCATAGGCCACCATAAGTCATCTAGCCAAAATAACTCAAAAATTTTAAAAAGGCAAAAAACTTTATTCATGGAAAATCTTGTTCAAGAGAAAGCCAAATTTCACCTTTGCATTAGTGTACTATTAATATCAAACCCAATTCTTAGTAGAACCTTAGACAAATCTCTTCAATTTTAATGTTTGACCCTAAGGTAAGATTCTTATAAATCTTATGACCCTTTACAATTTTTGTTAAAGAGCAGATCAGTGCTCCAAGGAAATCCTTTTGTGCTTTTATTCCAATGTTCAATTTACAGAAAAACTGAATAATGTCACTTTAGCTTTAGCCAATATGTTCACATATAAAATTTCTTTTACCAGATTAATCTTTCACAAACCTATCACAACTTGCTCAAACCTTCAGCTTTATGCTATCTTAGTTAAAACCTTTAACCCTCTAAACTAGTGTAGCCAAAAAACTCCCACATTTCCATGCCTTCTTATAATCTTTTACCAAAAACACATTTCACTTTCCTGACACACCTTGCATGTAAAACGTTTCTGTAGTAGTCTCCATTGCATGTTACACTGTTAACTCTTAGAAACTTTTGTTGTTGCTGAAAAACCTGATAAGTGAGTGATTTTTAATTTTGTAGCAGGTGTGGAGCCTAAGATACGAGACAAAAATGCAGATAAGTTATCCTTCCATCATAGTGAGGGGGCATCCCTAACTCCGCATGTCCACAGGCCTTACCTAGAATCTAATAGCTCAAAGAATAGCTCTTCTTTGACTTTTCAAAAGTCAAAGAAGCAGTTCATGATCTTAAAGCGTTTAGCAAACCTAATTATCTGACCTAATTTAGACCAAATGTCTTTATTTTACCAATAATTTTTTAAACTGTCCTTCCAAAGCTTACTAAAGTCACGTGAACTAAAAGGCATTAGTTTTTATTTTCCTGACAAAATATTTAAGCGCTTATTTTTAAGCCAATTAATCAGAGCTCCTTCATATATAAATGTCACACACACAACACATATAAATATACAGACAGCAGAAGATCCAGTAGTTGTTACGATTTTTCATTTGGCAGTTTTTAAGTTTCTTAATTGGATTACTGGCTTCAGGGTGGGGTCCTTTGAGGAACAGGGTTAGGAAAACATGCCGTTTCTAGGGCTTAATAAGCAGATACAGATGGAAAGCAAAACAGATCCCCCAAAATTCAGGGTCCTATTTTTATACCGGATCCTCAATTCCCAAAAAAGAAATACTACAGAACAAGACAATGAATGATCTTACTGTGAGTTTCATTGCAAGACAACCCAGAGTCAATCAGCCCATTCTGTGATCAGCCTATCCCCCACGGAAGCCTTATCTCAGTGGTGGGGTGGGGGATGGGGATGTTTCCATACCTTCCAGGTGGCTGAGAGCACGCCTCTCTGATCCAAACGTGCAGAGAGCCAAGTATCCCGCCATAACTGCCACTGGCCATGCCCAAAAGTATATTTGCTACCTAGTTATTACACACCAAAGCTCACTCATAATGTGAAGTAATTTCTGATACTCTAAAAAGTAAAAAATGTCAAATAACGCAATGCAAAACAGAACAGAGCCTTAGCTTTTGAGAGAGATCTATCTGCTTCCAATCCCTGGGTCTTAATGAGGAAAACAGATGTTTTCCCTAAAACGGGGTCTGTGGCACCTCCTCTGTTTTTCTCAAGGAGTCCAAGGCTATTAGAAATTATCTTAGGTCCTCTCACATGTGCATCAAGAGTGGCAAGAAGGCAAAACAGAGAAACAATTCAGTTGACTGTGAAAAAAAAAATACCTTTTTTTTCCCCTTGTCTTGTTTTCCCCTGGTAAAAAAAAATACTTTTTTCTTCATAAGATCCAAGAAGAGAAAAAAACATAAAGACCTTTTAAATATACGTATAGCTTGGATATCTGCTTTTAATTAAGCTAACTTTTAACAAAATCTCTTATTACCAGACTCTAGCCGGGACAAACAGCCAATATTTATGGCCTTTAAACTTTACCAAAGGTAATCTCCCAGGTGAAACCAATAAGCCTTAACTAAGGTTGTGACTTAACCACAGGTGTACGAAGTATTTTCAAACAGGTGGTAAGCAGTTTTTACAAGATTTAGAATCTACAAAGGCAGCTTAGAGAAGGGAAAATTCAAAAAGGAAAGCCAGATGTTGTTCAAGGAGGGGCAGAGAATCAACAAATGGCAAAGCTCACGTAGATATCAAACTAGAAAGGACTAATTCCCTGAGCTGGGAATTGAACCCTGAATGTGGGCTGCCATTGTGAAAAGACAAAACCTTAGCTACTAAGCTTCAGCATTGGGCAGTTTCCATTTCTTTTCTTAGAAGGACCCTAGAGGCAGCCAATTTTGAGCTTGCAAAGGCTTTTAACTGCTCAAGACAATTTTTAGGGCTATGACGTGAACCTCAAAATTCCTGTCCTCTGGATGCTGGAGACTAAGAAGGTATACCACCATATGGTTACAAGGTCAAGCTTCCAAGGGCATAAGACAAGGGGAAAACTTCAGTCAGTTTTTTGTTTGTTTCAGGGACCTGCCGCAAAGTTTGTAACTGACCAGTGTGCCGGACTGGCTTGAACAGCAAGCTTACCGGGTCCTAAGCCCATATTCTATCCTAAGGTACCTCTCTTTATGACAGAAAAATACAGAAAGACAAATTCATAGCACAAATTACACCAGATTTGCTACAGCTTAATACTAGCCACATGAAGGCTTTTGTTTCATTAATTGAAACTTTGCAGAGGAGGCAGTGATTTTTACCATTCCTACAGTCGGCGCGCACAGAGAGAGGCCAGAAGTCTGACTGGTAAGAAATTCTTACCCTTTTGCTGGCATGCCAGGTTTCTGGGTTCCCTTTCCCTGAGTGGCCCTAGCGAATCTACTTGCTGCATCATAGCCCTGGAGGCCAAGCTGCAACACAAAATTAAAAAAAAAAAAATCTCAATTTTGTAAGATGCTGCCCAGTGGGTTGCATGGGGTAACCAAATGAACATTTTCCATTCCAGCCAGAGCAAAATACGTGTGACAAAACATAGACATTAGCCGCTCTGCTTAGCACCCAATATCTAACTGGCAAGGCTCAAACTTGCCCCCGGTTGGGCCTTGTCATCTTTAATCCATTCAAAGTGGGGTGGAGTGACCTCCGACCCGGAATTTCAACATGTGGTCTCTGGGCAAGATGGAAGAGCAGGTAGTCTCAAGTAACAGAAACGATAGGAAAAGAAAAGGAGAGAAAGAGAGAGTAAGAGAGAGAAGCCTGGTCTGAGGCAGGGTGGGGAAGCGGGGAGCTCAGGGAGACCAGAGGAATACCCACCCATTGCAGCAACACTGAATCAAAAGTTCAGGCAGGTACTTGTCAGTCACAAAGGGATCTTTTCCAGCAGTCCCATCAGCTCTCAAGTTGCCCCCTCTGGGGAGAAAAAAGTTCCCCATGTTCCAAGATCCTGTACATGCCTAATCCAGTCACCTGTAGCCATCAGCAAACAGTGCAAGGCAGATTAATCCAGAGAATAGCAGTTAACATTTCATAGTGCCAAATCCATTTCTAACCAAGAGGGATGTTACTGAGGGGGACCTCTGACCCACTGTCTTTCTCTTTTCTTTCTAACCACTGTCTTTCTCTTTTCTTTCTTTTTTTCTCTTTCTCTCTTTCTTCTTTTTGAGATGGAGTTTTTTGCTGTGTTGCCCAGGCTGGAGTTGTGCTTCATCCTAAGGTACCCCTTTTTATGACAGAAAAATACAGAAAGAAAAATTTACAAAATACAGAAAGAGCCCCCTCTGCTGGAGAAGAAATCTCCACCCACTCCACCTCCAGCCCCGACTCCTCAGCCTCTCCCACCCGCTCCGCCGCCACAGCCAGCCCTGCCCTCACCACCCCCGCTGGTGGCCCCCACGTCCAGCTCACCACCGCCACCACCGCTGCCACCTCCACCAGCTATGCCTTCGCCTCCACTGCCACCCCCGCCAGCCGCTGCCCCACCGGCTGCCCCTCCAGGGGAGCCCGCCCCCCATCCCCCGAGGACGCTGAGCTGCCGGACACCTGGCCTCTGCACCTGGCCAAGAAGCAGGAGACGGCGGCCGTGTGTGGAGAGACGGACTAGAAGGCTGACGAGAGTGGCGGAGAGGGCATTTTCCGTGAGCAGGACGAGTTCGTCATCCGCGCAGAGGACATCCTTTCCCTCAAGGTGAGTCCCAGGCTTCTCCAAAAACTGGGCCTGATGGGTTACTTGAGTGTTTGTTGAGCGCCTGCTGGATGAGAGGCTTGTGTTGGGACCTGCGGATCCAGTCATGGCTGAGGGAGAATGGCTGGGCCCACTGGAATTCACAGTCCAATGGGGCCGTTAGAGGTGGCAGTGACCTGCGGGCCTCAGAGGTGTTATTTGCGTATGTGTTTATACACGCATTACCTGTATGTAAGGTAAATACTTTTTTTTTTTTTTGAGACAGAGTCTCGCTCTGTCGCCCAGGCTGGAGTGCAGTGGCGCAGTCTCGGCTCACTGCAACCTCCGCCTCCCGGGTTCACGTCATTCTCCTGCCTCAGCCTCCAGAGTAACTGGGACTACAGGTGCCCACCACCACGCCCGGCTAATTTTTTGTATTTTTAGTAGAGACGGGGTTTCACGGTGTTAGCCAGGATGGTCTTGATCTCCTGACGCACCGCCTTGGCCTCCCAATGTGCTGGGATTATAGGCGTGAGCCACCGCGCCGGCCAGGATTTTTGTTTGTTTGTTTGTTTGTTTGTTTGTGATGGAGTTTCACTCTGTCGCCCAGGCTGGAGTGCAGTGGTGCGATCTCGGCTCACTACAACCTCTGCCTCCCAGGTTCAAGCAATTCTCCTGCCTCAGCCTCCCGAGTAGCTGGGATTACAGGCACATACCACCACACCCGGCTAATTTTGTATTTTTAGTAGAGGTGGGGTTACCATGTTGGCCAGGCTGGTCTCGAACTCCTGACCTCAGGTGATCCACCCGCCTCGGCCTCCCAAAGTGCTGGGATTACAGGCATGAGCCACCGCGCCCAGCCACCCCCTATGGCTTAGAAGGGACTCTAATTTTTCTAAGTTAAGCCTTTAACCCAGGTTTGGTCAAGCGTCGTTGCTTTTTATTAACAGGGGCCTTTAAGCCTCTTTGTCTTAGGAGGGACTCTAACTCTCCTAAGTTGGGCTTCTAACCCAATCCCATCCTTTACCCAGGTAAAACGTACCCCACCACATATCCAGAGTTGGCCAATTGGTGCTGCAGTCTTTTTCTTTGGGTCAGAAGTCTCTTCAGTATAGTCGCTTCATGGTGGCCAGGAAGATGTTACCAGAAAGGAGTCCGGATCCAGACCCCAAGAGAGGGTTCTCAGATCTCACACAAGAAAGAAATCAAAGCAAGTCCGTAGAGTAAAGTGAGAAAGCAAGTTTATTAAGAAAGTAAAGGAAAGGGAAAAAGAGTGGCTACTCCATGGGCAGAGCAGCCCCAAGGGTTGCTGGTTCAAGATTTTTATGGTTATTTCTTGATTATATGCTAAAACGGGTGGATTATTCATGAGTTTTCATGGAGAGGGGAAGAGATTTCCCAGAACTGAGGATCCCTCCCCTTTTTAGTCTATATAGGATAACTTCTGAGTGTTGCCATGGTGTTTGTAAATTGTCATGGCACTGATAGGAGTGTCTTTTAGCATGCTAATGCATTATGATTAGCATAGAATAAGCATTGAGGATGACCAGAGGTCACTTTCATTGCCATCTTGGTTTCAGTGGGTTTCGGCTGGGTTCTTTACCACATCCTGATTTATTAGCAGGGTCTGTGACCTGTATCTTGTGCCAACCTCCTATCTCATCCTGTGACTAAGAATGCCTAACCCTCTGGGAATGTAGCCAAGCAGGTCTCACCCTTATTTTATCCAGCCCCTATTCAAGATGGAGTCACTCTGGTTGGAAGGCCTCTGACACAATGATTTCTTACTTTAATCCTGGGGTGTATGCTTATCCTTTGGGGTGAGGGAGAAGGAGAATAAGGGAGTAATGTCAGTGACTCTGGCCCCCCAGGAACAGCCTTCATGTCCTTCCCTTCTCTACCCACCGTGGAACATGAGAGATCTGGAAAGTTTCAGTGACATTGTCTGGAATATCTGGCCAGCCTGGCTTGGTGTCTATCAGGCTTTATCTTCCTCATCTTCTTGTGGGACCAGGGACCAGGGACCAGACAAGGCCCCAGGGCATCTCCATTCACTCCCAGGGGCACAAACTGATAGAGCCTCCTGGTGGGAGTGGGGATGCTTTGTGCATATGATAGCCCCTTGGCCAGAGATGGCAGTGTAGATTTTCCCAGCTCCCCACTTTCTGATTTCTATTTTTGTCCATGCTCGGGGCTCCCCAACCTTTTAGGCAGAAACAGAGGCATCCAGTGATGGGTTGGGAAGAGTTGCTGGGAACTCGGTGTGTGACTACCACTAGCTCCACTTTCTCCTGTCCTTCTACAGGTTTGCATTCTGAAAGAGTGGCCCAGGCAGGGTGATGTCTAACCCAGGGATGGCAAAGGTGTCCACATGCCATCATTTCTTCCACCAGCACCCATATCACATGATTGCTGCTCCTTTCCATTAGCCCATGTGTGGCCACAGAGCCCTCAGCACAGGGCTCCAGGCAGCTGCTACAGCTGCCCATTGATTGGGGTTGATAGATAGATTTGCTACCCCTGATTTAACTCAAGAAATAAAATGCTAATGGTGAAAAGTCAGACCTGGCAGTTGAGGTTTTACTGAGTAAGAAGACTGCACAGGGGACCCTGAGCAGGGGTCCAAAGGAGATGGGACCTCAGGCCCTCCACCAGAAGCTTAAGAGGGGGTAAAGCTTTTTCAAGGGGTCCCTAGCCCAGAGGCCTCCTGCAGAAGATGAGGTGGAAGTTGCCAGGGATCTCAGTAATGCACAGGAAGAAGCTACCAGGGAAGGAGGACTGAGAGGTGGGATGGGGCAGGTAAGAAAGCAGGGGTGGGTTAGACGAGGCAGAACCTCTGGCTGAGACCCTTCCTTTAATTTTCTTTTTTAAGCTGCTTGGTCAATAAGTTTATTGTTTTTATCTGAATAATCTTATAGAAAATGACTATTTGCCAGACGTGGTGGAACGTGCCTATATTCCTAAGTACTTGGAAGGCCAAGTGGGGGAGGATTGCTTGAGCCCAGGAGTTGGAGGCTACAGTGAGCTATGATTGTGCCACTGCACTCTGACTTGGGTGACAGAGCGAGACTCTGTCTCTGAAAAAAAAAAAGAAAAAGGAAAAAGAAAAGACAAGAAAATAGTTGTTTGGCTTAGCGCTCAGCAGCCTGCTCCTGAGCTCTTAGAAAACTTGCCTTCTGAGCTACTCAGTCTTTCTTCTGGACAGGGGACGTCTTGGGATGGTTCCACCTTTTCTTAACTTCTTCCCCAGGCTTCCTCTCGTGAACTGGATTCTCTTGTTCAGCATCATGAGCTTTCTTACATGTCTCTCCGTCATGACTGGAGTTATGTTGTTCTTTATGTATTGAGAAAATTGTTTCTTGTAAACATCTTCATCTTCTTACATTGGGTAATGCATATAATCTGCGATCTTCTGACCCAGGATGTGCTTCTGCATTGAACTCCCTGCTTTCTGAATTGGAACCAGGGAATTGTTTGGTAACTGTGAGGGATAGAAAACCTCAATCCACACCTCCCTTCAGGGCCCCCCTACCTTTATTTCCGTTGGTAGTTCTGGCAAGTAGCAAGTGAAGGCACCAAGTAACCATCAATGCTTCCCATGTGATACCCATCTCTGCTCACCTCCACTTGACCTTCATAGGTGTTGTCCATGCCAAGACTATTGAGGGGCCTTCGGGTCAGCACAGGCCAGTACAATGTGCTGCATCATAATCTGGCTGGCCAACCTTCATGCTACACTTTAGACATTCATGAACATATGCTGTGCAGACAATCATATTCCCTTCTGTGTGGGCAAAAACCATATGACAAATGATCTCTCTGTTAGTTGCATGAACTATCCTGAATTTTGGTGTGTTCTACTTATTTTCATCCTGGATTACCAAGTGTGTCTGAGCATAGTAATCAGTTTAACCCACTGGTCTTCTAAATGTCATCTGTATCTCTTAAAGTAGGCCTTACTCTTAACAATTTTAACACACTCCATCCTCCGGAACAGAGAGCTGTGTCCATGGCTTGACACAGACCTGCAGCGTGCAAGGGGGGCCAGGCAAGGCGGAAGCCCTACGATCATTCTTTGATCAACTTTTGCAGCCAAGTGAATGCTGTAGGTTGGGGACTCTGAAGATTTGTGATTGGAAAGGGGGAAGGAAAAAGGACAGGGTCCCAGACTGGTCTCTTCCCCCTCTTCCAGGCCTTGATGGGCCACACTTGATATAGGCAGACCACAGCAAAGCTTAGTTTTGGCCAGGAGAACAGCTCCCAGGGCCCAGGAATCCCAGTAAACAGGTGGATCGAGATGGGACAGCCAACCTCAAGGCCCCTCACAGAACCACTCAGCCCAGCTGCCCCTCCAGACGTCAGGGCAGGGCTTCTTCCCGCACTTATTTTCTCCCATTTCCGATGGCAAACTGCTTTGCAGATGCCTCTAAAGGCCATCCCCAGCCCAGGAAGCCATGTATGGTAATACCTACATGGAAACAGACATCTTCTCTGCAGGAAAGTGCAGGTTTGGGGTTGGAGCGATAGTAAGAAGTTACATGAGTGAGCTGGAGCTTAGAAAATAAAGTTCTAAAGACAGACCAGTCAGGGAGGGGAAGGTCCTGCCCCAGAAACAACATCAGCAGAGGCATTCACTCATTCAATATTTATAAAGCACTTACTATGTGTTCTATTCTAGGTGGTGGGGATTTGATAGAAGGAAAAGAGTGTGTGTGTGTGTGTGTGTGTGTGTGTGTGTGCGGTGGAGAGGATAGCCAATAAATAAATGAACTAACACATATATAACATGTTAGGTGGAGGAAAAGTTATGGAGAAATACACAGGTAAGAGGAATAGTGAGTCTGGGGGTGGGGTAGAGATGGGGGTGATTACTTTGCAAAGTAGTCAGGGAAGGTCTTAAAGTATTATTCAAGTAGTGAACTCAGTGAAGGAGGACATGAGCTGCGTGACAACCCATGAGAAGAGGAATTTAGAGAGAAGAGAGTTCCAGAACAAAGGACCTGAGGTCAGAGTGTTCTCAGGGTGTTGGGGATCATCCAGGAGGCTGGCATGGCTGGGGTGAATGAGTGGTCAGGAGCCTGAGGTGAGTTGAAGTCAGAGAGGTAGCATGGGCACAGAGAATAAGGGCCTTGTGGCTCATTGCAAGGATTTTGCCTTTTATTTGGAGCAAATTTGGGAGCCACTGGAGGAGTTTGAGCAGAAGAGTGACATATGACTTCAGTTGGAAAAGGATCCTTCTGGCTGCTGTGTTGTGAATACTACAGGGGAGATGCAGAACCAGGGAGGGCAGGTAGGTCACTGCAACAGGGCAGGCAAAAGCTGGCTTAAAAAAATGCTTCAGGCTGGGCATGGGGGCTCACACCTGTAATCCCAGCACTTTGGGAGGCCAAGGCTGGCAGATCACGAGGTCAGGAGCTCGAGACCAGCCTGGCCAACATGGTGAAACCCCGTCTCTACTAAAATACAAAAAAATTAGCTGGGTGTGGTGGTGCGTGCCTGTAATCCCAGCTACCTGGGAGGCTGAGGCAGGAGAATTGCTTGAACCCGGGAGGCAGAGGTTGCAGTGAGCCAAGATGGCGCCACTGCACTCCAGCCTGGGGGACAGAGCGAGACTCCGTCTCAAAAAACAAACAACAAAAAACTCTTCATCCAGTGGTATGAGGCCCCCCACACTGTCAGGTAGAAATCTTGGCTTCCTTAAACAAACCTTTATTGTTTCCCTTATTGGAAGTATTCCTTCCTTGGTTTCTAAAACACCGCAGAGCCCTGAGACACAACATTTAACATAATCATAGTAATGCTGAATTACAAGCCAACTCAAAATTCAGTGACTTAAGGCAACAATCATTCGCTCTCACTCCCATATCTGTGGGTCTGCTGGGGTTCAGCTGATCTAGGCTGGGCTCAGCTGGTTCTTCTTGAACCAGCAGGTTCCATAAAATGTATTCCCTGGGTCACCTGAGGTCAGGAGTTCCAGACCAGCCTGGCCAACATGGTGAAACCCTGTCTTTACTAAAAATATGAAAAAAATTAGCCAAGAATGGTGGCGGACGCCTGTAATCCCAGTTACTCAGGAGGCTGAGGGAGGAGAATCACTTGAACCCAGGAGGCGGAAATTGCAGTGAGTGGAGATCAAGCCATTGCACTCCAGCCTGGGTGACAAGAGTGAAACTCGGTCTCAGGCTGGGCGCAGTAGCTCACGCCTATAATCTCAGCACTTTGGGAGGCCGAGGCAGGTGGGTCACGAGGTCAGAAGTTCGAGACCAGCCTGGCCAAGATGGTGAAACCCCATCTGTACTAAAAACACAAAAATTAGCCGGGCGCGGTGGTGGGCACCTGTAATCCCAGCTACTCGGGAGGCTGAGGCAGGAGAATTACTTGAACCCAGGAGGTAGAGGTTGCAGTGAGCCGAGATCACGCCACTGCACTCTAGCCTGGGTGACAGAGCAAGACTCTGTCTCAAAAAAAAAAAAAAAAAAAAAAAAAAGCAAAACTTGGTCTCAAAACAAAACAAAAACACATTCTCGTAGGATTGGTAGAAGGATAAGCACAGATTCCAAGTCTGTGCTTTCATCATGTCTGTTAGCATCATTAGCCAAAATAAGTCACATACCAACCCCGAAGTTAAGGGGCAGAGAAATATACTCTGCCTCTAGTGGAAGAAACTGCAGACTCTTTGATTGTGGATATAGGGAGGGTGATGAATTGGAGCCAGTAACTCAATCTACCACAGTTATTATGTTTAATAACAAGATATGCTTTGGTTGCTCTGATCCATTTATTCTGGCTGTGGGAAAAAAAGCACCATATGCTGGTTGCTGATTGAGAGCATGTACAGTATCCTGCGAGATAGAACCTTACCCACTCGAAGTTTTATTTCCAAGTTGTTAATGTCACACCTGCAGGACATCCCACCATTCCACAAGTCTGGCTGCTTCTGGGTGATGGAGAACAGGATAAAACTGGTGAATCCCATGAATAACAGGCCCTTTCTTTCTTTATTTTACTGTAGCACTCTCCCTAGATGTCTGTATGGTTAATCTTCACTCACCTCATTCAAGACTTTGCTTAAGTGTAACCTTCTCAAAAAGGCCCACTATGACCATCCTCATTAAAACTGCAACCTCTGCATCCCCAGTTCCCCTTATTCTACTCACTTTTTCCCCATAGCACCTTGTACTACTATTAGTCTATATAATTAAATTATATATTATGCTTATTGTTTATTTTCTGGGCCCCACCCTGAATATAATATTTATTATCTTTGCCCCACTCAGAGTGTTTGTGATCAAGAAGGGGAAAGGAAAAGATTATTGTTTTGTCCGTTTTGTGTTTGGCATATAGTAGGCACTCAATAAATATATGTTAATTGAATGAATGAATGAGGAGTTCTTTTCTAGAAGCAATATTATATGGGATACAGTCACTGTGATTAAGAAATTCCACAAATCCATGGGTACCAGTACTGGCACAGGCATGGAAGGCAAGGAAATAAAATTCAAATTCAGAATATCTATTCCAGTGAGGGCCAATCACCCCTGCCTCCATGCTTTTGAAGGGGTCTCATGTACCTGTCACCAGATAGCTGGTTCATTTTCTCTGGTTAACGGCACCATATCAGGGCTTAGATTGGCCATCACGCTAGCAGGCTCACTGCTGGAGTACACTGCTGTATACCATAAGTGTCAATAGGCCAATCAGCCTTGCTAAGTGGGAAGTCCATGTCATTGGCCCCAGGCTTAGTCCCTACCACTGTCACATGGTGCTTTGTTCATGAGCCCCCTGAGCAAGCACTAGGGTGGCCAGGGAGACAGGCTGACTGACATCTATGGGGGTGTCATCCTCTCTAAGTGATTACAAGAGCTTCTCTTGTAGCTTTTGTGAAGTGCCTGCGGGACATTGAGGGAGGTCTTGGCCCATCTCCTGGGCTCAGTTCCTCTTTGGCTTTGAAGCCCAGTAAATAGCTAATTCTATATGTTGTCATACTGGGTACTGGCCATTATTACATTGTCACAATGGGACTGTGCAAGTGTGCTGTCTCAGTTTCACATAGCTTCTGCAGGAAGATGGTACTAATTGTGTAGTAAGAAACTGTGTTTATAACCTGGATATTAGATCAAGATGGTGAAGATTGCTTCACATTTTTACAACATATCAGGGTGATATGTTGCAAATGTAAGAAACTTGGTAAACCCCATGTGGGATTTCCTCTATCTAGTAGGCTTGCACCAACCCAAAATATTCCTTGTGAGGAAACTGGAAGGTTACAGAAGCAACACTCATTGAAAATCCCCCCAATCTTATGTCCTCTGTAATGCTTTTCTGAAAATGCATCATCTGATCATATTGCAGTAAATGCAACTGCTATATGATTTAAACGTTCATTTCTCTAAGCCTCAAACCCGGTCCAATTCCATTTATGTAGTGTCCAACCTAGGGCTTGGTTTAAGTGAGGAGAGGTCAAGAGTAAGACAAGATCTCTTCCGGATTTTGAGGTGTCCTAACACCCATTATTTGCAAATGAGCTTAAGTCCTTTCAGGGACCACCCCAGCAGAACATGGTGTCCAGAAGAGTCAGAGGAGCTAATTATTGGATTCAATCACAGACCAGTGCAGGGATCTTGGAGTCCAAAATACACTCTTCTTGGGCAGGGAAGGGGAGAGGCTGCCCGCTACTGTAACTGGCAAAAGGGTTTGGCTGCTTGCCACTTGTAAAAAGAAGCCAGTATAATGAGAATGAAGTGTGATAAAAAGAGAGCAAGATTTTATTATCCATGCTAGATAGAGGAGAAGTGGATGTAATTCTTTCCAAAGATTTCCACTTTATGATTTGTAGAGGAAACACGGGGTCTTTTAAAGACAGGGTTCAGAATGCAGAAGAGGCAGGGGGCTAGGAGGTGTCAGGTGGGGTGAGCCACTCCAATGGGTTGTCTTGAATTATTGTTCCATCTGGTGAAGGGGCCAGCACCATTGTGGCTGAAAGTGTCTGGTCCGTATCAGGATCTGGTCCCTGAAGCTTCTAAGGCAACATATTGACCAGATAAGTGAGTATGATGTGTGTTTAACAAGCATCTAGGTAAATACATGTGCGAAAGGTGTGGGAGCGCAGAATGGGAAAAGAAAGGGAGTGGAGGTTTACAGCATATTCCAAAGCTGTGTTTCGAGATGAAAGGAAACACATATGCAGTTTGTCTCAAAGTTATATCTTGAGACTGGGGAGAAAGGAGGCAAGAAAACAAAGTTTTAAAATGTGGTTTGAAGCCAAGCTCCTCAGTTACGCTATTAAATGCAATCCATGCTATTAAGACAGAAATTGTGGTAGAGCTAGGATCTAGTAATGCTACCCTTTCCTGCCTACTGCCAGTCTTGGAAATTCTTGCCCCCAGCCTGGCCCTCACCCTTCACCCTAATGCTACCATCATCCATCCGCCCCACTCTACCAGTCCCAGTGCTTCTGCAGTACCAAGTCCCACAGCCCCATACCAGCTGTAATGGCTCGAGCTTTCCCTTCTTCACTTTTGCTCCTGCTGGTGCTGTGACTGCTGCATGGTTCCACTTGTCCTGTCCATTGATGCAGCCTTTGGAAACGCCAACTTGAAAAATAAGCGAATGGCAAAAAAATCCTCCTCCTTTCCCACCTCATCACTATGTTTACCCAGTTCATAATTCACCTTAAGGTCATGGCAAAGAGAGAGGGTGGGGAAAAAGTACAAATGGAGTGATGGCAGACAAAACAAACAAACACAAACAAACAAACAAAATGAGCCCTCTAGTCATTGCTGCAGCCTGTTGGCCAGGAGATAGGGGTCTGCTTAGCTTAGCTAGTAGAGGTGGTGCTTGGAGGAGCTATAGCATGCACCACCCCACTCCCGCCGAATTTTTTTTTTTTTTTTTTTTTTTTTTTTGAGACAGAGTCTGGCTCTGTTACCCAGGCTGGAGTGCAATGGTGCGGTCTCGGCTCACTGCAACCTCTGCCTTTGGGTTCAGGCGATTCTTCTGCCTCAGCCTCCCGAGTAGCTGGGATTACAGGCACTGCCACCAAGCCTGGCAAATTTTTGTATTTTAGTAGAGATGGGGTTTCACCCTGTTGGCCAGGCTGGTCTCGAACTCCTGACCTCAAGTGATCCACCTGCCTTGGCCTCTCAAAGTGCTGGGATTACAGGCGTGAGCCACGTCGCCCGGCAGCACGCTGACTTTTTCCACAGAACAGCATAGCATTAGTAAATCCTGCCTGCAGAGCATACAGGTCTTAGACACAGAAGTTTCTGTATATCCCCCTCCCCAGCTGAGACTTTAACCCCCAAATGTCCAGGGCCCAGCCACACCAGACATGTTGGGATGAGCTCATTACATAAAAACTTGGTGAATTTGCAAGAGATGGGACCCCTGGGGCTGCTCTGCCCTAGAGTTTATGGCCTTCACATCTTGAACACCCCTCAGAGGATTTCTCCCTGGATGAACAATCCATAGCCTGTGGTTTATTATGGGTTAGGGTTAGGGCTTTTGCACCACCTGGGGGATAGACAATGAAGGCAACTGCCCTCTTCCATCAATCTCAAAGTAAATACAAATGGGAAGGTTTGTGGTTTCCTCAGCAAGCAGAGCTCTGTGAAGCTAGGTGGCACCACAGGATCTACTTCAAACAAGACCCCAATGTTGGTCGGGCGTGGTAGTTCATGCCTATAATCCCAGCACTTTGGGAGATGGAGGCGGGAGGATTGCTTGATCCAAGGAGTTTAAGACCAGCCTGAGCTGGTTTCTACAAAAAATACAAAAAACAGCCAGGCATGGTGGTGCATGCTTGTAGTCCCAGCTACTCGGGAGGCTGAGGTGGGAGGACCACTTGAGCCCAGGAGGTCAAGGCTGCAGTGAGCCATGATAGTGCTACTGCACTCCAGCCTCAGCGACAGAGCAAGACCTTGTCTCAAAAAAACAAAACAAAACAAAAAACCCGGTGAGCTCTGCAGCCTCATGATAGGTGCCTGGGTTGGTTGAGTGGTTGGAGCACAGAAAACCCTAGATTGGCTCATTCATTATCTACGTTGTAGGGCCAGAGACTCTGGTTTGAAATAATAGAAATCTCTTGACTTCTTAATATATGACTTAGGTGAGTACATGCTTATCAGAAGGACAGTTCTCCATCCATCCTGGGGGATTCCCATTCAGCTGTGGCAGATTAGCAGAGTCACTGTCATTTCTTATACTTTTCTCTATGATTTCATAGGATACCACTGTATACCACTGTGGTGACTTCCCCTTCACTGTTTTCTTTATGTTTTATTCTTTTCTTTCAGTGTTTAATTTTGACATAATTTCAGACTTAAAGTTACATGGCTGAGCACAGTGGCTCATGCCTATAATCCCAGCACTTCAGAAGGCTGGGGCAAGAGGATCACTTGAGCTCAGGAGTTTGAGACCAGCTTGGGCAATGTGGAGAGACCCCGTCACTACAAAAAAATTAAAAAATTTGCCCAGCATGGTGGTGCACACTTGTGATCCCAGCTCTTCAGGAGGATGAGGCAAGAGGATCTCTTAAGCCCAGAAGTTTCAGGCTGCAGTGAACTGTGATCACGCCACTGCACTCCAGCCTGACAAACAGAGCGAGACCCTGTCTCATAAAAACAAAAAGAAAGAAAAGTTGCAAAAATAGTACCAAGATTTCCTGTATACCCTTCACCCACATTCCCGAAATGCTAACATTTTACAACATTTTTCTTAATCCTCTCTGTGTCTGTCTTTCTCTGACACACACACACATACACACACATATACCCCACATATTATGTTTGTTCATAGCATATGGGAATAAGTTGCAGACATCTTAAATACTTCAGTGAATTTTCTAAAATAAAGGTATTCTTTAAAATAGCCTCAGTACAATAGTCACATTCAGGAAATGAGCATTAATACAGTACTATTATCTAATCTAGAGGCAAAACTGGCTACATAATTGTAGGGGTACCCAGTGCAAAGTAAAAATGTGGAGCTCCTTGTTCAAAGAAACAGGGGAAAACATCACTAAAGGTACTCAAATAAAAGGCTTTTTTCTTTCTTGCAGAGTCTCTCTGTCTCTAGACCTCTCATGGAGCTTTTTATTTATTGTTTCTGTCACTCTCCCTCAGGCACGGGGATAGTTGTGGAGCAGTGCAGACCCTCAGAACTACCTAGGGTCCCTGACCGCTACTTGGTGGTGTGTCCTGGAGGGTTCCGCTTGCTGCTGAATTCCTCCTCATGCCAGCTGCCAGACTGAAGCTCTGTGACCCAGCTAGGGGTGGGAAATCAATCTTCCTTGTCCATAGGTCCATTGCACCAACCCATGGATGGGCAGTCCCCAAGCGATTGCAACCTCTGTGCTGAGACATGCTCAGTACAGGATCAGGATAGGTGAGAGGCTGGCTCCTGCCAAGTCACCAGTTGAATGTATTGTGCTGCTGCCAGCCTGGGACTGGGACAGTAATTGGCACTCCCTGAAATGCCACAGGATGTGCACACCTAACTCTGACCCTTCCTGCACCCTTTCCCAAGCCCCCACTGGGAGTGGTTGGCAACGGTAGAACATGAGCCTCCCCTTGCCAATGTGATTCAACTGTCATCTGCATAGCAGCAGTCAGGGGGCAAAGGTGGAAAGGGGCGGGCTGAGCAGAGCCATGGTGTCAGTGGGTGGAGGGCGAGTTGCTGAGAACCCATCCCAGGGAGGCAGCAAGAGGTGGCACTGCTCTTGAGTCCGGACGCCTAGCTCCTGGAGCATGCACCATCGTCTAATTAACCTTCACTTACAAACACAAATTTAAATAACTGAGAATTTTAAGACAATGACCACAGGGAATTACATCCTGGGTGCAGGGTCCTTCTGTGTCCAGGGCCCTGTGTGATTTGGGTGCATGCCTACAAAGCCCATCTCTAGACCTTATTCGGATTCTACAAATTGTCTCAATAATGTCCTTTACAACAAAAGAAAATCTTGGATCCTGTGTTGCATTTAGCTGTCACACCTCTTTAATCTTCTTTCTTTTTCCTTTTTAAAATTACTTAGTTCAGGAGCAGATCTTCCTTTAATCTTCTTTCATCTGGAAAAGTTTCTCAATCTTTTTTTGTCTTTCATGACATTAACATTTTGGACGATTAAAGGCCATGTATTTTACAGACTGTCTCTCAATTGAGTTTATCTGCTATTTCTTCACAATTAAATTCATGTTATGCGTTTCTGGCAGGAATACTATAGAAAAGATACTGTGTTCTTTGTGGTGGATCATACCACGAGGCACATGCTGTTGATTTGTTTTGTTACTAATGGTGTTAACTTTGACTACTTGAGTAAGATGGTGGCTGCCTATTTTCCCATTTGCAATAAATAAGTATTTGTGGGAAGATACTTTGGATCTATGCAAAAATATTATTACTTCTCAAAATTTTACCCACTAGTTTTAGCATACATTGATGATTCTTGCCTAAATCAATGATTATTTAATGGTTGCTAGATGATGTTTTCCTTTTATTTTTTTCTTTTATTTATGTTTTTTGTAGAGACGGTCTCGTTATATTGCTCAGGCTTGTCTTGAACTCCCAGCCTCAAGAGTTCCTCCCACCTCGGCATCCCAAAGTGCTGGGATTACATGTGTGAACCATCATGCCCAGCTGTTAAATGATGATTTTCTAATTCTATCCTTGACCCCTTGTCTACCTTTACTGAGCCCTTTTTGGCTTCCTATCCTTGCCTACGATGTGACATTTTGATGTGTTCCATCTACTCTTCTGAGCCTGTGGGCACGATGCGGGTAGGGGAGGTTTGGGACTCTGATCTCTCTGAGGTTTGGGTTAAATGTCTTAAGCCAGGGTTTACTCCATTAGTTAATGGAGTGTCTTACTCCCGAGAGGGCATTAAGCTTCACTTTCCCACCATCCTTCTTTCTCTCCTTCCTTCCTTCTATAATTCAGAGACTATGAGAATCATGGCTCTGACTCATAGCTTAACACTTTAACTCTAAAAAAGAAATCCCAGGTCCCTCTTTTCCTCCATGGTATCATGTCTACAAAACTAATCTACAAGTACTTGTTGAGTACTTATTCTGTGCATACCGTTTTGCTTGGCTCACTGTAGAGAAGAAATGTGTAAGGCAAAGTCACTGCTTTCAAGAACCCACAGCTGTAAACATGAAGAGTAGAAGCAGGCAGGCCTGGAATATCTCTGTGTAGTCTACATGGAGAGGTCCAGGGGATTTTATGGGATGGGGAGGTAAATAGGTCATGGCAGAGCTGAACTTTAATGATAGCAAACTGATTAAAAAGCATTGGCTCTAGAATTAGACTTTGATTCCAACACCATCTTCATTCCTTCCTAATTTGTTATTCTGGGCAAGTAATTTATCTTTCTGACCTTCAACTTTTTCATTTGTAAGATACAGATATTAATAGAATCTTCTTCTCAGGGCTATTGCGAATATTAAATGAGATAATGCATGCAAAGCACTTAGGTTGGTTCCTGACATATCCTAAGTGTTTCATAAACAGTAGTTATTAAAATCTTAAAGGAAGGTATTATGTGTCAAAAGCTTTTCAAATGCATGTCCACAGTTGACCCAGAAATTCCACTTAGAATCTATCATGAGTAAACAACCAGAAATACCCATAGTGATTACTTACTATATCGAGAAAACCTCAACAACCTTTAACATTTAACATTAACATGTAACCATTGAAGCTTGTTTAAATAAATGGTGATCTCTTTATGCAAGTAAAGCTCTACACATATTAGCAATTATGTTACAGAATATTTAATGATACAAGAAAATCTTTACCTAATATTGTCAACTGGGTAAATCTATGAATCTGCATTAATATATATTCTTAAACTGTTCTCTATCCCATATATTCTTTCATTCTTCCCAGAAACATTTTTAAAGGACTTGAGGAGCTTGCCACTGCCCCAAGGGGCATTTGGAAGATTTTTCTCTAGCAAGTGTGAATTAAAAAATTTAATGGGACCTCAATATTATGTCAGGAGGGTTCTTCCCAGTGCTCATGTAGCATATCTGGCACACACTAGCCTCTGGTACACTTTGTGAGAGTTAAGTTTATCTGTTTGTCTTTGCATGCCAGCAACTTTTATAACACAAGAGCTCTCAGAATCCAGACATGGTGATTTAGAACTACTGGGTATTTGTACTGATAGGGACCAGGCACTATGAGCCTTAAGCTTTCACCTGTGAATAAATCTCAGGGAAGAAGGAGAGGAGAGGGAAGAGACCAAAGAATCGACATTTTCTCCCCACAGTGTGGCCTTTTTATTGATTTAAAGAGAAGAGACGTGAAGCTGCAAAACTTTTTTGGTAGCAAAGCAGGGTGTTTTTATCAGTTCTTATTTTTTGCTTTGAATTCTCAATGCCACTACCTCTGTCCAAGCTTACAATCCGTCATAACCAGATGATGGTAAAGCTGCCCACCCTGTTTCTCTAAACAAATCTTCCCAATTCTAGAACTGAGACTTTTTTTTTTTTTGAGACAGAGTCTCACTTTGTCTCTCAAGCTGGAGTGCAGTGGCATGAATTTGGCTTACTGCAACCTCCGCTTCTGGGTTCAAGTGACTCTTATGCCTCAGCCACCCAAGTAGCTGGCATTACAGGTGTGCACCACCATGCCTGGCTAACTTTTTTGTATTTTTACTAGGTTTCACCATGTTGGCCAGGCTGATCTTGAACTCTTGGCCTCAAGTGATCTGCCCACATTTGCCTCCCAAAGTGCTGAGATTACAGGTGTGAGCCACCACTCCCAGCCAAGAACTGAGACTTTAAGCTCTCACTGCATTTGACTCTGGGCAAGTTGCTCCTGGTGGCAGTCAGACTTCTCAGATGACTCCAATGACCTCCACTTCCTGGTTTTTATGCCTTTGTGTGTTCTCCTCCTCGAGTGTGGACTGAACCTAGTGACTTGATTCTAATGAGTAGTGATGTCATGGAAAATGTTGGGACGTCACTTCTGAGATTAGGTTACAAAAGACTATGACTACAATAACTTATTGTATATTTCAAAATAGCTAGAAGAAAAACTTTGGAATGTTCCCAACACAAAGAAATGATAACTGCCTTGGGTGATGGATATGCCAGTTATTCTGATTTGATTATTATACATTGTGTGCATGTATCAAAATATCAAATGCCCCCCATAAATATGTATAACAATTATGTATTAATAAAAAAAAGACTGACTGGGCTTGGTGGCTTACACCTGTAATCCCAGCACTTTGGGACGCCGAGGCAGGTGGATCACCTGAGGTCAGGAGTTCGAGACCAGCCTGGTTAACATGGTGAAACCCCATCTCTACTAAAAATACCAAAAGTAGCCAGGCATGGTGGCACATGCCTGTAATCCCAGCTACTCGGGAGGCTGAGGCAGGAGAATCGCTTGAACCTGGAAGGTGGAGGTTGCAGTGAACCGAGATTGCACCACTACACTCTAGCCTGGGTGACAGAGTGAGTGAGACTCCGTCTAAAAACAAAAGACTGTGACTTCTACCTTCTATTCAGTCTCTCTGGAGCTTCTTGCTTGCTCACTCTGATAAAGCAATCTATAGGTTATGAGCTGCCCTCTGGAAGGACCCACTGACCAACGAACTGGAAGTGACCTGCAAGCAACTGAATCCTGCCAGCAACCATATAAGTGGGCTTGGAAGTGCATGCTTCCCTAGTTGAGCCCCAGCCAGCCAACAATTAGACTTCATCCCTGTAGAAGACCCTGATCCACAGGACTAGTTCTGTAGTCCTTGTGTCCTGCCTCTTCCCTCACCTCCTGTGAGAGTTCCCCTGAATTCCTGCCCTGGTGGTACAGAATGGTGTATCCAGTCTGCCCCCACTGCAACAGAACTGCCTTCTCTTTGGGAATTTGTTTCTTCACAGAATCACAGGATGTTATTTTCAAAGGGTGTCTGTGCTTGTGTTTAACCTTGTGCTATTTTATAATAATGAACCATTGGAAACCAAGTAAACTAAGTAAATTACAATGCTTGGTAGGTCAGAATATTATGTAGCCATTAACAATGACACCAGAGAATATTCACCCACCTGGGAAAAAGTTTATAATATAATGCTAAGTAAAAGTCTTGGTAGAAAAAAAAAAACGCTGGTAGAAAATAGTGAAAATAGTACACACTCTCTCTCCCTCCTTCTCTCTCTCTCTCTATATATATATATACACACACACTATATAGAGAGAGTATATACTTATTGTATATGAGTACTATTTTTACTATTTTCATATATATAAACATTTATAATAGCATATATAAATTTATACAAAAATATATAGCATTATATACTATATATAAAGTATATATACTTTATATGCATATATAAAGTAATTAAAAGCCTATGGAGAGGATATTACTTTGAGATGCTAATTGGAGCTTTATACCTGTAGATCTACTTCTCTTTGGTCTTTCTCTCACTTCTGGCACCTGGACATTCTACCTCATGCCTGGGGAGGAGACAGGACAGCATTATACAGCTCGCAGAATATTTAAATTCTTGGCTTGTAGAGTTCAAAAGAGAAGGTTCAGATCTAAGACAAAGGGCTTATTTGGAGATAACTGAGCAATTAAGGGTATCAGGGATCTTAGAGATCATTAGACCATCGGAGCTAGAACCTTAATTTTGGGAAGAAAGTGTTTTAATTACATCAGAGTGAATGCAGATCACGAGATGAAAGAATATATGAAAAACCAGAATCAGGTTTTAACAACCCCTTGCTTCCTTTCTGCTCCCCGCCATGTATAAAATTCTCCCCATTGGAGGTTTAAAGAAGAGAGTTAGAAGGGAACCAGAGGAAATGAATGGTGGTTTGGGATCCTGAGAAGGGGGTTCTTAGGCCAATAGGGTACCAGGTATATTTGGGAATCAAGAGAAATGACCACAGCCAGGGTATACTTCCACAACTAGGAAGTATGAATTGAGGAACCACTAGTTAGAACTGAGAACCCTTGCAGGGTAGATCAGAAATTGGAACATGGGAGGTCTATGTATAGGGTTTTTAGAGGGTCCCTTTGAGTTTCCTATAGTCCTAGGTGGTACAGAGCAGTGAGGTATTTCTTGAGCTCTAAGGAGCAGCAGTGAGGTATTTCTTGAGTTCTATGGGGCATATAAGTCACTGAGTGAGCTCTCATCAAATGAGGAGGATGCAACAGTTACCTGCCAGAAAAATATCTGGCAGGAATAAAACAGTGTGTATATATGATAGTGACCAAGAATCAAGCACACTTCCCATTGGATGCCTTGGAATTAAGCCAATGCACTGGAATGTAGAGGCAACCCTTAGGGGTATGTGGCCGTCAAACTAATGAAATGACAGAAATTAATTTCCATTACCTGGTTAAATGGAAGATCAAAATGAAAATTCAGGCCAATTACAATTTTTTTTTTTATTTTTTTGAGACAGAGTTTCGCTCTTGTTGCCCAGGCTGGAGTGCAATGGTGCAATCTCGACTCACCTCAACCTCCGCCTCCCAGGTTCAAGCGATTCTCCTGCTTCAGCCTCCCAGGTAGCTGGGATTACAGGCATGTGCCACCACGCCCGGCTAATTTTGTATTTTTAGTAGAGACGGGGTTTCTCCATGTTGGTCAGGCTGGTCTCGAACTCCCGACCTCAGGTGATCCGCCCACCTCGGCCTCCCAAAGTACTGGGATTACAGGCATAAACCACAGTGCCCAGCTGCCAGTTACAATTTTTTAAAAGACATTTTGAGCATATCTGAGTTTGTAGTAGAGTTTCATTCTAGCTACAAATTGCACTTCACTGCCAGGTACTCAATGCTCTTTGACCTCCAGACTTTCACCATCTCCATCACAATTAGAAAAATTTTCTCAACAGTTGTTGGGTCTTTGCATCATTCCCTCCAGATCCAAAGTCCAGGGCAGGAGCAACTGACTGGCTAAGTTCATGTCACACACTCGCACTCAAGCAGCCAATCAGAAGAGAGAGGTAGTACCTGGACTCTTTTCGTTTCCATAGAGGAGAGGAACTCAGCTAAGAACCATCAGCTACCAAACTCCCAGCTGGGGTAATAGGCACTTCATTCCTGAAAGGAAATATGGGTGCTGTCCATAGCAACTGCCAGAAACCTTTGGGTAGGAACCTGAGGCAAGTTCAGTAGTCCGCCCTTATCCGTGGGGCATGTGTTCTGAGATCCTCAATGGATGCCTGAAACCACGAATAGTATTGAACCCTATACACTATGTTGTTGTCCTATACATATATAGTTATAATAAAGTTTAATTTATAAATTAGGCATAGTAAGAGATTAACAACAATAATAACAAAACAGAACAATTATAACAATACTCCAGCATCACTTATCTTGCATTTTTTGGGCATTAAGTAAAATAAAGGTTACTTGAACACAAACACTACAATACTGTGACAGCCGATCTGATAACTGAGTTGGTTTCTAAATGACTAATGGGCTGGTAGCATGTGCAGGGTGGATACACTGGACAAAGGGATGATTCACATCGTGAGCAGGATGGCACAAGATTTCACCCCAATAACAATGTGCAATTTAAAACTTATGAATTGTTTATTTCTGGAATTTTCCATTTCATATTTTTGGGCCAAGGGTAACTGAAACCACAGACAGTGAAACTGAAAATATGGGGGAACTACTGTACTCATATGAATTTTGGCTTTTGCTCTGAGTTAGATGAAAAGTCAATGAAGGATTGCTAATAGCAGAGTATCAGGACATAAAGAATCTTTCTGGCTGTTCTTTTAAGAATAAACTGTAGAGAGCAAGGACTAAAGCCCTGAGACCAGTTGGGAGGCCATTTCCGTTTTAAAAAATGGATGATAGATGGACCACTAAAGGGTGGGTGAACAGCGGATAAGTGTTGTGTGAGCGTGTGGACTAACTTGTCTATCTCCACCTGTGCTGAAGGTTTGTCTTGTCTGAAGCTGTTGAGTATTGATAGAATGATGCAATTTTAGTCATGAGACTGTAACCAGGCCCCTTGAGATTTCAGCACCCCAGCATTTTTAGTGACTAAAATAATGAAAATGTTTTGCACTTGCTTTTTGCCCAATATTCCTTGTTTCCACAACAAAATTATTTGTTGCAAACAAACAGTTGCTGATGTGCTGTTTCCTTGTTAAACGGAGAGATAACTTCAGGGTCACGAAAAGGTTTGCAAGAAGAAATGAAAGACTTTAAGGACGTTGTGACTAGCTGCTGACTCCCAGAGGTCTAGTTGTTCCAGGTGTTACCTGAGAGGGAAGAAACACAGGCTTTTCCCCTTTGTTCCCTGAAACTTCCCCTCCCCTACTCCCCAGCCACATTAAAAGCCCACTTTGTTATTGTTGTTAAGGTGGAATTGAGAGCTCTTACCCTTCTGCCTTCTTGCTTTGGTTACATTGAATAAACATTTCTCCATCTCCAAACACCCATGCATCAATGTTGGCATCAGCTGCCCATTGGGTACACAAGCCTGAATCTGGGGTTCTATGACAATTCTGGCGACCATGGAAGAACCTTGTGCCCATGGCTGGGCAGTCCCAACCAGGATCTGCGTGCACAGGGAGTCCCCAAAGCTGCCTAGGCACCTTGCCTGGGGGACACCCCTCACTGGTTCCTTTCCTGCCAGTGGTGACCACTTTTGGTGCAATGCTCGCTTGGAGTGAAGACATGTACCTGACTTTGGTGTACTTTTGGATTTGCATTTCCTGGGTGAGTCACCACGACCTTTGTGACAATTCTCACTGGATAGTGATCTGGATAGCACCCCATTTGACCCCAGTTTCATAGCACAGGAAGGACAACGGATAGGCCCAGCCTTACCTGAGTGTGGCAACTGTCTAACAGATCCAGGGCTAGGGAATGTGGCTTTAATGACCGCCTCAACTACTGACACTGTGCCCTGTGCTCCTGAAGAATATGTTTCTTTTCTCTTTCCCTTCCCTTCCTTTCCCTTCCCTTCCCTTCCCTTCCCTTCCCTTCCCTTCCCTTCCCTTCCCTCCTTCCCTTCTTCCTTTCTTCCTTTCTTGACAGAGTTTCCCTCTCTTATCCAGGCTGGAGTGCAGTGGCACTGTCTCAGTTCACTGCAACCTCCACCTCCTGGGTTCAAGCGATTCTCATGACTCAGCCTCCTGAGTAGCTGGGATTACAGGCATTCACCACCATAGCCAGCTAATTTTTGTATTTTTAGTAGAGACATGGTTTTGCTGTGTTGGCCAGGCTGGTCTTGAACTCCTGACTTCAACTGACCCACTCATCTTGGCCTCCCAAAGTGCTGGGATTACAGATGTGAGCCACCATACCTGGCCTGCTCATGAGGGATATGTTTCGATCTGCAGTCAGGAAAACCAACCCTGGGCCTGTAGGTGCATTAGGAGGGGAGATCATGGACAACGTTTATTAGGATACTCAGTGACATCTTTCTCGGTACATAATGAAAGTGTTACCAAACACCGGACAAGTTCCCTAAAACTGTTGCCCAGGCTCTCCCAAGGAATTTTGGAAGGAGATTCTGTCTGTCAGGGACAGGGTGGTCTCTGAAGTGGATTTGCCAGGATTCCTGATGACACAGGGTACTTCTTCAGATATACGTTGCTCCCATGGTGGGGAGTGGCTGTTTATCACCACGTGCTTAGAAACATGTCCATTACTTAAGGATTAGAGCTAAAGAAAGGTGCTGCTATCACAGCACAGCAAGTCTTTGGATTCTCTAGCTAAAGTTGTTTAGATAATGGGATAGCATTAGATTACCTGCTGGCTGAACAAGGCCAACTCCTCCTGTTTGTCTTATATTAACACCTTGGCTGAAGTTGAAGTTGAAATGCAGGTAGATAAAATAAGAGAGCAAACTTCATGGTGGCAACAGATAAAAAGAAGATTAACTAGGATTAGGTGATTGGTATTCTGGATTGTTTTCTTGGATCTCACAAGGGATCCAATCTGTATTTTCTGGTATCGTTACATTTGGCTTATTTCTCTTATCGTTATTGTAAGTTATGTTTTCATTAATGTCATCATCAAATATAGATTAAGATGCTGCTCCAAGACTACAATAGGTAACAGTACCCAGATAATGGAATTGCAGTATGCAGGATATGGGCCCGGCCCCTGGAAATACTTTCAACTTCAAATGGATAGATTCTGCTCTTCAGTTTCCACACCTTTGCCCCTTTTTCAGCAGGAAGTAGCTAGAAAAGAATGACACCCCTTTTCCTACATGAATGAGGAATGGAAAAAGGCAGTGGGGATTTGTAACAGGGCCCCTTGAGATCTCAGCATCCAAGCATTTTTAGTGACTGAAATAATGAAAATTCTGATCAGGCCCTTGTTTGCTTGAACTTGCTTTTTGCCCAATATTCCTTGTTCCCACAACATAATGATAAACTGCTGATGTACTGTTTCTCTGTCAAGCAGTGGGAGTTAACTTCAGGGTCACAAAAAAAGTATCCAAGAAGAAATAAATGTCTTTAAGGATGTTGTGACAAGCTGCTGACTCCTAGAAGTCTGGTTGTTTCAGGTGTTATCTGAGAGTGAAGAAACACAGACTTTTCCCTTGGTTTCCTGAAACTCCCCCTCTCTTACTCTGCAGCCACATAACTCTCTGCTTCTTTTTCTTAAGGTAAATCGGAGAGATCTTGCCTTGACCAAATTAAATAAACCTTTCTCTATTTCCAAGCACTTGTGTGTCAGTGTTGGCATCAGCTGTACGTTCGGTACAAGAGCCTGAATTTCGGATTCTATGACAAGATTGGGTGGTTAATGCAGATACAATTGAATTATAGAGACAATGATCACATTTTCTGAATCTCAAGGCCAGATAGTTCTGGTGTTTCATGAGTAGGAGACAGAGCTTAAAGCCAGTGATTTAGGTGTTGAGCAATTCAGGAATTTCTAGGACATTTTGGTAAGACAGAATATCTGATTGGTGTTAGCCATGATTTAGGTGTTGAGCAATTCAGGAATTTCTAGGACATTTTGGTAAGACAGAATATCTGATTGGTGTTAGCCATGGAGAATGCTCCCTCTTGTGAAATGTTGAGAAGGGAAGAGAGAGTGAGGGTGGGTGGTATGGAGCCAGGGGCTAGGAATGAGGCAATCTCTCTTTTGTGGAAGTCCTCAGTAGGTTGGTGTGACTGCTGCTCTCCAACCTGGAAAAAGAAGACAGCGGCCATGGGAGACATTTAGGATTTTGTCTCAGGTTCTTCCCAGAGATGATCCAGGAATCCTGCTTCCCGGTGTTCTCCACAAAAGGGAGATGTGTTTGTTGCCTTGCCAGCATAACTTGGTGTTTTAAAATTTTTCTGATACAACCTTTAACTGGAAATCAGCCCCATGGGGGAAATCCTGAGATCCATGACAGAGTGAAGCATAGCCATTATAACCAGGGACTTTGCAAATATACTGACATGAGCTCAATGACCAGCTCTGCCACTTTCCAGCTGTGTGGCCCTGGAAACATTACTGCTCTGTTTTATCCTTGGTTCCTCATCTACCACTGCTTCCTAAACTTGAGTGTGCCCACAAATCACCTAGGAATCTTGTTACAAGGCTGGTCATGAGATTCTGCATTTCTAACAAGTTCTCAGGTGACCTGGAAGCTGCCTGTTCCTGGAGCATGCCTTGAGTAGTAATCTGATTTTTAGGGTTACCCTGAGGTTAATGTGTATTATTTATGAAGAGCTTAGCATGGAGCCTGGCATAATGGTTTGGAGTTATTGTTCCTCGGGCAATGGGAAGCAGCTGACTTGGACTTTGGGGGAGGACTCTGAATCAGAGTGGTAAGTAAGGGACAGTGCCCACATGAATGCCCCCTCTTCAATTCTGCCCTCCATCCCAGAGGAAGTCTGGAAAAATTATGGATTGGGGGGTTTACAATGCAATGGAAAAGGCCTTTTGGTGGGACCAAGGATGCCTCTGTTTTGTTCCCAACCTGTGATCTTAAAGAAGTCCCTCCGCATCTATGGGCCCTCTTGAAATAAATGAAAGAAATGATTCCTGTGTTTTTCTCCTCTCTCTCCAAGTTGTTGTAATTGGTGTTGCTTAAGGCAAACCAAAAGACTCTAGGACCAGGGCTCTTCACTCCTCTCCCCATGTAGCCCTTGGTAGGAAGATGTGGTTGAGCCTTAGTAGATAACAGCTTTCATAAAAATTCACTTTTTTTTTTTTTTTTTGAGACCAAGTCTCACTCTGTCACCAGGCTGGAGTGCAATGGCACGGTCTCGGCTTACTGCAACCTCTGCCTCCTGGGTTCAAGCGATTCTCCTGCCTCAGCCTCCCGAGTAGCTGGAACTATGTAGTGTAGTAGCATGCGCCACCACACCCAGCTAATTCTTGTGTTTTTAGTAGAGACGTGGTTTCACCATGTTGGCCAGGATGGTCTCGATCTCTTGACCTCATGATCCACCTGCCTTACTCAGCCTCTCAAAGTTCTGGGATTACAGGTGTGAGCCACCACGCCCAGCCCACTACTTTTTTTTTTTTTTTTTTTTTTAATTAAAAGTGTCCTTAACATCTTCAGTTTCTCCCCAGCTCCCCTTTCTTCCCTGGTTTCTGTTGTTTCCTTGTTTCTTATTTCACAAGACCAGAAATCCCCTCCTTGTCCAATGTAGGCCCTTCCAATGTTGTACCCGAATTTCCAAATCCACCCTCTCTGTCCTTCAAAACCTTTATCTCCCAGTGGGTTAAGCAGTAATTCATACTAAGGTGTGAATGGTTGCTCTAAATTTCCCCAGTGTATTTGTAAGTACGTGTATGTTTTAAAAAGGAGGTCTTGAGATTGTAAACATGATTGCAACATTTATAGAATTTCAGGCACAGAGATGAAGCACTTGTAGGAGCACATCAGGGAGAATAAATGTGGGGGTAGAGGAATGAACCTCTTGTTCACACACACACACACACACACACGCAAATGCCTTCTATGGCCCTCAGAGCAATCCCGAATCCATGGAGGGCTGTGTTCTTGTTAGAAAATCAGGTGAACTTGCAGAATTTCTCACATTTTTCTTTCCTCAAAAAGTTGTTGCTGTTGCCTCCGCAGCCTCCGTAAGCAAATAACTCACATTCACCAGTTTCAAAGTTGAAAAACCATCGCGTCATGTAGGTTTGACAAGGGCCCTTTTCCATAGGAAAAGCGCATACATTTGGGAGGAGATCCTTGATAGTGTCTGAAGAGAGAAAGTGGTTGAAGGAGACCAAACCCATCACCTTCTCCTTGTTTGCCTCATATGCCAGGGGCTGTGACAGCCCTGGGCACAATTGTGAGGCCATCCACAATGGCTGTGCTCTGTACCTCTTTCTACCCAGCTATGGTCTGATCTGTCTACACAGAAGTTGACATTTTCACTTCTGAGAGTAGCCTGATGTGGTGATAATCATAGGCTTGAGAATATAACTCAAGTGGATTGAGATCCTCGCGCAGCCACTTGCTACTGTGTGATGTTGTATAAACCTAACTTCTTCATGTCTCCATTTCTTCATTTGTAAAATCAAGGAGTTGAACCACATCATCTCTGAGTTCCCTTCCAGATCTACTTTTATAGGATTTGATAATAAAGATCCTCAGGTTTCTACCTCCTGTCTCATAATCAATTCTAGAATCAATATCCTATGAGAGAAGGAGGACAGACTTTGAATCTGAGAGCAAGATTGAATCTGAGAGGGTTCAAACTTGTCTCAATTATCTTCTAGCTATGTGATCTTGGACAAATGACTTATCTCCTTGACATTCAATTTCCTTCATTGCAAAAATGCAGGTGTAATATCCACATTTTTGGTTTATTGCAGGGTTAGAGATTACCAGTGAAAAGCATTGATAAATAGAAAATAAATCAATAAATAGTAGCTGCTCTTAATCATTCTATTTCTTAACCAATAAGACTCTTGAGAAGAGGGACCTCATTGTACTCATTTCTGCAGCCTTAGTGCCTAACACAGGCCTAGTTCTCAGTTCTTAGCAAATATTTGTTAATAGAAAACCACCACCACCACCCCACTGAGCCCCTCTGGGGCAGGATTAAAAGTTTCTTTGTACCCTCCTTTTATGTTTCTGTCACCATGTGGGCAGTTTTACTCTTCATGGTAGCTAGTAGAATTTCCAACATTATGTGAAGAAACTAAGGCCAGATAAATGAAGTACCTGTCCTAATGTCAGGCTAGGAAGCAGTAGGACCAAGAATCAAACCCAGCATGGTTCGACTGCAAAGGCTTGCAGGTTCTCCATCCATCTTGGTTGTTGTAAAATGAGTGAATGCACAGATGAATGATCACACCTATGGTGGAACTTCAGGCAGCAGCCTAGGGCTTGGAAAGGTTCAGACTCTGTCTTATCCTCCTACCTGCAAGGCTGACGCTAAGGGTGCAGGAGAATGGGGAAGAGGCAGAATAGCTTATTCAATCCAGGTGGGAGGTGGAGGGGCATGTTCTTAAGACATCCTAGTCACTGCATCATCGGCCCTTAGACCCTTACAGGTGACTCTGTAGGGGCTGGAGTCCCATCTGCTCTTAGTTTTCTCAGTCTTGCTTCTCTGCTCTTCCATTCCATTAAACCAAAGGAAAATCACTTGACTTGCTTCTTTTTTATGTAAAGTAGATAATGACACCCTGTGTGTGTGTTTTGAGTGTGACAGAAGCTGTTCTAAGTGCTTTACAAGAATCTATTAAGAGCTAAGTTATACTGAGAGCTTGACATACATCAGACTATTTGATTAATAAAGCAGAAAAGATGGTTAATCTTTTTTTATAGAAGAAGAAACTGATGCTCAGAGAGGCTATAAATGATGTTCCTGAGGCACAGAGTTTGTAAGTAGAGGAGCCTGGACCAGAACCCAGGTGTGTCTGACTCCAGGAATGCTCATACTGTAAACCACTACATTCTTCTTACTTATGGCAGACATTTTCAAACTTGAGTATGCGTCAGAATCATCTAGAAGGCTTGTTAGAGAGACCCACCTCCACAGTTTCTGATCAGGTGGGACTGGGAACTAGCATGTTTCCAGTTGATACTGCTGCTGCTATTGCTGTCAGACTAGGGGACAAACTCGAGAACCACTCATCTATAAGGTTATTGGGAGGTTTAGAGTTCCATTTATGTCTAAGAATCTATCATTAATAGCTCCATGTACATACATGCAGAGAACTATGCTTGCACATGCAAGAATGTTCACTGGCACATTGACAGTGATAATCTCCAGAGGGTAAGATTTTGATAATTTTTCACCTTCTTTCTTACCCTTTTGTGTATTCTAATATGCATTTTTATACAGGGCATCCTACTGGCTGCTTAAAAATCTTGGAAACTGCTGCCTACCATCCCCATTTCCAGCAGATTATCTTAGCTATAACTGCACTTCATCTCCCCACTTCCATTTGCAGATTCCAAGCTTCCACAGAGAAAGTGGTCCAGGAAGGAGCCTTTTCTGACAAGTGCATCTAACTTGGCTAAGTCCCTCACTCTCAAATTCTGGCTCTGATCTCCTTTTCCCAACCTCTCCTTGCCTGCCACCAGCCCCACCCCAGACATTGAAGGCCCCTTTTCCTGCTTTACTTATTTCATTTTCTATAGCACTTTGATCATCTATCATTTGTATTAGGTATTGTATGTCTCTCTCCCATTAGCATCTTAATTTCACAAAGGCAGGGTCTCAGGCTCTTTGCTTTAACCTCAGCACCTAGGACAGTGCCTGGCACATAACTATGTGCCCAACATATGTCTGATGAAGTGAATTGAACTGAATTGACTCTCAATCCGGTAAGGTAAGAAATGGGCTCTGTTTGTGCTGCATCACCTCCCCCACCACCCCGCCCCCCAGCCTGATTCCCAGTCTATTCTTTGAGATCCCACATTTCATACCAACCTCGTGCTAGTTCTGATCGAAGCTCTAGGCAGAGAGTGAGAATCAGGAGAAACGAGAGAGAGGCCTGAAGCTGCATGGTGCCACTCAGCCAGTGGCTCAGCCTGGGGTTGCCATTTTAGGGAGAAAAGGGACCAAGGGGAGGAGCCTGGCCCCACATCCAGCTCATTCACCTTTAACTCAGGCTTTTCATGGGGCTGGGCTGCCTCAGGAACAGAGTGTTCAGCCAAAGCACAGCTTCACCTCTCTCCTCCTGGCCTTATCTGATCTGGCCACCCAGGCTACTTTAGTACCACTTCAGGGTGGAAGCCTTTTTCACAATAATAAAAAGACAGCAGCCATTTTTGAGTACCTTTCCTTTTCCAGGCACCATGCAAAATAGTTTTCACACATTGCTTCCCTTAAGTCTACACGGGAATCCCACAACACTAACACTCCCATTTTGTAGATGAGAGGAGGTTATGCTACTTTGACCATTGTTACATGGACAGCAAGTTTCAGAGACAAGACTGAGACCCCGGTCTGTCTGCTTCAGTGCCCTCGTATCACTCATTCATTCAACAAACATTCATCAAGTACCCACACTGCACCAGGCAAAGTATTAGATGCTGCCTCCATCCCATCTGGGTGCTCCCAGGAAATTATGGCAACAACACACACAAACACATTGGAAGTCAGAAACAGTCACCTACTTGGAGGAGGAGCAGATTCATTATATTTTAATAGAAATATCAAAAGCACCATGTAGAAGGAGGGCCCAGCTTTGTTTGCTTCAGAGGGTCATGGTCTCTAGAGACACACCCCCAGAATCCAGCACATTCCAACTGTCTCCTTTCCTTGACTCTCTAGAGATCCATTTTTTTTGAAAGACAAAGCCAGCATGCTTTAGGGAGATTTAGTGAGCCTCAGATTTAAAATTTGAGGTTGTGATGGGTCCAGCTATTCTTTTTCAAGAAGCATTCTATCATATATTTATTATTATTTATTTTTAATTGAGAAATAAAAATTGTATAAAGGCAGTCCCCAATTTACAATGGTTTGACTTACAGTGTTTGACTTTATGATGGTGCAAACACAATGCACAGTCAGTAAAAACAGTACTTGGAATACCCATACAACCATTCTGTGTTCACTTTTAGAACAGTATTCAATAAATTACATTAGATATTCAACACTTCATTATAAAAGGGGCTTTGTGTTAGATGATTTTGCCCAACTGTAGACTAGTATAAGTGTTCTGAGCAAGTTTAAGGTAGGTAAGGCTAAGCTATGATGTTTGGTAGGTTAGGTGTATTAAATGCATTTCAACTTCTGATATCTTCAACTTAGGCTAGGTTTATTAGGCTATAATCTCATCATAAGTTGAGAAACATTATATATTTATGAGGTACAATATGATGTTTTGAAATATATGTGTGTATATATATATAGAGAGAGAGAGAAATTTTCTCTCTTAGCAATTTTCAAGTGTACAATATGTTATTAACTACGGTCACCATGCTGTGCAATAGGTCTTTACAACTTATTCCGTCTGTCTAACTGAAATTTTGTACCCTTTGACCAGCACCTTCCCAATACTTCCCACCCCCAGCCCCGGGTATCCACCATTCTACTCTCTGCTTCTGTGACTTCAACTTTTTTAGATTCCACATGTAAGTGAGATCACCTGGTATTTGTCTTTCTGTCCCTGGCTTATTTCACGTAACCTGCAGGTTCATCCACGTTGTCACAAATGGTAGGATTTCCTTCTTTTTAAAGGCTGAGTAGTATTCCATTGTGTATACATACCACATTTTCTTTATCCATCCAGTGACGGACACTTGGGTTGATTTAAGTCCAGCTACTCTTGACCTGGGCAAGTCATTTAACGTCTTCCAGCCTCAGTTTTCTCATCTATAAATTGGGGTTAATTATGTTGCTTTAGCATACTTCCCAGAATTGGTGCAAGTGTTCAATAAATATTCAAATGCCTCACACATTGTGAATGCACACACAGGTATATGTCTTTTGCAAGGGATGCGTGTGTGTGTGTGGCAATGATGCCTTTTTGAAAATGGGGGTGCTAACTGGATCAGCAGCATACTTAGTTGCTACAGAAATGTTTTCCCCATCTTTGCACATTAGTTATAGCTCTTCCTTTTCTTTAAATTCCCTAGAACCATGATACTCATTCCTTGGCCATTGCTTTCTCTAACTATAGCTTATACAATTGTTGGTCGATCCTCTCATTATCTATTGATCTTTGCTGTTTACCCCACATTTATTTCCTTGAAGGCACTTCTGAAGCCTACATTGCAACATCTCTTTGGTATAACTTCTTTTGCACTTTGAGGGGTCCACCAGCATTATCCTTGATATCGCCTTTCTTAGCCCTCTTGGGTGATCAAATCTGTTCATCAGAAAACAAAATAATGATAGAAGGAAGAAATAAATAGACTGTCACTTGTTGTGCAGGCAGAGGAAAGGCGGGGGCGCCTATTGATGATCCTTGGCTGAGAGCTTCCTGCAGTGTTGCCTCCTCTGGGGCAATGGATCAGGAAGTGAGAAGCTGCCTTTAAACGTACTATTCAGGAAAGCAGGGGAGGGAGTGATACTGCCCCCAAGGACACTCGGCAATGTCTAGAGACATTTTTGATTGGGGGCATCTACTGGCTTCTAGTGTGTTGAGGCAGAGATATTGCTAAACACCCTATACTGCTCAGGACAGCCCTCACATTTGGCATCAAATGTTAATCTTGCCAAGGTTAGGAAACCCTGCAGAAGAGCAATAGATACAAACACTTTTTTAAAAAATTATAATAATATTTCCAACATTAACAGCATGATAAGGATCCAGTGCAGTGAGGGGCAGTGCCTGATGAGGTGTGTCTGTACTCGTTTGGCCAAACAGGCCTTGTGGGAAGGTGCAACAGGACCTGGCCCTTGAAAAGCTCATTCTGTACTCAGGTTGCCCTGGGGATCTTTGGTCATGACTCAGTGAATTGGCTCTTTCTCAGGAGATCTGGGTGGCAGTGTTATTGTAATTCCAGAAAGGGGAGGGCAAGTGTAAGATTTATTAAAAACACGTTAGAGCAGCTAGAAGGCAGCCCTAGCTAGTTATCTAGCACTTATATTCATTGCAGGAATCTTACTAACCCTATGTCAACCATATGTGTGTGCATGTATGTGAAAAATCATTACATTATTTTTTTAAAAACTTTAATAAATTCAGGAGCTACATGTGCAGGTTTGTTACATGGACATATTGCACAGTGGTGAAGCCTGGGCCTGAAGAGTGAATACTGTACACCATAGGTAATATTTCAACCCTGCTCCGCTTCCAATTCACTTACTACTTTTTTTTTTTTTTTTTTTTTTTGAGATGGAGTCTTGCTCTGTCACCCAGTCTGGAAGTCTGGAGTTCAGTGGCGTGATCTTGGCTCACTGCAGCCTCCACCTCCTGGGTTCAAGAGATTCCCCCGCCTCAGCCTCCCGAGTAGCTGGGATTACAGACGTGTGCCACCACGCCTGGCTAATTTTTGTATTTTTAGTAGAGACGGGCTTTCACCGTGTTGGCCAGGCTGATCCCGAACTCCTGACCTCAAGTGATCCACCCAGCTCGGCCTCCCAAAGTGCTGGGATTACAGGCTAGCGCCACCGAGCCCAGCCCCAATTAACTTACTTTTGATTGAGACCCATTAATTTGGCTGGTTTAAGGAAGGAGGAAGTAAATAAGGGTGGGATTTTGAAAGAATAAAGTTTCACCCTTCAGGTTCTAACCTCCAAATGACCTTTCTCTTTTGTAGAAGGAAGAAGGGGACTAACATCTTATGAGCACCATATGTCAGGCAATTCATTTAATTCTGGTAAAATATAGTAACGTTGCACCAGTATAGCTCTATTTCCTGCCCCTCCTTTGTGCTTTTGTTGTCATATATATTACATTTATGTCTATTATAGCATTGTTATAATCAAGAGAAGACCACATACACACACACACACATACACACACATGCCCTTATATACACATATACACACTTTTATATTTACATACTTACCATTTCTGGTGTTTTTCATTCCTTCCTGTGGATCCAAATTACCATCTGGGCTCATATCCTTTCAGTCTTAAGGAAAAAGTCTAGTCCACGAGAAGCATCACCTCCTCTCAGTTTTTGTTTATATGGGAAAGTCTTTATTTTGCCTATATTTTCTTTAATTCAAATTTTTATTGAGATAATTATAAATTCACGTACAGGTGTAAGAAATAATATGGTTTCCCCTAATGTTAACATTTTGAAATGTTTCCCTAGTTTCCCCTAATGGTAACATTTTGAAAATGGGATATATATATATATACACACACACATATATATAAATTCTTTTTACTATAAGGAATTGGCTCACATGATTGTGGAGGATGATAAGTCTAAGATCTGCAGTCAGAAAGGTGGAGACCCAGGAAAACCAATGGCACAGCACCAGTACAAGTCCATGGGATTAAGAACTGGGAGAGCCAATGATGCAAGCTCTAGTCTGAGTCTGAGGACCTGAGAACCAGGAGAGCCAATGGCATAAGTTCCAGTTCAAGTCTGAGTGTGGAGACAACCAGTGTTTCAGCTTGAAGCCAGGTAGGCAGAAAAAATATATATTTCTTACTCAGACTTTTATTTCATTCAGGCCTGCAACAGACTGGTCAAGGCCCATCCACACTGGGGAGAGCAATCTGCTTTACTCAGTCTACCAATTCAAATGTCAATGTCATCCAGAAACATCCTTACAGACAAACCCAGAGATAATGTTTAACCAAATATCTGGGCACCCCATGGCCCAGTCAAGATGATACATAAAATTAGCCATCTCAAGTCCATTACTTGTCAACCTGGCACCCATACATATCTCCTTAGACTATACTTAATCTTAAAATAAAGACTATTACAAGGTTATAATCCCACCTAACATGATACAATTATCCTGCAGACAATGGAAATACACCAACCCCTTTCCCAAAGAGAACATAGTTTTTGAGTGACGTTTACTCCTCTTGATATCTCATAGCTTAAAATTCTATGATGTAAAATGAACAATACTTAAGTACTATGAAATAAAGTCAATACATCTTATGTTGCATAATAAGGAAATAGGAAAGGGAAGAAAACAAAGATATTTGCTTAATACACACCCATATTCATAACAAAATAAGGAGGACTACTCATGACAATTACAGTTTTTGTTTCTGTAATGGTCACGTGGTCATAGCTGGTATTTATAACTACTTTTCCCCACTACCCATTCTGTATTGCCTTTGCCTTCAGCAAGCACCTCATCTGGTCATTGTTCTTTACCTGGGCAAGTGACCCAAACTTTCATTCTTGAAGGGTTTGGGCCATTTGCTAATGGTCCTGCCTGGGTTGGGTTGTAGTTTTCCATTGGCCTTAATCAAAGGGCATGGTAATATTAAGAGTTGCCCCAAGGAATCTTCCGTATTCCGGACACACTCTTCCTTTACCTGTATTGTGCAGTACTTCAATTTCCCCCTTGGTAGTCTGGATCAATAACCCCAGCCAACATAGTAATGCCTTTCTTTGCCTATTAATTCAGAGGCAGGAGGAGCCCAAAGTGGCCAGATGACAGTCTTAACTTTCAGTTCAGTGGAATCATTGTTGGTTCTCTTTGTGAAAGCAGGCCTCCTTTTGGAACTGAGACTTCTAGGGAAGCATAGAATAAGATCATGGGAATAGGAAGCAAAAATTTTGCTAGTGGGTCACCAGGGATAATAGTGAGGAATGCCTACTCCCATTTCCACTCTTTTATTCCTGGGCACATGAATCCTGACTATGGGAGAAAGGGTACCATATATTGGAGGCTGATTCAGAGCATCTACAGCCTGCAGGAAAACCTTGCCCCCCGTCCTGCAAGGTACTATCAAACCAGCTGCTTCAGGATGCTGGGAAATACAATAAGATCAGTGAATTCCATGAGCACGGGCCTATTGCTGTAATTTTTTTTTTTTACTGTGACATCAGTTCCTTGATAAGAAACAACACTGTGTGAAATACTATGACAGTGGATAAGGCGTTCCATAAGTCTACAGATGGTAGTTCTGGCAGAAGCGTTCCATGCAGGGAGGGCAGATTAGTGTTCAGAGTAAGTATCTATTCTAGTAAGAACAAAACACTGACCTGTCCCTGATGGAAGTGGTCCTTATCTGTTGTCTTACCTTCCTCTTTCCCTCCCTCCCCACCCCCTTTCCCATGCCCACACACTGCCCATCAATATTTTTTAAAAGCTCCCCAAATGATTCTAATTTTAGCCCAGGATTAAGAGTGATTCTCCTCTGACTTTCACATCTAATAATAACCCACTAGAGGAATGTTTGCCTCTCATCCTCCCAATCCTGGGCTTAGTGGGATTGGTGGTCTTAGTGCTCAAGGGAGGAATGCTTCCACAGGAAAATACTGTTGGGATTTTGCAGAATTAAGAGCAAACACTGCCCCTTGGATATTTTTGGCTCTTCATACCACTTAATCAAAAGAGAGAAAGGGGAGGGTGTCACTGCACAAGATGGGTGGTTAATCCTGATAACCAAGGGGAAATTGGGTTGCTGCTATACAGTGGAGGTAAGGAAGCTTGTCTATATACTAGTTCTCCTGAGAAACAGAGCCAATATAAGATTATGTGTGTGTGTGTGTGTGTGTGTGTGTGTGTGTGTGTGTGTGTGTGTAATTGGCTCATGCAATTATGTAGGCTGGAGGTCAAAAAGTCCCATGATCTGTCATCTGCAAACTGGAGACCCAGGAAAGTTGGAAGTTGGTGGTGTAATTTAGTCTGAGTCTGAAGACCTGAGACAAGGGTGTGAATCTTTGTTCAAGGGCAGGAGAAGATGACATGAGATGTCCCAGTTCAAGAAATGAGGCAGAAAGACGGGACAAATTTTTCTTTCTTCCATCTTTTGCTTTATTCAGGTCTCAGTGGATTGGATGATGCCCATCCACTTTCAGGAGGGCCGTCTACTTTACTGAGTCCACCAATTCAAATGCTCATCTCATCCGGAAACACCCTCACAGACAAACCCAGACATGATGTTTAATCTGGATATTTTGGGGCCCAGTCAAGTTGATGCATAAGATTAACCATCACAACCTAGAACCCAAGGGATTCATTGGCACCTCTTAGAACTCCTTTGTACAATAGTCTTGATCAATGAAAAACTGTGGGAACCCCATAAAGGAAAGATTGTGAAGGGCTCAGACTGCACAGGAATGAAAGTTTGGATCACCTCGTCAGGTGAAGCACTCCATCTGACTGGCAGAAGGTAATGGAAACATAGAAAGGATGCCAGGAGAAGGCAGCTATGGTTATCACCTTGAACTTCATGACCAGCCACACAGAGGGGGTCTGTAGTCGCTGTTTTATGTTAGTTGTCTCTTTCCTCCCTTCTTCCACAATTGAATATGAGGAACATTGGTGATGGCTAGCATTTTAGCTTTTGGGTATGTGACCAACTGACACCCACAATGATTTGGTGACCAGGAGGACTCATGCAACCCCGTAATGGGACATGGACTTTTCATGCGGACAGAACCCAAGAGTGAATGTTGAGGGATGGATTTGAATTTCTTTCTTTCCCCTTTTGAACCTACTTACCCCCTCTTCTGTGCCCTGCTTTATACCTCAGAAAACCAAATGTATGGGTTGTATCAACGGTTATCTTGCTTTCTGGCTTCTCCTTGGAACCAGCCCATGGGGCACAGAGGGAGATTAGAGGAAAGACTGGGACTAAGGTTTGGGTATTTATTCCCCATCTTCCTCTGGTTGTGTCTCCACAGTCTGCATGGATGCCTCAATTTGCTCCTTTCAGGATACCCCTTCCATATAGATCTCTGTTCCAGTAACCAGCCCCTCCCCTTGGTCCTTCACATTAAGGGGTGTTTTATTATACGATGCATTTCCATTCATTCAACAAATATCCATTGAAGACCTCTCCTGTGTCAGGCACTAGTAAGAAAAAGGCACAACGCTTTTTCCTCGTAGAGCCTAATGTCTAGAGGGGAGAGAAACATTGAATAATGTCACAATTAAATACATACCTACAGATTATGATAAAAGCTATGACAGAGTTAAGTACAAGATCTGCGATGAAGATTTGAGGTGAAGGGAATCCACACATGTGGACCAGCACATGTGAGTGCTTTGGGGGCAGTAAGGAGCTCAGTGTCAGCTTTGCTGACAGTAAGAGGGAGAGAAGCTTGACTTGACAAGGTTTCTCAGTGAATTAGCTCTGGGGAGGGAGTTGTGGGAAAAAGAGGAGACTCCTTAGACATGAAAAGTAAAGTACATTGGAGTTAAACATACTTTTGGCCTCTCCATGTCCTCCTTTTACTTTACTGCTGAATTGAAAGAACACCGAAGATGTGCTCATTTTGCTTGATGAATTAATATGCTAAAGTAGGCAGTAAAGAGGAAATCAGTAGCAGGGAGAGAAAATTGTGCAAAAGGACAGAAATGATGAATCATGAATGATGCACTCTCTACTGGACAATACTTAGCAGAAATAGCAAATTAAGAAGGATGGGTCTTTAGAATAAAAGTTAATAGCAGAAGGAAGCAAGAATGTGCAAAATTATGATGAATCAGAAGTTTTGTGACCTACATTTAATAATACTTTTCAGGAATGTGATATTAAATCAGGAGTATTAGACCAGTAGTTCCCAAACTCACACGGCATCAGAATTACCTTGGATCTTATAAAATCATGTTGTATACTTTAAATATACACAGTAAAATTTTTTTAAAAAGGAACATTATATAGAATTTACAAAAAAGACTTACCTTGGGAGCTTAATTTATTTATAAAGTTTAGTTTTTTGGGAAGGCTCTAGAATCTGAATTCTTGGTGTACTGGTACTAGTGAGCTACTGCCTCAGGTGATTTGGCTAAAAAAAGAAATCCGTGGCTTATCAATGATAGACAATGTATTAAACAAGTACTGAAATGCATGCCCATTTTCTTCAGCATCTGCTGTTGTTATATGACATCTGAGATATCTTAGGACAGCCCAGGTAGCAGTACTTGTTGATTTTGAAATGTAAAGCTCACTGAATGGGGGTAGAAATTTCCCTCCAAACACAAAACCCAGGTCTCGATGACAATTAGGTGGGCTCAGTTCTCCCTTCCCCATGATTCAGCTGTGGAGTGCAGCTGGTCTGACAAGAGGCAGGTGTTGGCAAGGAATTGGATCCTGAGAGGGGTGTGGTCTACAGTGTTTTGCTGGATCTTCTCTTCCTCTGGGTAAGACAACTTACCCCAATCCTCATTGCTACCACCACTGATATCTTTATGAAAGTCCCTGGGGTTGGGGGGATGAGAGCCAAGGAAGTGCCACAGGCAAGTCTGTGGTGGGGGAAGCAGTTACCCCTCCAGGCTCTGGATGCTTCTTGTTCTTCAAACCAGCTGCATGGTACCTCCTCAGAGATGCAGCTGGCCATGCCTCCCCACCTAGTGGACCAAGTACCATTTGATCCCTCAGAGGTCTCAACCCTGGCTGCAGAAATTTTAGAAGAAGAGTGCCAGTCACACAGCTCCCACCTCTCTGTTCCCCCAGAGGTGTGAGCACTATGTGTGCCTGGGCCCCTTGTCTTAACTCCTGGGTTCTGGTAACCCCAAATCTTTTATACTCCCAAATCTAGGAGTGAGGGATTCTAATATTCATGTAACCAATTCTCAGTATTAAATCCTCTCTGAGTGAAAGCTTGGCTCTTTCAGTTCTTATACTGGGAATACTGGTTTTAACTCCCACCAAGACTTCCCTAGTAGGGAGTCCTAGTAGGAATTAGATTTAGGTACTGAATATTAAAAATCGAAATCACAAATAGTCACTATATCCATCCTGATTTCCAACTAGTCTGTGGGATCTGGCAACACTTTGCCACCCTTCAGACCTGGTTAGCTCCAGTTTTGTTACTCATTTGCTGTGTGATTTTAGACAAGTCCATTTCCCCTACTAGAAGCTTCCATTTGTGTATGTGTTTTTAAAAAGAGAGGGATTGGGGCTGCTGGAGTTTTCTAGGCCCCTCAGCTTAGACACTCCCTGCATTTCCAAATGATTTAAGCTTCCTCTGGGCATTTTTGGCTCTGGAGACAGCTCCAAAGAGAGAAGAAGGAGAAGAAGACGAGAGGTCCTGGATATGCGTGGTACCATGGGAAACACCTGAAGATTCCACTTGAGATGTCTTCTGGGATCTAATGGACAGAGTCATGAGCAAACAGTCAGTGATAAAGAGACCCAACGTACTCCAGCCCCACTGAGGTCTTGCAAGGCAGGGGTTCTCAGTGCTCAGCCCTGAGGGCTTTGAGTTCATTCTTGAGCAGAGCAGTGATCAGATACTGCTCACCACACGGCACATTCTGAACATTTCCAAGGGCCTCTTTGGTCCATGGGTGTCGGGGACAGAATGATTCTGTTCCATTCATTCATGTATGTCAACCCCAATCAAGGATTGAAGAGTGCCAGTGAGAAGGACAAGCACTAGGTGCTTATCAGATTTGGCAGAGTCCTTGAGCTGCTGTATTTTCTCAAATTTAGAAATACACTTTGACATCATTAGTCCATCGTCTTCATCTTAGAAATGCAAAACTGAGGCCCCAAGGGGAGCATCCCTCCACCCTATCCTGTTCCAACCACAGCATACATTCAACCAGGGGTAAAGCTGGGATTCAGATTTGGATCTCTTTATTCCCAGACACGTGCTCTTCCCATAGGATGCAGACCAAAGATGACTGGTTAGTAATTTGGTCTGAATCTTAAGGATGCACAGGACTGGGATAGGCTTCCCGGGAGCAAAGAACAATTCTCACAGAGGTATGGAGGCAAGAGCAAATGTCAACATGGGGAGATACCACACATGGGGACAATGTGGCTGGACAGACACTTTGCAAAACTGCCAAATGAGCAGCCTTTTCAGGGTCTTCATCACGACCCTGACCTGACCCTCCCACTTCCAAGGATTCTAACATCTTCACCTACTCTCCTTCTACACCAGAAACAGGCACCATAGACTTCTTTTGTTAATGGCAAGACATTTGTCACAATTTTATTGTAATCACTCAGAATATTCCAGAATACTATTGATCTTCTTTCATACTGTGGCAAACACTTTAAAAACATTATGTCTTGTCTATTTGGGGAGTTACTTTCTAACAATTGCATTAAACCTCATTTTCGGCCGAGCACGGTGGCTCACACCTGTAATCCCAACACTTTGGGAGGCTGAGGCGGGCGGATCACGAGGTCAGGAGTTCGAGACCAGCCTGACCAACATGGTAAAACTGCGTCTCTACTAAAAACACAAAAATTAGCCAGGCGTGGTTGGCACAAGCCTGTTATCCTAGTTACTCAGGAGGCTGAGACAGGAGAATTGCTTGAACCTGGGAGGCGGATGTTGCAGTGAGCCAAGATCGTACCATTGCACTCCAGCCTTGGTGACAGAGTGAGACTCTGTCTCAAAAAAAAAAAAAAAAAACCACCTCATTTTTCTCAGTAATTATTTGGACTTAGCTGTAAAATTTTTAACAGATTTATTAAAATATCATTGACATATAAAAAAGTATCCATTTAAGGTGTACCACTTGGTATTTTGATATACATATACATTATGAAATGATCACCACATTCCAGCTAATTAGCATATCTATAATCTCTACATAGTTAACCATGTATGTATACGTGTGTGTTGAGAAGATTTAAGATCTACTCTCTTGGTAAATTTAAGTATACAAGACAGTATTGTTAGCAATCCTTACCATGCCGCACATTGTATCTCTAGAATTTATTCATGTCGTATGATTGAAACTTTATCCCCTTTGATCAAGATTACCCCATTTCCCCCTCCCACCAGCCCCTGGCAACCATCATCCTACTCTCTGCATCTAGGAGCTGTATTATTAAAAAATGCTAAGAGAGTAGATTTTAAATGTTCTTGCCACAGAAATAACTTAGTGAAGTAATGCATATGTTAATTAGCTAGATTTAGCCATTCCACAATGTGTGCGTGTGTGTGTGTGTATCAAAACATGTTATTTGAAAAAGCAGTATGTAGGGGAAAAAATCATGTTGTACACAATAAATACATACGATTTTATCTGTCAATTTAATGTAAATTTTTAAAAATTCTACATATAAGTGAGATCATGTAGTATTTCTCTTTCTTTGTCTTGCTTATTTCACATATCATAACGTCCTGCAGTTCCATTCATGCTGTGCCAAATGGGAACATTTCCTTTTTATTTTTTAAGGCTGATATTATCCCATTGAATATGTATGTGTGTATTTTATTTTATTTTATTTTATTTTATTTTATTTTATTTTATTTGAGACAGAATTTTGTTCTGTCACCCAGGCTGGAGTGCAGTGGCGCAATGATAGCTCACTGTAGCCTAGGGGCTCCTGGGCTCAAACAATCGTTCTGCCTCAGCCTCTCAAGTAACTGGGACTACAGACACGTGCCACTATGCCCAGCTAATTTTTTAAATTTGTTGTAGGGATGGGGGTCTTTCTATGTTGCCCAGGCTGGTCTCAAGCTCCTGGGCTCAAGCAATCCTCCCACCTTGGCCTCCCAAATTGCTGGGATTACAGGCGAGAGCCACCATGCCCAGCCTTTTTCTTTCTTTTTTTTTTTTTTTTGGTTTTCCTCTTTTTTTTTAATTTCATTATTATTATACTTTAAGTTTTAGGGTACATGTGCACAACGTGCAGGTTTGTTACATATGTATACATGTGCCATGTTGGTGTGCTGCACCCATTAACTCGTCATTTAGCATTAGGTATATCTCCTAATGCTATCCCTCCCCACTCCCCAAACCCCACAACAGTCCCCGATGTGTGATGTTCGCCTTCCTGTGTCCATGTGTTCTCATTGTTCAATTCCCACCTATGAGTGAGAACATGCGGTGTTTAGTTTTTTGTCCTTGCAATAGTTGGCCTTCATCTGTCAACAGACATTCAGGTCGTTTCTGGACTTGCCGTGAATAACGCACAGTGAACATGGGAGCACAGCTTTCTCTTCTCAGTCCTGACTTCAATTCCTTTGGGGGGGATTTCTGGATCATATGGTAGTTTTAGTTTTAATTTTTTTGGGATCTTCCATATTGTTTTCCATAAGTAGCTGTACCAATGTACATTCTCACCACCAATAGTGTCCAAGGGTGCCCTTTTTCTAAATTCTTGACAACACTTATCTTTTGTCTTTTTTATGATAGCCATCTTAACAGGGGTGTGGTGACATCTCACTGTAGTTTTAATTTGCATTTTCCTGATGATTAGAGATCTTGAGCACATTTTTATATACCTGTTGACCATTTAAATTTTTTCTTTTGAGAAATGGCTATTTAGGTTCCTTGCCCATTTTTTTCAGCTTCCCAAAAATTGTTGGATGTCCATTTGTTAATCAGGTTACTTGTATTCTTGATATGTATTCTTGAATAGTAGTCGTGTGAGTTATTTATGTATTTTGGATATTAATTCTTTACAGCATATATGGCTTGCAAACATTTTTTCCTACTCAGTAGCTTGCCTTTTCATTTTGTTGATTGTTTCCTTTGCTGTGCAGAAGATTTTAGTTTGATATAATCCCACTTGTCTATTTTTGCTTTTGTTGCTTGTAATTTTGATGTCATGTCCAAAAAAAATTGCCAAAATCAATGTAAAGATGATTTTTTCTTTTATCTTTTTCTAAAAGTTTTTATTTTTCTCCCCCTAGCTTTATTGAGGTATAATTGACAAATAGGAATTGTATATATTTAAGGTGTGCAACTTCCTATATTGATAATGTATAAAATGATCGCCACACTCAAGTGAATTAACATATACACCATCTTACATAGTTAACCTTTTCTTGTGTGATGAGAACACTTAAGATCCACCCTCTTAGCAAATTTCAGGTATGCCATACAGTATTGTTAATTGCAGTCACCATACTGTACATTAGGTTCCAGAACTAATTTATCTTGCATAACTGAAATGGAAACTTTGTACCCTTTGACCAATATTTTCTCATTTTTCTCCTTCCCCCACCCCATCACCCCATCCTCCTTGTAATTACCATTCTACTCACTGCTTCTATGAGTTTGACTATTTTATTTATTTATTTATTTATTTGACAGGAACTCACTCTGTCACCCAGGCTGTAGCCTCAAACTCCTGGCGTCAAGCAATCCTCCTGCCTCAGCCTCCCAATGTGCTGGGATTACAGGCATGAGTCATCACTCCTAGCCCAAGTTTGGCTATCTTAGATTCCACATATAAGTAAGATCAGGCAATATTTGTCTTTTTGTGTCCAGCTTAATTCACTTAGCATGATGTCCTTTGGATTCATCTGTGTTGTGGCAAATGACAGGATTTCCTACTTTTTAAAGGATGAATACTATTGCATGTGTGTGTACACATATAATGTATACATATATTGTATAATGTATATATACGTTGTATATATATGTATAACGTGTGTATACACATGTGTGTGTATGCATACACACACCACAGTTTTTAATTCATTTATCTGCTGATGACATTTAGGTTTTTTTCATATCTTTGCTATTATGAATAATGCTTCAATGAACTTGGAAGTGCAGATGTCTCTTCAAGACTTTTTAAAGAATTTTAGTTTCAGGTCTTATGTTTAAGACTTTAATCTATTTTAAGTTGACTTTTGTATATGGTATTGGATAGGGGTCCAATTTCATTCTTTTGCATGTGAATATCTAGTTTTCCCAGCACCATTTGTTAAAGAGATCTTCTGTTGCCTATTGTGTGTTTTTGACACCCTCGTCAAAGATCAATTGACCATAAATGGGTGGGCTTAGTTCTGGCTTCTCTATTCTGTTCCATTGGCCTGTATGTCTGCTTTTCTGTTTTTATGCCAGTACCACACTCTTTTGATTACTCTAGCTTTGCAATGTAATTTGACATCAGGAAATGTGGTGCTTACAGCTCTGTTCTTTTTCAAAATTCCTTTGGCAATTTGGGGTCTTTTGTGGTTCCATATGAATTTTAGCATTGCTTTTTATGTTTCTGTAAAAAATGCCATTGGCATTTTGGCAGAAATTGCATGTGCTCTGTAGATTGCTTTGGGTAGTGTGGACATTTTGACAACATTGATTCTTCTAATCTATGAGCATGGATGTCTTTTCATTTATTTGTGTCTTTTAAATTTCCTTCATCGATGTTTTATAATTGTCAATGCATAAGTTTTTCACTTCTTTGGTTGAGTTAATTACTGAGTGTTTTGTTGTTGTTGCCGCTGATGGAAATGAGATTGTTCTTGGTGTATAAAGTTGCTATTGATTTTTGTATGTTGATTTTGTATCCTGTAACTTTAATAAATTTGTTTATTAATTCTAACCTTTTTTTGCAGTGCCTTTAGAGTTTTCTACAATCAGTTTTACCAGCCCTTTCTAAAGAGAGGGAAGCAGAGATGGCAACAGCATCAACAGCAAATGAATTCCAGCCTCTTTAGAGCCCCTTGATCCAAGTTATATTAAACAACAAACTTATTTGACAAGAGATAGCAAGTCTTGGTGTGCTGTGATGACAAGCTGCCTGTTGTGAGGTTCCCTTCTCAAGCCTGGCATCCTCTTATCTTGCCCAGTCCTATGGGTGTCTCTTTCTTCTTTCTCTCTCCCTATCCTTCCTTCTACTCCCTTTTCATCTTTTTTTTCTTTCTTTTTTTTTTTTTGAGACCAAATCTCGCTCTGGAGTGCAGTGGCGCAATCTCAGCTCACTGCAACCTCCGCCTCCCGGGCTGAAGAGATTCTCCTGCCCCAGCCTCCCGAGTAGGTGGTATTACAGGTGCCCGCCACTATGTCTGGCTAATTTTTGTATTTTTAGTAGAGACAGGGTTTTGCCGTTTTGGCCAGGCTGGTCTTGAACTTCTGACTTCAAGTTATCTGCCTGCCTTGGACTCCCAAAGTGCCTGGGATTACAGCTGTGAGCCACTGCTCCTAGCCCGTTTCCATCTTTGATCACCTATTCTGTGAATAAATTTTCTGAAAACTTAGCACTTTAAAGCAACCATTTTATATTGTGGGTCAGCCATCTGGGAAGCAATCTGCTTGGTGGTTCTTTTATAGGGTCTTTCCCATGGTTGCAGTCAGATGTCTGCTGGGGCTGCAGCCATCTGAAGGCTCTATTGGGTTGGGCATCTCATTTGCATGGCTGAAATTGATGCTGGCTATCAGTCAGAGCTTATCTGGGCCTGCTGATCACAGCACCCACATGGGTCTCTCTAGCATGGGCCTCTCTCAGAGTAGTTGGACATCTTACATGGCAGTTTCCCACTGCCCCCAAACAAGCTACATAAGAGGATCAAGTGGGACTTGCACTTATTCTAGCTTAGCCTTGGAGGTCACATAGCATCATTTTTGCTTTATTCTCTTGGTCAAAGCAGTCACAGAGTTTTCTCAGATTCAAAAGGAGGGGACATAGATCCCACTTCTAGGTGGAAGGTGAGTGAAAGAATTTTAGGACCTTGCTTTAAAACAGTCACACCATCCAGTGTCTTTTCCTCCTTCACCCCTTTCTTCTCCCTTCCTCTTTAACTCTTCTCTGCTTTCCTCCATCTCCCCCTTTCATGCCTGTCCAGCTATTTTCAATTTTGGAGTTTCTGCACCATACTATGGAACTGTCTTCTTTACTACAACTCCAGTAAACAAGTCCATGAGCCCTTTCAGAGACGGACTTACCATGAGGTCGATGGAGCCAAGCCTCAGGGTCCTCGCTCGAGCGAGCCCCTTTTAAGATTCTGGGAGTGCTTCTAGCTATATGTTTACATGGTCAGATGACTTGTAATATCTGCAAAAGTAAGATATTCTAACCATAATCGCCAATCCACCTTCCCTTTCCACTCTGACCTTTCCCTCTGTCACACTTCTCCTAGGTCAGGTGGTGTTTGGGCGACTGCCAGCATTTTAGGCATGCAAATTAAAAGGAAGTTGAGTTGGGGATATATTTATTTTGGAGTTAGTAGAATATATTTAGGTCGTTAGCTGTCATTTGTATGTGTAGGAAGTTGCTGCTAGCTGTCCTGGTGGAGAAGCAGCTGCAAATAATACTCCTGTTTTCTACTGGGCCTATTCCCTTGATGTTATGACACTAAGTTATGGGACTAGAGGTTGCACTGTAAAATGAATGTTCTTAGCCCAAGAAGGTTGCGGGTGGTAGAGGAGAAACAAGTTTTGAAATGTGTGGAGCCAGGAAAACAAGCCTGTGTAGCATTCTTTCAAATATCAGATACATCAATTTTTTTTTTGAGATGGAGTCTCACTCCACCGCCCAGGCTAGAGTGCAATGGCACGATCTTGGCTCACTGCAACCTCCACCTCCCGGGTTCAAGCAATTCTCCTGCCTCAGCCTCCTGAGTAGCTGGGGCTACAAGTGTGCACCACCACACCTGGCTAATTTCTTGTATTTTTAGTAGAGATGGGGTTTCACCACGTTGGCCAGTCTGGTCTTGAACTCTTGACATCAGGTGATCTGCCCCCTTCGGCCTCCCAAAGTGCTGGGATTACAGGCATGAACCACTGAGTCTGGTCAGATACATCACATTTTAATTAGAAAAAAAAAATCAGCTCTTATGGAAGCCTGTTCAGAAGTTCTTTTGTAGTAAGCATATACTTGATAATTCAATATGTACAATTTTAAATGTACCATGCATTTTTTCTTTTTTTAATAGAGTTGTACAAAAGATAATTTATTAAAATTCCTGTGTTTCTAGGACACAAACCTGTAACAGAACTGCAGACATCAAGCATGGCTTCAAGCATTCAGGTACATGTTTTATCCAATTCACCTATAATAAAAATTAAAATATCATATTTTGATCCCCACATTAAATAAAAAGTTATCTTTCCATTCTCTCCACAGAAATAGTGCTTTACAGAATTGAGGTCATAAATGTAAACAATGAATTATTAATTTATATGGGTTTTGTGCAATTTTTACTGTTTGTCAGCCTTTAAAAATTTGCAGCTGGTTGCAATTTCCCTCCTCATTTGAAATAATATTCTCTTTTGTACTCATTTGTGCTTGGTTTCTTTCTTTTTTCTTTTCTTTCTTTCTTTCTTTTTTTTTTTTTTTTTTTTTTGAGTTTTGTTCTTATTGCCCAGGCTGGAGTGCAATGGTGCAATCTCAGCTCACTGCAACTTTTGCCTCCTGGGTTCAAACAATTCTCCTGCCTCAGCCTCCCGAGTAGTTGGGATTACAGGCATGCACCACCACGCCTGGCTAATTTTGTATTTTTAGTAGAGATGGTGTTTCTCCACGTTGGTCAGGCTGGTCTTGAACTCCTGACCTCAGGTGATCCGCCCTCCTTGGCCTCCCAAAGTGCTGGGATTACAGGCGTGAGCCACCGTGCCCAGCCTGTGCTTGGTTTCTAAAGGAGCTCCTCATTTATCAGGTTTAGACCATACAAAATCTGGATCTGCACTGGCTCCATTCTTCAGCATCTTAACGACAACTTTACCAAAGTAACAATGTCACTAGCATTCTCAATTTGCAGGATTTTCATACTCTCTCCCTTTTTTGGTGTCACCAGAAAATGCAATGGCTTTTTGTTCTCTGAAAATTGCATATAGAGAGATGTGAGTGTATGTCAATATCAGCATATTGCAGATGTGAATTATTCAGCCTCGGAGAGATCGGACCCCACAGAGCACTTTATTAAGGCAACTGAAGCCTTCATACAAATAAATGGGGGGTCTGAAAGTTGAAGACATAGAGTTTCATACTGAGAAGTGGTCAAGGGGAAGAGCATTGTGTTTGAAGAGATGCTACGCTGGAAGAAAGTGTGTAAGCAATTCCTGGGGTTCAGTTTCTGGAACAGCCAAGGTTTGGCCCGTGGAAGCCAATTTGGAGCATCAATCAGGCACACGTGGAGAGAGGCCTGGATTATGAGCCAAATCCTGGAGGTTATTCAAGCTCCTCCTTATGGTATAAAGTAAGGCTGACCTGTGAAGCAGAAGAATAAAGGGTGAGATGCTTGGACCCTGACCACATTAGGAACCAAATCTTGCACCTAATGGGAAAAAGGAGGTGGGATCATTTTTACATCTTTGGGCAGGAATGGAATGAAGGTGAGTTTGGGGGCTCCTAGAATGATCATGAGTTCTGACTTGTCCAGTAGAGTCCCAGTTTATGCCTGTTGTCTCAGTGTAATAATTAATGGCACCTCACCTTGAGACACTTTCAAAAGTGATTTGGTTTGGCCAATAAAGTATGTGGTTGCCCTGGTTAGAAATAACCTTTCAAAGGAAGAGAAGTAGCAACAAGGTTTAGTGAGAAGTAAAGGACTATAATGATTGGCTGATGAATGGTGCCCAGGGCTGGGCTGGGTTTACCGGGCTTCCGTCTGACCTGGTCTGGGATACTCCACCACTTCTGTTTTCTCTCTACACCCACTACTCACCTCATACTTGCCAATATCCCTTTGACTAATCCCTCCCTTCCCACCCTCTTTCCCAAAATATCCTTCTACTTATACTTCTGCATTGGAGCTGGTTTTGTCATCCCCAGCGCCACCCAGGTCTTGGAATAGACCAGCCAACACCCAGACCTCCCAGTGTGGCCTTGGTGAGCACAGGAGACCGGGACCTCTGGGACTTATGGTATTTTTTGCAGGTGACCAGACAGATAGCTTCAGTTTGGAAGTTGTTATTGTTCCCCTGGCTACCGCCATAGATGAATTCGGAGCAGATCTTAGTTTTTTTTATTGTACCACCAGTGTGGTATGGAGGCCAGGCAGGGGCCAGCCTCCTGTGGCATACTGCATATATCTGCAGGGAGATCGCAGAATAGAGCTGTTTGGGTGCCTGTCTCCCTGGAGAATGTCCATCTCTCCCCTTCTCTGGCCACCATTCCCTTTGTCTCCACTGAGAAGCAAATTTGCCTCAGGGCTCTGTTCCCAATTCAGTGTGAACCCTGACCACTCATTTTACCTCTCTGGTCCTTGACTTCCTCATCTGTAAGATGAGAATACAAAATCCCAACCTGCTCGCCTAACAGGGCTGTTGGAAGGAGCAGCTGTGACATCACATGGCTTCTTTTTCCTTGCCTCCCCAACATCTGAACACTAAATCTGGCTGATTTTGCCTCCTAAATAGCTCTCCTTTATTTCCTTCCGGCTGCTTTCTTAATTCAAGCATAATTATCTTTTGCAAGGACTCCATGAAAGGCCACCAGCTGATCTCCAAGACTTCTCCAATCTGCTCAACATTGGTTTCCAGAATGGCCGATCTGCTGGGCACAGGATAAAGTTCTACCAAACCCAGAGGGACTTCAGAATCCATTTTCTCCTTCTCCTCTCCAGCTTTATTTCTTATGCTGCCCCAACACCCAACTTCCCAAACTTATGCTCTAAAAATAGCACTTTCTTACACACCCCGTGCCTTTGCACATGCCTGACATATCCAGCCCCCTCTTGCTAAGTGAACTCTTGTTCATTCTTTAAAACCCTTTCCGGACATTGACTCTTTTATGCAGTCTTTCCTGGATTCATTCTTTACTCTTTGCTTTTCTTCGTTGCTTCTCAGTCTTGCACACACATTTATCATTTCCATTTACTTTCTTGTTCATATTTTCTGATTCCTCCATGAGAATGTGAGGTTTTTGAGAGGGGATTGCATCTTATGCCATCTTGATACAGCAGTTTCTAGCAGGTAATTTGGCATAGAGAGGATGCTTCAGGAGTATTCACAGAAAAAAAAAAAAACCCAAAACTCAAATCTACCCTGATCTTAAGCATTTATTGAGCAATTATTTTGCCCATAGTGCTATGAGGTACAAATAGAGTTCTTTAGAACCTCAGGTCTGAAGCACGACAAAACAACAATTGTAGCATTGATTAGTGTCAGCACAACAAAACAACAATTATAGCATTGATTAGTGTTCTTAGTAGTTGACATCTATTAACATTTAATCTTGTAAAGTAGGTCCTCTCATTGTTCTCATTATGCAGATGAGAAAACTAAGGTTTAGAGAGGCTAAATAACTTTCTTGAGGCCACACAGATGGTAAGGGATTTGAACATAGGTTAATCCATTGCTGTTAGGATCAAGACCAGATCCCTTACCAGCTCTCCTTCCCCCAACTAGCCCAGCTTCATCTTCCTCTCTTTTTAAAATTTGTTACTTGTTTATTTATCAAGAGAAACTATTTCTCAGCCCACATATTCATGCTTCATGGTTCAGGAACACAAGTCAGTGACAAACTTTAACCCAAAGAAATTCTTTCAATTCCAAAATCACTTTGTACTCTGAAAGATACCAGCCTTCCTCATCTCCTGAAAATCTGTTATAGAATTACAATTTCTCTAGAAATCTGTGTATGCCTTATTTCTTGGTTCAGCAACAGCGAACCTATAGAGAGCTGCAATCCATAGGGATGCAACAAATGCTTAAACAATATGAAACCACAGATGCCTGGCTGGAAGGCCACACATTTGAGGTTTTATCAAAGCACTGAAAACCTAGTTATTGTCTTGAAAGGTATGTCAACCTAAAGTAACAAGATTCAGAAAATATCATTAAGTAGGGCATTTATTTGACCCCAAAACTTGAGGATGGCCACTTGGGAATACAGATTCAAGTTGCCCTGAATATACACTACCAGTTTCCTGTTTCTTGTCTCTTGCTCACTCTCTGCTTTCTAGCCTTTCTAGACCTGAACATCCTGCCTCCTGCCACAGAGCCTTTGCACATCCTATTATCTGGCCTGAAAGGCTATTTCTTCCCATTTTTGGTCTAAGTACTCATCTTTCAGATCTTAAATCATGGATCTCTTTCCCAGAAAAACTTTTCTGACCTTCCTGGCCACAATGAGCAAGTGGAACCCATCATGGGTGTCAGGGGCACCAATCAATATTTGTTGAATGAATAGAATGAACGAATGGTCCTTGATGATCTTCTTTAGAGCTCAATAATATGGGCAGAGAAGAAAGAGTGTAGGCGGTCTAAGGTGGTCAGGGAAGGCATCCTGGATTTATGTAGACAGAGAGGCCTAGAGAAAAAAGCCAGGAAATACAGATTATATACCTGTCTCTTATAGCTATCATATAACCTGACACAATGTTGGCATTTGATGAGACTTTGGTGACTACTTGGCATCTCGAGAATCACTGAAGAGTAGCCAAGAGACCATGTGGTCCATTATCCACACCTGTCTTATGGAAAGGGAAACTGAGGCCCAGAAAGGAAAACTACATTGTTCACATCACTTACCAAAATAGAGGAAGAAATGAAATAAAATCCATGTCTCCCAAGTCCAGGACTGGCAGATTTGTGTCAAGTAGAAGATGTACCTAAACTCTTGGTCAGAGACCAGCCATCAGTGAACTAGGAGACAGAGGTAGTGCAGTGCAGGTGGAGATAGGAGGTGAGGGCACTGGGTAATTTAGGAAGCATCTGAGTTACCTTTCTGAAGTCTAAACATTTCTTTCCACGGCTGAACGGGCAACACTTCATGTTTTCTGGGCAATCTCTGGGTTTGGTACACTGGTCTATTTCTTCCACTTCGCATTCCACTTTGATTTTGGGACACGGCTCTAAGGGAGGGGAAGATATATTCCCTCAAGGCCTTAAAGGAGCCAGTGCTCCCCCTCCCCGAGACCAGGGCACCCCTCCAGAGTTAGAGAACTTTGTTTCCACTTCACCTATCCCCAGAAGGTAGTGGCCCTCAGGGGGCTCAGGAATTTCACAACACTGCTCACATCCCCAACCCCATAACAACTCACCATCGGATGCCTAAACCAACCCCTACCCCCTACCCGCACCATCTATGAGATTCCTGAGAGAAAGACGCATTCCTCTAAGACTGTTCTGGTCACTCAGCCTTGCTGTGCTTGGTTGCTCCCCCAGGAGGTGCTGTGGCTCTCGATGATTGAGATTAACATTTCTGGCATCAGATAGCTGGGCTTTTGAATTCTGTGAGACGCTTGGTGTGCCAGGCACTCTCTCTGAGCCTTGATTTCCTCATTTGCCCATAGGGTTGCTTTGAAGACTAACCAGCAACACAGTTTGACAAGCCATCGTCAAACTGCCTGGGGCAATGTAACGTAACAATGAGTAATATGGATGAAGCACTTACTGTGAGCTGCCTTTTCTCCTTAATCCTCATTACAAATCTATGGGTAAGTACTCTTAATATTCACATTTTGTAAACAGAAGAATTGGAAGCATAAGGAGATTATGTGAATTTGCCCAAGATCACACAGCTACTCAGGGGTGGAGCCAGGTTTGAACCTACAATGTGTGGCTCCTGAGTGCTCACTTTCAACCACTAATTTTCAGTGCCCAGTACAGTTAGCTGCTAATTGTGAGTCTTCACATTTCAGCATTCCAAGGGACTTCTGGAGACCATTCTTTAACCCAAAGACCAGGGTCCTCTGTGGGTATGGGTGTGGGGGCTGCAATGAGAACATTTGGAAGTTGACACAGGTGGTGTTGTGGGGAGCAGCCTGTTTTTCTTGTGGGAGACTTCCTTGGGCTTACTACTCCTTCTTAGTTCATTTCATGAGCTCTAGGTCCAGGCACCTCCAGGAAGAACTCTTTGGAATGGCAGCAAGGAGTCACTTGCCACAGATTTGGATGCCTGTATTCACCAAGGGAGTCTCTTACCAAGAGACTTCAAATAGCTCCCCTCTTTCCCACCTGGAATTCCAGGCAGAGGTGGAGAAAATAATTTCTCAGCTGCAAAATTATTCTTTGTTCCTTCCTCCCCACTGAGTTTCCTTTCCCCATTGCAAGGACGGAGTTCCCAATACTTACTGCCAAGGATGCCTTCAGCGTGCCCAGGTTCCTGGATGTCCCCCAAAAGGATGAATGGTACCAGGATTGGCAGAAGTCCTGAGAGTCCCATTTTAGGAAGTACTGGCCTGGTTGATGGCACCAAAACTAAGAACTGCTCCTCAGCAGCTCCTACATCTGCACTTTGCCTGCCCCGGTGTGGCCCAGCACCTTAAGAGACAGCCCTGGAGACAAGCCAGCCAGACTCCCCGATCAGGAACACCAGATCCCTGAGGCCATCAGTGGGACTACCTGGTACCTACACTGGGGGATAGGTGGCTCCTAATCCTCAGCAATCTGAGGCTTTCTGGTCTACCAGGGAAAGAGGGCACATGTTGTCTTGGGCTTTCCAGGCTCCCTTAGCAGAAGGGGAGGTTTAACTCCAGAGTCTTCCATTTCCCAGGGGGAGTTTGCAGGTTAACAGTATGCTAGCTCTCTTCCTTCTTTCTAATTTCACTCTTCTCCTGACATGTCTATTCTTATGTTTTATTTTTCTCACTCTGTTTCTTCTCTTTTCTGTGCATCTGTATGTCTTTTACTCTGTGCCTGTCTTTTTCTCAGGGAGTCTCTGTCTGTCTGAGTCTCTTTCTCCCCGCCCTTCACTTCCCTCTCTCTTCTTTCGTATGTAAAGATCAGTTACATTTATCCTTTAAGTCGTTTGATTTTGCAACAGTAAATAACTTCTTTCATTACTTTGGGACTTCTCCAACTCTGTTCTCCGTTTTTCCCTGTTGTCACAGCTACAGCATTGGATTAAAAGTCACACCCTGAAGCATTAACGCTTGAGCATCTGTACCAAGTTTTATATCCTTGGTATAAGCCCGAAGGAGGTGAGGAGCCAGTTACCTGGGCATCAGTTCCATCTGGCAAAGGACTGTGGGTAATGGAAGCATTTCTGCAGGGTGGCAGCAGGGTGTGTGTGCAGCAAGGCATGTCATCAGTGGTGAGTGAGAAGTTCATTCCTTTTTATGGCCGAATAATAGCCAATGCACATTGACAGCCTCCTACCTCTAGCATCAGTCCCTAATTTTCTGCTGTGGGTTTTCTCTGGCCCCCAGGGAGCTTGTATAGCTTGCAAGTATAACAGTTTGAAAGAGCGAGGGATTTAGTATCCCTGGCATCCAGTGGGCGTTGGGAATCAGTGGACAAATAGCTTAGCTTTCCCATCACTGGAGACAGATTAAGAAAATTTGTGGTCTGATATCCAGAATCTACAAGGAACTTAAACAAATTTACAAGAAAAAAAACAAACAACCCCATTGAAAAGTGGGCAAAGGACATGAACAGACACTTCTCAAAAGAAGACATTTATGCGGCCAACAAACATATGAAAAAAAGCTCAACACCAGTGATCATCAGAGAAATGCAAATCAAAACCACAATGAGATACCATCTCATGCCAGTCAGAATGGTGATTATTAAAAAGTCCAGAAACAACAGATGCTGGTAAAGCTGTGGAGAAACATGAATGCTTTTACACTGTTGGGAATGTAAATTGGTTCAACCATTGTGGAAGAGAGTGTGCCAATTCCTGAAAGATCTAGAACCAGAAATACCATTTGACCCAGCAATCCCATTACTGGGTATACACTCAAAGGAATATAAATCATTCTTTTATAAAGATACATGCATGTGTATGTTCACTGCAGCACTATTTACAATAGCAAAAACATGGAATCAAACCAAATATCCATCAACGATAGGCTGGATAAAGAAAATGTGGTACATATATGCCATGGAATACTATGCAGCCATAAAAAGAAATGAGATCACGTCCTTTGCAGGGACATGGATGAAGCTGGAAGCCGTTATCCTCAGCAAAGTAACGCAGGAACAAAAGTAAATACCACATGTTCTCACTTGCAAGTGGGAGATGAACAATGAGAACACGTGGACTGTTGAGGGGGCAGGGGGAGGGAAAGCATCAGGATAAATAGCTAATGCATGCGGGGCTTAATACCCAGGTAATGGGTTGATAGGTGCAGCAAACCACCATGGCACAGGCTTACCTATGTAACAAACCTGCAGGTCCTGCACATGTATCCCGGAACGTAAAATAAAATAAAATATTTTTAAAAAGAAAATTTGTAAGCCTGTTTTACATGATTCTTTAAAAGGTCCCCAATAGGATTGAGCCACAGTAGTAACCAGCTCATAATAGACTCTTCTCTCTTCCCTTCTCTTCCCTGAATTACTCATCTCACTCCCCATCTTGTATGTCCTGGGAAATCTCTCAAACAAACTACCTGCACCCATGCCCTTTTCCCAGGGTTAGTTTCTAGAGGATCCAAACTAAGGCACTGTCCTTGGGCCCTTGCCTAAAAAGGGTTTTACAATCTTTTGTAGAAACAGAGGAAGATAACAATAACAATATTCCTGGAACTCTGAACTCTCAAAGTTCTGATTGTCTTCACTCCCTTGAATGATGTCACCAGAAGCCTCAATGATCCCTTACTCTGCAAAGTGTAATGTGCCAAAAAGATGTCAATCACTCAGCCTCAAGGCACAGGACTACATCAAGTACTTTACTGGAAAAAATTGAGAGTGACACAGGTATAAACTGGGAGTTCTAGAAGTTGGAGATAAAGGGGACATAAAGATGAAATCAAAACGGATGGATATTGTGCATCAAAAGAGCCAAAGATGGAGGAAGAGGAGGTAGATGCAAGCGTTCTGTTCTGGGAAGGGCTAAGATCTTGGAATGCTGAGAGTGAAACTGGAAGCCAGTCTGGAGCATCCGTCAGGTACAGGAACAGTACTCAGAGCATGAGCCACATTCTGGCAGTTCTTCCAGTGCATCCTTATCCAATCAGGGAAAGCCTGCAGAGAACGTAGGACAGAAACAGCTGAGCATCTTGGGTTCAGCTCATCTTTGGAGCTTGAAGTTATGTTTATACATCTTTGCACAGAAAGACACTAAAAAGTAGTGGGTTTGCTTTGGGGAGCTCTCCATCTCCTTCAAGGAAAAACAAATAGGAGTGAATCGCTGCCAAAGAGTTGTGTTGAGACATTGATGGCTTAGAAGGGTTGGTTGGTCAACGTGTCTTAAGTTTAGCGTCCTGTGCCTCTTCTGCAATTCATCTCTGAGATTTCACCACTTCTACACCCTTCCTCCACCCCTCCTAATTCCCCTCATACTTGCCAGCATTGATTACTTCTACATCCCTTCTCATCCTCAGTTCCTCATACTCAGAAAGTAACTTTGTCTTGCCTTTTGCCAGGTGCATTCTTACCTCCTGATCAGAGCTGGTTCTGTCAGCACCAGGTCTGCCAAAGATGTAGCTGTCCTGGAATGGACCAGCCAACACCCAGACCTCCCGGCATGGGACTGGAGAGGATGAAAGACCGGGGCCCCTAGGACTTACGTTTATTCTTGCAGGTGTTCAGGCAGTTGGCTTTGGATTGGAAGTTGTTATTGTTTCCCTGGCAGCCACCATAGACAAACATGGAGCAAGTATTATCTTTCTTGTCATACCACCAATGAAGAAAATAAGCCAGGCAGGGGCCAGTTTCTTTTGGCATTTCGCATACATCTGCAGAGAGACTCCAGAGTTGAAAACTCAGTGTGCCCACTCCAGAAATAAACAGTTGTTATTATTCTCCCTGGCAACTGCTATAGAAGAAACTGGAGTAGGCTCCTTTTCTCTTATCACATGGCAGGAGCACAGCTCCACTGACATATTGCACACATTTGCAAGGAGACCCCAGAGTGGGCATCTGCATCCCTGGAGATAGGGTTGTTGCAGGTGTAATTAGCTAAAATGAGGTCAGACCAAAATAGGGTGGGCCCCTATACCAATATGACTGGTGTCCTTATACAAACAGGTTAATTTGGACAGAGGCACACACACTGTGAGAACACCATATGAATGTGAAGGCAGAGATCGGGGTGATGTGTCTACAAGCCAAAGAACACCAAAGATTGCCAGCAAAGCACCAGAAGCCAGGGGAGAGCAATGGAACATGCTTCTTCCCCATAACCCTGACAAGGAACCAACCATGCTGACACCTTGATCTCGGACTTCTAGCCTGAGGAACTGTGAGACAATACATTTCTGTTGTTTAAGACTCCCAGTCAGTGGTGCTTTGTTATAGCAACTCTACCAAACAAATGCAGGTCCCAACTAAATAATGCTTACACAGTTCCATTTGGGTAAATCTCCACTGCTAAACAATTAGATCCTGTTGATTTTTACCTCCTAATAGCTCACCTCTCTGCCAGTCTCTTTAATATAAGCCTCAGTGTCTCATGCCTGGACTGTTGAGGTGACCTCAGATTGATCCCCCTGCCTCCATTCCTGGCCCCTCCAATCAATCCTTCATGCTTCCCACCAGAGAGAAGGATCTGATGGATCTGAGAGCCAGGCTTATCATGTCATTGCACAGAGAAGACCTACCTTCACTCTATGACAATGTCCTCCCATGACCCACAAGGCCCTTCATTGTCTGGCTCCTACTGTGACGCTGGCCTCCTCTCCTGCCGCAGAACCCCTTTGAGCCACATGCTCCAGCAGTACTCAACACACCGTGCTACCTCTATACCTCCATCCCTTTGCACTGCTCACAGTGACACTCTTCTTACTTCAAAACCTTTCTCAGACATCAACTGCTGTGATGTCACTCTTGACCCCATTCTACATTCCTCACTGCCACACCTTGCTTCAGAGTCTTGTGCATTCATTTTTCATTTGTTTATATCTTCAGTCTCATCCCTGAGGCTGTGAGTTTCTAGTGAGCAGGGAGTGAGTTTCTAGTGTATCTGCTTTCATCTTGGCATCCCAATTCCTAACAGGTAGCCTGGCACAGTACAGAACCTTATGGAACGTTGAGGATAAACGAAATGTATCCTGATCTGAACTGAATAAATTATTCATTGAGCACCTATTATGTGCTCAATGCTTCAAGGAACAGAGAAAAGGCATGATCTCTGCTATTTAGGAGCCCTTAGCCAAGAATTACAAATAAGCGAATAGGTATCAGGTGGCTACTGTGTGCCAGGCATAACTCTAATCACATCATGCAGATCAATTGGATCCTCAAAATAATCTTTTACACTGATCCTTTTATTATCTGAGGAAACTGACTCACAGTGAGGGAAAGTTGTTAATTTATCCAAGACAAAAAGGCTCGTAAAAACTGGAGGTAAGAGTTGAACTCAGGATGGCTGAATTCAGAATCCTTACCTGCTGGCATATGAGTGACTTAGCCCCCTAACCTGCCCACTCTACTTCTCTGTCAAGTCCTGTTCACTTTGCCTCCTATGTCCTACTCTTTCTTTCAAGCAGGTCCTACTCTTCTTCATCCCCTCAGCTACCTCTAGTTCCGGCCACCATTTCTATCATCTTGAAGTCCTTTAAGATACTCTGTTCCTCCTATTTTAAACTCGATAGATGTAGTATGAACCTGGTCATATGATGCCCCGCCTCGGTGGATTGCCATAGCCCTTGGGATCCAGGCAAGACTCTTTAATCTGGCCCACCATACCTGAATTGTTTGATCTCTGCCCACCCAGAATCTGTTTTCCTTGTACCATGCTCGTGCTCACTCTGCGTTCTGGACTCCCAAGGCCCCACCACTGAGCCTTTGTGCATGCTACTGCCTGTGCCTGGAAAACCCCTCCACCCACTTTTTGCCTAAAACATTACCCATCTTTCTCAACTCAACCCCAGATTTTCTTTCTCAAAGAAGGCAATCCCAACCCCCCTGACCACACTGAGACCAAATCCTATTGTGGGTCTCAGAGGCACTCAATCAGTATTTGTTGAATGAATAAAAACAGAATCTTTGATAGTCTTTTTGCATCCCAGGGTGATGGGCATGAAACTAAGATGCAGCAGAAAGGAGAAACCCTCTGTTCTGGAGCAGTCAGGAGAGGCGTTTTGGTGCAAAGTTGGATTTGTGTAGGCAGAGAGGTGGTCACTCCATAGCAAAAAAGTTGGGAAATATAAATTGCTTAATTTATCACTTGCAGCATATGTTAGGGCAACGATGGCCACCTGGGAGCTCAAAAAATTATAAGAGTGACAGGTATCCAAATAGCCAAAAGAATCTGATTCAATGCCACTGATTCACCAATGATTTGTTCTGGGAAACTGAGTCTCAGACATTACCTGATAGGATAAGGTCATTCCTAATGGCACACACCATATTTGGCACAGTAATGAATCTAAATCGCAGGTCTCCCAAGTCCAGCAGTTTTGCCAGAGACCAGCCCTCAGCGATCAGGGCACAAAGCCAGTCCAGGAAGGCAGAAGGTGAGGACAGGGGGAGGAGGGGTTGGTTATTCTGCAGCTCTGAATATTACCTTGTTTGAGATCTAAACATTTTTTTCCGCAGCTGAAGACACAACACTTCTTGTTGTCCTGGCATTGTCTGTCCTTTGTACACACATCCCTTTCTTGGAATTCACATTCTTCTCTGATTTTGGGACATCTCCCTAGGGAAAGAGCGGTTTTACACCCGTGTGCCTTAGAGAGCATAGTGTCTCCCCACTTTGCCAGACACAAGGCAATTCTAGAGAGTCAGGGAAGTTTGCTTTCAGTTTGCTTGCCCCCAGGAGTTCTTTTCCTCAGGGCAGCCTCACTCATTTCCCTACTGCCTACACCCCCACCACTCCCCAGTGACCTCTCCTCCCTCTATTCCCACCCCCCAGCTCCATCCCATCTAAGGCAGAATTTCTCAACCACTGGTGATATTTGGGCTGGATAATTCTTTGTTTGGGGGGCTGAACTGGGGATTGTAGGATGTTTAGCAGCATCCCAGGCCTCTTCCCATCAGAATCCAGTAGCACCCCTGATTGTAACAACTGAAAATGTCTCCAGGCACTGCAAAGGTCCCCTGGAAGGCAAAATCACACCATTGTGGGCCACTGATGTAAGCCAATGCGGTCTTTTTGGCCTTGTTGAGGAATCCATGTTTGGAAGTTCCTCTAGGTGGTAGTATTATACAGCAATTAGTATCACTTACCCCGGAGCCAGTTTAGATTTTGAATTCTGACTTGGTCTGAATTCTGACCCTCTCTGAACCTTGGTTTCATCATCTGTAAAATCATTTTGCCCTTACGGATTTTGTGAGAAAACAATGAGACAAAGTATATAAAGCCCTAATCAAAGTAACTGATGCACAGTCATATTATCTAACATTTGCTAAGTATTTACCATAAGCCGAGCACTCTTCTAAGCATTTTAAATGTATGATCTCATTTAATCTTTATAATTGCTCTATGAAGGAAGTTCTATTAATATCCCCATTTTACACATGCGGAAACTGAGACCCATGAAATTTAAGTAACTTGCCCAAGATTACAGGGCTACCAAGATTTGAACCCACTAAGTCTGATTCCAGATCCCTCTGTTGTTTTAGAAATCCCTTTTCAGAAATCCTTACTTCCTGAGTGTTCAGCAAATGATACCAATGATCATTGTTACATTATAGTCATGGAATTAATATTCCACAACTAATGTGTCTTAAGTTTAAAGAGACTTCTGGATGCTGTCCTTTATCTCAAAGTTAGGGAACCCCTAGGGATACAGGGACACTTTATGGGACTACATTTGAAAGAACCAAGAGTGGATAGAGATGATGCCTCAAGGAAGGGGCCTGTTTTGCTTGTGGGGTAAGGAGAAGGTCCCTTGGTTTCCCGGATTCCTGTAGCGACTCCCCTGAAAGCTAGATCCTGTGACTCTCCTCCACCTGCTTGATAAAGACCCTCCACTTCAAAGGAGCTGAAAGTGGGGATTGCCTAAGTTGGGGTTACTGCATTCCCAGAAGGAATCTTACACAGGAGGGATCTTACAAATATCTCTCTCCTCTCCCAACCCGGGACCTGGGCTAAGATGGTGGAAAGCAACCCACATCTGAAGAGTTCTTCCCTGTTCCTTCCTCCCAGCAAACTCCCCTCTCTCTAGGGTAAGGGCTGAGGCCAATACTTACTGGGAAATAACCAATCAGTCAGACCAGGTCCCTGGACATTCGCTAAGAGGACGAATAGCACCAGGAGGCTCAAAAGTCCAGAAGATCCCATGTTGAAGAGAGGCCAGCCTTTCTGGTGGTTCCCGAATTTGGAATGCTCAGCTGCTGCACCTTGGATATAAGAACTGGAGACAAGCCAGCCACCCCCTTTCTTGCTGGGAACACTAAGTTCCCAAGGTCACAAATGGGACTAACTGGCACCCACAGCTCACAGCTTGGGAGGAAGGGTCTCTTATTGAATGGATCTTGATCCTTACACCCCTAGGCTGCACTGGGCTGGGGGCTCTAGTCAACCACAGGGAGTGGGCAAAGCGTGTCTCCCACTTTCCAGGCTACCTTCAGAGTGAATGCCACCATCTTGGGTCTTCATCTTGATAACTTGGAGAGTGGTGGAATGTCCTCATTCTTCATTCATTTTCCATCGTACGTGCACACTTACTAGCACACTCCTTCTGCTTGTCTCTGACAATGTGTCTCTGTCGGTCTCTTGGTATCTCATTGTTTATCTGTGCCTCTCTGTGCCTAAGTCTACTGTTTCTCTTTCCCCATGGTCTCTGTGTTCCTTTCTCCCTCTCCCACAGTTTCCTCCCATCCTTCTGTCTTTTATTGTATCTTTGGTTCACTCATATTCGTTGACTAAGGCCAAAGAATACAGATTTGCCACAGAGCAGGGTGTAGGGGAGGAATCAGGCTGATAGCAGAGTCTTCAGAGAATGTTTCTCAAAGTTTTGTTGCTCTGAGAGCAAGAGAGGATATCAGAGCTTAGAGGGAGCCTTTATCATCACTGCCAGCTCCTTGATGTCTGAGGAACTATGAAGTGAAGGGACTTGCCTGGGAGACTGCAGTGGAATAAAGTTCAGTAACACAGCAGACTTTGGGGATTCTAACTGGGCTGCTAGAGGAGCTGTGGGAAAGAGGTGCTGGGGAACTTGGACAGCTTTCCTTTCCTACAGCCATGGAATCTACACTGGCCACTCAGCCAGTCCTGGGAAGAAGAGAGACACTCTTTACAGAGTAAATGTTATCCCGAGGGCTCCCGTTTTCTTCTCTAACTAGGAGTTACCCTTTTGGGCCAAGTTTGTTCTCCAAATTTTCCTACATGACAGACAGAGGCCAGACAAAGACAGCCTTATTATCAGAGAGTGACTATATGGTCACAAAATTTAGGATCACAGACAGCCGCCGTAAGAATCCCATGCCACCAACTTGACAATCTCACTTGAAGAGACTACCGAATCAAATTTTTCTTTTCTTTTTTCTTCTTTTCTTTTCTTCTCTTTTCCTTTCCTTTCCTTTCCTTTCCTCTTCTCTTCTCTTCTCCTTTCCTTTCCTTTCCTTTCCTTTCTTTTCTTTTCTTTTCTTTTTTTTCTTTAAAAACATTCTTGCTCTGTCATCCAGGCTGGAGTGCAGTGGCACAATCTCGGCTCACTGCAATCTCCACCTTCCCGGTTCAAGCAATTCGTGCCTCGACCTCCCAAGTAGCTGGGATTACAGGCATGCACCACCATGCACAGCTAATTTTTGTATATTTAGTAGAGATGACGTATCGCCCTTGGCCAGGCTGGTCTCCACCTCCTGGCCTCAAGCAATTTGCCCACCTAAGCCTCCCAAAGTGTTGGGATTACAGGCATGAGCCACCGTGCCTGGCTAGAATTTCTAATGAATGAGTAAGACGTCGTAAGCAGTGCTGTTTCACTCATTTCATTTCCCATATTCTCACAAACTCAGCCCAGGAGAGAGTGAAAACTGGAATATCTAAGTGGAAGGGCTCTGAGGGACCATCAAGCCCTATTTCTCAATTTATAGATGGGAATCATAAGGCCCAGAGAAGTGAGGATGCTGACTAAATGTCACCCAGCAAGTGAGTGTCAGAAATAAGATTAAGAGGGAGCTGAGCACACAAGTTCTTGCCAGAGGACACCAGGGCATGTTTTGATGTTGGTGTGGATATAATATTTTCTTGTAGAGTTGAAGGTAGAGAGGAAGGGTGAGTCTAAAGGAATGAAGTAATGTCTTTAGTGGAGACAGAGGCTGAACACCCACAAAGTGAAAGTCAGTAAATTTCTTTTTTTTTTTTTGAAACGGAGTCTCACTCTGTCACCCAGGCTGGAGTGCAGTGGCGCAAACTTGGCTCACCAAAGTCAGTAAATTTCTAAATGGTACCCAGGGTCCCCAATTAAGGCTGCATTTTTTCGTAAATTTTATTGAAAATAAATTAACTATCTTTCTGGTTGCTTCATTCCATTCTGTCTTGCCTAATTTTCAGGCCCATCCAAGCATCTCACTTTCCAAGCAGGTGAAATAAAATTTATGTCTTTGGGACTTGGGATAAATCATGGTTTTGGCCCCTTCTCTCCAATAATTTCTTGGAGAAGGCTGGGTAAGGACCCACCTGGGGTTTTGCCTCTCCTTTCTTCATCCTTTCTCATTGAGGGCATGGTGCCCTACCTCTGCCTCCAGGCCAATTCTCTCCCAGGAACAATCCTGTGCTTAGAACAGGGGACTCCAACGAGAACCAACAAGATCAGCCTCTACCTGGCACCTCCTGCTTTTTCATTAGCCCAAGATCTGTCACATGGACTGATTCTCTGTCACTGGCTTCCTATGTTGTTCCCTCTGCCTCTAACTCTATTACTAAGTTACATGTTTGCTCCCCCAAGTAAGCTCTGAACTCCATTAAACAGGTCTGTGTCTAGAACGCAGTGCTTAAAACATGAATAGGCCCCAAATAAACACTCAGTACATCTTGCTGGAAGAGCAAGGTAGGTGGGGGGGATTGGTAGGTGTGTGAATAGGTAGGTAGCTATGTGGATGGATGGGTGGCTGGTAGAGTGTGATAAGTGGGAAGATGGTTGAGCAGGGAGAGGGATTAGTGAGGAAAGCATGGATGTTTGGGTACATGAATGCATGGATTATGGATGGGTGGATGATTGGGTGAATAAGTGGATTGGATTGAATATAAAGATGGATAGGGTAGTGATGGGATATGTGGGCCTATTGATGGAGGCTGTTTGAATGAAAGGTGGAAGAGTGCATTGGTAGGGGGATGGAGGGAGTTAGGTATAGAAATGATGAATATGTATTTTGATGGGTATGAAAGAGTGTGTGCATGTGTGTGTGTGCAGAGAAAGGGGGAAGAGAGAGGTCAATAATAGGAAGATGAATTAAAGGCTAGATGGGCAAGTGGGTCTGTAGAAGAAAGATGAGTAAGAAAAGTAAGTGGATAGACATATGGAGTAGGCAAATAGCTAAGTTGAAAAGTGTGTCAGTGGAAGGAAAGGAGGGATAGGTGAGTGGGGATTGGGTATTTGCATATGTGTTGAGTGAATGGATAGGTGAGTAAAGGGATTGAATAGTTAGTAAATAGGTGGGTGGAAACATGAATGTACAAATGAAAGCATTAACCAAAGTTAAAGATATAAAAGAATTATATAGAGAACAATTTATGCTACTCTAAAGTAATACATGTGAAAATATAGGAAAAATGGATCAATTTTACCAAAATACAAAAGACCAAAATTTGCAGAAGAGGAGGTAGAAAACCTGCAGACTATAAGATGAAATATTTAAAAATTACTAAAATATACCACTAGAAAGAACCTGATCTAGATGCTTTTGGAGCTGAATTTTGGTAGCCTTCAAAAAATGCTGAATTGCTATATTATGTAAAATATTTCAGAGCATAGAAAAAGTAGCTAGGTTTCCCAATTAGTTCCCATACTCATTTTTTGAAAGTAATATGACCCAAATAGAAAAAACAAATTTAAAAAGACCTATTTTTCTTTTGACTATAGATGTGAAAATTCAAACTATACTATTAGCTAAAAAGAACCAATAATATATTGATACAGCAGTCTGCAATTAAGTTTATTAAGAATGCAAGGATGGCTCAAGAAAATTTAGTAATTTATTATGCCAACAAATTAGAAGAGAAAAATCATTATGTGACTGTATGCTTAAAAGGTATTTGATAAAATTCAGTAGTCATTTTCAGTAGTAGCTATAAATGGATAGGAAATAGGCTTAAAAAGGAAATAACTGGCCAGGCACAGTGGCTCCCACCTGTGATCCCAGCACTTTCGGAGGCTGAGGTGGGTGGATCACCTGAGGTCAGGAGTTTGTGACCAGCTTGGCCAACATGGTAAAACCCCATCTCTACTAAAAATACAAAAAATTAGCTGGGCATGATGGTGGGCACCTGTAATCCCAGCTACTTGGGAGGCTGAGGCAGGAGAATCACTTGAACCCGGGAAGCAGAGGTTGCAGTGAGCCGAGATTGCGCCTGGGCAATAAGAGCAAAACTCCGTCTCACAAAAAAAAAAAAAAAGAAAGAAAGAAAGAAAAGGAAAAAGAAAATAATTTAAGTGCAATAAAACTTATGTATTCCAAATTCAACAACAAATATCTTTTTATAGTGCAGGAGCCATTGACTTTAAAATAAGGAACTAGACAAGGATGGATGCCATTGCCTTTATTTTCATTATTATTTTGGAGGTTCTACACAATACAAGAAGACAAGAAAATAAAGTCATGAAGTTGAAAAAAAGCCAAATATATCATCACTTTCAGATGATGGGATTATATATAAAATCAAAGTAACATCATTCAATATTGTGATACTTAAGATAATTTGGCAAGTTGGATACAAGACAAAACTGACAGCTCTTTATCATGCTACTCATAATTAATGATTTTGATGATAATATTTTCTACTTACTATTCAACGTCTGGGGTCCATACATTTCAGTCCACAATGTGAGCAGCACTTTTCCACCAATGGGCACTCCTCATCCTGCAGGCACTTGGGTTTATCAATCTTGGTACATAGCAAGGGCTTGCGTGGGCAGAAACCTTTTTTGACTTTATGGGGTAAAAGAAAACACTTGACCTTGAAATACTTGGTCATAATTTGAGACAAATTTGAGGAATCTTGGGAATCTCAAACAAGGTTTTATTCTGATTAAGCTTCTTACCTTTCCCCCTACAGTAACAATAGACTGGAGGAGGCAGAGTATCAACTTTCTACGACTAATAACTTGAGGAGCATCAAGAAAAGTCTTACCATCTCTGACTTGTACCATCTGATAGGATTCCTGTCTGCTCCTACAGAATTAATGGATCTGGGTTATATAACCCCAGAGTACCACAGGTGGCAGGAGTATTAGCACACAGAACCTTCTTGTTTTACAAATTGTAGGCATTGAGGCGTATTTAGAGGGAAATGAGTTGCCCAATGCCACATAGAAAGCCAGTAGAAAAGTTGAAGTAGGTTGAAAAGCCTTGGACTCCTGCCACCACACTATACTGAACCTTAGAACCTTAAAGCCACACCTGGACAATCCCTGGGACTACATGGGGAAGTAAACACCTGCCTTAGAGGAGGCAGGAAAGTTGGCTTCTATCCAACATCATTTGCTACTAATGTTTTCCCCAGCCCATCTTACAGGATATGAATATGATGTGCATGCTTTGAAGTTCTGTGCAGACATGAGGGCTTATTAGGAATACACCTCATGGTTATGAATTTTTTATGAATCGGTGAATATTGTCACCTTGCAAGTCATTGAGGAATGAGTCTCAGAAAAAATAAGTTTTCTTGGGGAAGAATAGAGAGCAATGCTATGAATTACTGGCTTTGAAGAACAGCACAATAGTCTTCAGAGGTCAAGAGGTCAATATAACTTGTTGGGCATTAAAAGGGGTTCCCAAAGATCCTCAAAGATGAGCCCAAGGAGCATCTGAGGTTCAAGACACCCCCCACTCCATGGAGACAGCATGACATCCTTGGCACATGCCCAATAGATTTGGGAGGTATATCCCCAATCCTTACCTGTCCAGGCCCTGGCACAAACAAAGCCACACCTGGATTCACAACATTTGTCTGTCTGGGGACAATCGATGTCACTGTGACATGAAGGTGGACACTCCTTACGTTCAGTGAAAGGGAAGAGTGGGCATTGTCCATCCTTAACTAAAATAAGAGCAGATGTGAGCTTCTTAAAACCCCACCCCCATCCCACCACCCTTCAAAGAGCCTTTCCTTCTCTTCAAAGCTAGTATCCCTTTCTGCAACTTGGTTCACCCTACCCTATCCATCTCCAGTAGGCTGTGGAAGAATGAAATGTCTCATCATATCATGGGATATGGTAGAGAGCATGCTGGGCTTGGTGCCTTAAGCCCCATGGTAAAGTCCCAGTCCTGCTACTTGGTGAGTTTCCTTCTCTGTAAAATGAGGATAATTATGTGAAATCTACACAAATCAGTGTAAGCCATTTTAGGGTATTTGGTTTTACTTAGAATGAAATGGGGATCCATCACACTGTTCTCAGTAGAGAAGTGATATGGCCTGACTCATGTTTTGAAAGGGTCATTGTGACTATTGTGTTTATAATAGATTGTAAGGAGGATAGAAGCAGGGAGACCTTTTAAGAGGCTGTTGGGGTAATCCAAGTAAGAAGATGGCTCTTCAGATCAGGGTGGCAGCTGCGGAGGTGGTAAGGTTTTACCAGATTTAGGATCTACTTTCAAGGTAGAACTAAAATTATTTCCTAACTAACTTAATGGATGTTAATTGATAAAGAGAGGCATCAACTGTGATTGTGAAGTTTTTCAACCAAGATGAGAAGCATGGATAGAACCGGTTTGCGTTAGGGGAGTGATGGTAAGAGGTACTGGTTTATGTTTATGTTGAGCTTATTTTTCTGTTTTTGAGACAGGGTTTCCCACTGTCACTCAACGAAGCCTCAATTTCCCCAGCTCAAGTGATCTTTGAGGAGGTGGGAATACCTCCTCAAGTGATCTTCCCAGCCTCCTGAGTAGCTGGGACCATAGGCACGTGACACCATGCCTGTTTTTTTTGTTGTTGTGTTTTTGTTTTTGTTTTTGGTTTTGTTGTTGTTGTTTGTAGAAATTGGGTCTCACTATGCTGCCTAGGCTGGTCTCAAACTCCTGGGCTCAAGTGATCCTCTTGCCTCAGCCTCCCAAAGCGCTAGGATTATAGGTGTGAGCTACTGTGCCTGGCCCGAGGTTCTGTTTAAGCAAGTTCAACATGAGATGTTTGTGAGGTCCAGGTGGAGATGTAGAGCAGATAGTGGATTTTAGGAGTCAGATTAGGGCTGGAGACACAACTTTGTGGGTCATTAGGACATAGGTGGTATTTAAATCAATTCTTTGGGGTTTTGTATGCTCTTGTACTCATCTGACTGCAAATTCTACAAGGGCTTCCCCAGGTCAGGCTCAGGCTATGATGTGTTGAACTCTCAGAGGTATTATCAGGTTGCCTCTGAGTCTTAACCTAAATTTCCCACAAACCAGCCCAAGCCCATTTCCCTGGCCTCCTCTTCCTTGTCTTCCTGGGAGAGGAGACAAGGCTCTTGTCCACAGCACCATGATTCCTTAGAGCTTCCCATGAAGGGAAGCTTGTGGTCCTAGTTTCAAGTCAGGTCCCAGGGTTGCCTTGGCCGTTCAGGCCCATGGGTCCATGGAATTAAAATTCCACCTCTACTCCTGACCAACTGTGGGTCCTCAGGCAACTAACTTCACCTCTCTGACTGTGTTCTCCCATCTGTAAAGTGGTAGTGATGGTACATTTTTCAGCTTGCCTCACAGAATCTGAGGTCGAAATTGCAACGCTGCCTCATAAATCACACAGTTGTGAAGATCACTGGTCACCATCTCAATTGTTACCGTTTAGTGAGCCCACACCACGGGACCACCACTCTATCAAGTCTTTGTGTTTTAAATCACATATAATCCTGCCAACAACTCAACGAGCTGTTTGCTGTGACTCCAGAATTACAGAAGAGGGAACTGAAATTCAAAGAAATGAAGAAAGCAGCAAGTGGGAAAAGTCAGATTTAAATTCAGGTCATTTGACTCCTAAGTTTGGTAGGACACTGTTTCCCAACATTGCTGGTGATGATCATTATACTAAGGAATGAATCCACAGCCTTCACCTTCACCCCACCCTACTCTCCACCTCCAGTGTGGACACTTACTCCATGGGATTCCAGAGCTGGCCTGTCTACACTTCATTCTTAAGCAAATCCTCAGTATGATGCTCAACAGGTTACTATGATGAGGAAACACCTTCTTCCAAGGGGGCACACCTGGCTTTCGGGTCACATTGGCCAAGATCTATTAACATTTTCTATACACTATCTCATTTTTTGGCAGAGCCACTCCATTAGGTAAATACTATTATTAACCTCATTCTATAGACAAGGAAACTGAAGCTTATAAAGGCAGGCAACTGGCCCAAGACCTCCCAGCCAGTGAATGACAGAGCTAAGTCTTGAACCAAGGAACTTTAACCTCAAATCCTGAGCCTATAACCTCATTGGTATACTATTTCTAGTTAAACTAGACCCTCAGATTTCCAGGATAGAGGTCTCACCAATTAACATGCAGGCCGTTCTGCAGGCATCCTCATTTAAGAAGTTGTTGGCATTCCCTTCGCAGCCCCTGTATTTGAAGGGTGTGCAGCGGTAATTTTTAAAGTCAAAATGCCAGCGCTGTGCCTCATGATTACAGTTTCCATGCCTCACAGGTAGCATGCAGGGTTCTGAGGTCAGGAAGCAAGGAAAGAAGGATATGAAGAGTAGAGATAAAAGAACAGGGTCAGTTCCCTAGCATTTCTCATAACTCCTGGTGTTATCACCCAAGTCATAAAAGGAGCCATGGCAGGGGAAAAAAAAAGGCATAGGTTCTGGTCCCAGTTCTACTACTAATAGTCTATGTTGTATGGCACCTCTGAGCATCACTCCTTCCTTGCAAAGAATATTACAAGGTGCATATAAGAATCTTGTACTTTGGAGCTGATCTTTCTTCTCCACTGTCCTGAGCTTTGGTAGGGCAAGACTTGTTCAGCAACTATTAGGTTGATGCAAAAGTAATTATGGTTTTTGCATTGTTAAAATTTGCCATTTGATATTAGAATACATTCTTAAATAAATGTGGTTATATCATATATCATTTTAATGCACATTTCTTGCTTCCTGTACTTTTGCTAATGACTTATTATTTGCTGTTTAATTTATATTTATTTTAGACTATATAAATTATGTCAGACAAAAAGCAAATTCGAGTGATTTTCTCATTTGAGTTGAAAATGGGTCGTAAAGCAGCAGAGACAACTTGCAACATCAACAACACATTTAGCCCGGGAACTGCTAAGAAATATACAGTGCAGTGGTGGTTCAAGAAGTTTTGCAAAGGAGACGAGGGCTTTGAAGATGAGGAGCATTGTGGCTGGTCATTGGAAGTTGACAATGACCAACTGAGAGCAGTCATCAAAGTTGATCCTCTTATAACTACATAAGAAGTTGCCGAAGAGCTCAACGTCAACCATTCTATGGTCATCCAGCATTTGAAGCAAATTGGAAAGGTGAAAAAGCTCGATAGGTGGGTGCCTCATGAACTGAGCAAAATTAAAAAAATATATATTGTTTTGAAGGGTCATCTCTTATTCTGTGCAACAACAACAAACTATTTCTCAATCATATTGTGACGTGCAATGAAAAGTGGATTTTACACGACAACCAATGATGACCAGCTTAGTGGCTGGACCAAGAAGAAGCTCAAAAACACTTCCCAAAGCCAAACTTGCACCAAAAAAGGTCATGGTCACTGTTTGGTGGTCTGCCGCTGGTCTGATCCACTATAACTTTCTGAATCCTGGCAAAACCATTACATCTGAGAAGTATGCTTAGCAAATCGATGAGATGCACTGAAAACTGCAGTGCCTGCAGCCAGCATTCGTCAACAGAAAGGGCCAATTGATCAACAGAAAGGGCCAATTCTTCTCTGCCACAACGCCCAACCACACGTCACACAACCAACACAAAAGTGGAATGAATTAGGCTACAAAGTTTTGCTTCATCCACCATGTTCACCTGACCTCTTGCCAACCGACTACCACTTCTTCAAGCATCTAAACAACTTTTTGCAGGGAAAACACATCCACAAACAACAGGATGCAGAAAATGCTTTCCAAGAGTTCATCAAATCCTGAAGCATGGATTTGTATGCTACAGCAATAAACGAACTTATTTCTCTTTGGCAAAAATATGTTGATTGTAATGGTTCCTATTTTGATTAATAAAGATGTGTTTTGCTTTATTTTCTTTTGTTTTTTTTTGTTTTTTGAGAAGGAGTCTCGCTGTGTCACCCAGGCCGCAGTGCAATGGTGCGATCTCAGCTCATTGCAACCTCTGCCTCCCGAGTTCAAGCAATTCTCCTGCCTCAGCCTCCTGAGTAGCCGGGATTACAGGCACCCGCCAACATGCCCAGCTAATTTTTGTATTTTTAGTAGAGACAAGGTTTCACTGTGTTGGTCAGGCTGGTGTCGAACTCCTGACATCAGGTGATCCACCCGCCTTGGCCTCCCAAAGTGCTGGGATTACAGGTGTGAGCCACCGTGCCCAGCCAATAAAGATGTGTTTAAGCCTAGTTATAATGATTTAAAATTCACGGTCCAAAACCGCAATTACTTTTGCATCCAAAGTGCCTAACAAAGTGCCTAGTACCTAGAAGGAATGAAATACCAAGGAAGAAACAGCCCCTGATGTCTGAAAAGTGATCTGACACTCCCAGCTAAGCCACATGGATTCTCTGTTGGACATTTAAAAAATCTCCTAGAACATCTGTATCAACCAACGTCACTCTGAGATCATGATGAAGTGAGACAAAAACAAGATCACAGTGAAACCTGCAAAATACCAAACACCCGCCCCCCTCTAAGCTAACGTGAGTGACTTATGCTTCTCTACCAATCAATCACAGCTTTATCCTTAGTCTATTCTGTATTCTGTATTGTTAAGATTCCCTGGGATAGCCAGTCATAGAATTGCCCCCGCTTTCTGACAGCACCCAATCTAGAGAAAACTCTCACTTCTTTAGACCCTCCCCCGAATTACCCAATCAAAGCCCAAATCCTATAATAGATTCTTTCTACCAGCTTCTTACTGAAATGCCTCATACTTGTCTAGGGTGAATCTTTTCCCTCACTTCAATAAGTAATAAACCCAATTTGTTCAACTATAGGTGTATTCTGGTGGTCTTTGTTCAAAGGGCATTAACAACAGATATTTGTTGAATGAATAAATGTATGAGTGAGTGAATAAATGAATCTTTTTAAAAAACACACAGTTCCCCGCACATATTAGATAGATGCCCAATACATTGAGTCACCAGAAAACCTCCTTGAAGATCAAAGAGTCTGAAAAACAATGCCAGCATTTAAGCTGACTGAGGTTTTATTTTGTCACAGTGCCATAACAGTCTCTTGAACAGAGTGCGCATGCAACAAGTATTAGTTATTTGTGAATAATTGAATGTTGGACCCAAGAAGACCAGCATCAATATTATGGTGATTGATGGTCACCATGCCTAGACTTATGACTTGTACTTGAGGGTTAGGCATTGAATAACAGAATGAGAAGAGCACAGGCCCTGGGTCCTTGTCCTGCCATCCAAGGGAATCCCTCAGCCAGTTTTGGACAGAGCAAGAAGTGGGGAACCTCTGTCCTCAGCCTGGACATCGCTACCTTGAAAGGGATCCATGCACTTCTTCTGACAGGCAAAAAAGCAGCACTTCTGGTATTCCTTGCAGTCAAAATCTGTGTTACATGAGTCCGGAAGTTCAGTGGTACAGGTGAGCCTCTCTTTGGGACATAACCCTGGTTTGTCTGCAAGAAAGAAATGTCCAAACTCACATTCTTTCGGAATTTCAGCTCTTTTTCTCCTATGGCAAAGGTGTGTAGTGAAATTCTCTCAGCCCTATCCTCTACCTTCGATTCTTAGTTCTTGCTCTGCTTATATTCAGGGGCTAGTTCTGTTTCTCAGCACTCAGATTCATTCAAATGGATCTGAATCAGGAATTTGTGTCCAAGAAGAACTGAAGGAGAAGCATGTTGGATACCAGGGAAAGGGGTTAGAAAGGGACCAAGGCCCTTTCCCTAAATTCAAAAGATTTTCTCTCTTCTTGAAACCTAATATTTTAATGCTTAATTCCTTTGTCTCCAGTTGATAAAAGAAATTAGTAAAGACTGGTGGGAACATCATGGAAGTAGAGGTCAGGAGGGCTGATTTGACCCTTGACTCCTGGTAAACTCAAGACCAATCTGAACTCATTGTATGATTTTTAATTTACCTCTAAGGAGTAAGAAACAGTGGAGTGGAAGAAGCATTGTAGTCAGGCAGACCTGGCTCGGGAGCCTGGCTCCAACACTAACCAACTAAATAATCTTGGGAAAGTATTTCCCTTCATCTGAGTTATATTTTCCATCTTTAAAATGAGAATGACAATTCCTGCCTTACAGGCTGATTATAAGAGTTAAATGGGGTGATGTCTATAATGCCTGGGGTAAGACCTTGGCAGATGTGGCGTTGCTTTCTACCTTTTATTTTTATTTTTATTTTTTTACTAAAAACTAGAAGAGGCAAGGGGAAAAAAACTACAGCACCCAGTGTTTCCAGTCAGTCTCCCATCCAAGTACTAACCAGGTCTGATCCTGCTTACCTTTTGAGATCAGACAAGATCAGGAATTTTCAGGGTGGTATGGCCATGCTTCCTTCCTTTTTAAGGCTAGACATGGCTTCCTGATTTCAGTGCTTGTGGTAGGTAGAATCTAAAGTTGCACCCTCAAGATTCCCATCTTCTGATTATTGAATCAAACACTAAGCTAGGCAATGCTGTGAAGGGATTTTGCAGAAAAATTAAAGACCCAAGTTAGTTGACTTTAAGATTAGAGATTATCTCTAATTTTAAGGTCTAATCTCTGGCCCAGACCTAGTCAATTAGGTCCTTGAAAAGCAGAGTTTTCTTCTGGTTGGTAGAGAAGAATTGATTAGAGAGATTCAAATGATGAGAAGGATCCAACTTGCTATTCGTAGCTTTGAAGATGGTTGAGGCCAAGTGCCAAGGAATAAGGGTGGCATCTAGAAGTGACAGCCAGTAAAGGAGCCTCAGTCCTACAACTCCAAGGAAATGACTCTACTACAACCAGGGAGCTTGGGAGAGGACAGTGCATCCCAAATGAGAACTACAGCCCTGGCTGACATTTCAATCTTGGCCTGGTAAGACCCGGAGCAAAGAACCCAGATGCACAATGCCAGACTTCTGACCCACAGATAATTTGTTACGTAGCAAAGGATAGCTCATACAGCGCTTAATGTGTCTCCATGATTCTAAACTGAGCATCCCTCCAGTGGAATCTGGCCAGAGAGGCATGATCCTTTCAGATACTACTGAGTCTTGGAACTGTAGAACTTTGGAATGGAAAGAACTCTATTTATCATTGGTACCAAACTTCTGATTTCATAGATCAAAAGTAATGAGGTCAGATAGGATAATACAATGCATTAGGGGCAAGTCTGGGACTTACAATCCAGGACTCACTTCAGGAGCCCCACGTCTTCCCTGAGGACTGGCCACTGAGACTTTGAGTACTTTCCAACAATACTTCTTGTCATTAATGACCCCCTCCAGGAATGGACTGAAGCTAAGAAGAGTATGTGGTTCCTAATTTGGAGTGTACATCAAAATCATCTATGCATCTTTCAGAAAATATAGACTCTAGGCTGAATCAGAATCTCTAGAAAGTGCATCCTTGGGACTCCACTTTTTAAAAAGAACCCCAGGTGGTCCTAAAGCAGGCAGTGGGCTCCAGGAGATAGGCTGTTACTTGGGAACCATTGTTCTAGGTTTAGGCAGAGACAGAGTTCGGCAAATCAAACTGGGTTTGAGTTGTTGTAGCTCCTTTCCCCATTGTCAGCTTGAACTCTCACTTATTAATAAAAACCCTCCTCCGTTTCTTGTTGGCTCTTCTTAACCACTTACTTGTGTGTATAAGCATACCTCATGGGTTTCTCTGCATCTACTGGGGATGCTTCTCAGAGATCTGGTCTCAGCTGTCTTCTGACATTACTTGACACATACTTCCTGGGTAATCCCACTCGTTCCCACGATCCCAACTATGATTCCCATCTCTTCCTCCAGACTCATCCTCTATTCCAAACTAAAGACTTTTATTTCGACCTGCCTGGGAAAAACACCATCTGGGCATCTCAGAAGCACCTCTGTTCCAACATATTTAAAACAGAACTATTATCTTCTTATGCCCAAGCACTACCTTACTTTCTATTCCGCATCTTGACATTTGGCATCAACAGGTCCAGTTTGTTATTAGAATCCAGAGATTCACTCCTTCCTCTCCGCCACCCCAGTATCCCATCACTCATGGACTTGGGTCAATTCTGTCTCCTAAACCTCTCTCCAAACCCTGTCTCCTGCCTCTCTTTACTACCACTCCCTCAGATCAGCACCTGATCTCACCCCTTGTCTCTTCTCAACTACTGCAGCAGCCTCCTCACTGGTCCTCTCCCCTCAGGCTCATGCCTAGTGACTTATTAATTAAAAAACAATTAAACTTGCGTGTGTGTGTGTGTGTGTGTGTGTGTGTGTGTGTGTACAGTGGGAATGAATGTAATCACCCAAGAATTATGTGTTGAGTGATATCATAAGACAGATGAGACCAGATCTCTGGGGATCATCCCTAGTAGATGCAAACTATATATATAGTCTCCTTACATATATAAAAATATGGAAAAGTTAGGGAAATAATTTGGGGGGAGCAAGTAAGGAAAGTATGTGGAGGGCCAGGGTCGTGAGCAGGGGTAGCTTTCTGTGGCCCCAAATCCACAGTAGAGGGGGCCTCATCTGACACTGGCACTGGCCTCATGTCTAACCCTCATCCCCAATAATGCTTTCTAAGGAAGAATGGCTGCAGCTTTTTTGAACTCACGTTTGATCTTCTTGGTCAGCATTGCAGAAGTCCACTCCAAAGCAAGGGAGAGAAGCAGCAGGAAAGCTACATTCCTCCAGGAGAAGGTGGGGCTATGGAGAGGAAAGTGCCTGTATGGATGAGAAGAGAGGTGGGAGTTAAGCACAATCCAGAGAGAGACACAAAGTGTGTGCAGGGGAACCTTAGAGATGATCCACCAGGTCCCTTTAGTTCACAGGTAAGAAGACTGACACCAGCATGGGGAAGGAGTCTGTCTGAGGTCAGATGGTGAGTTAAGGTGTGTCTAAGACATTCCGTTTCAGGACCCTGACCAATCCCCATACCCTGCCATGGTGCTGTACCTTGTGCCACACAGACACTTGCCTATTGTCTTGTTCCTGGGTAAAAGGCCACACTTGAATGATCACAAGGATTTATTTGGAACAGTTGCAGAGCTGGTTTGCCCACAGTCACTCCAGGGGCAACCCCAGACACTAGTGAGCATCTTTTCTTTGCTCCACTGATGACAGAAATGGATGGTATGAGATTTCCCAGAGGGCCTGGGCACACTCTACTGGATCTTGGTGCACCAGAAGCAAGAACAATCTCAGATGACCTTGGGTTAACAGAGAAATTCCTTTTATTCCTTCTGTGACTATCCAAGCCTAGGATCTTATGATACTCCCAGACAACCAGATGAACAGATGAGCTTCCCCCGCCTACTCAAGCCCCCATTTCCCATATGTGTCTTCATGATCCTTATGTATTTTTTATTTTAAGGTGTGAAAAACTAATAATCCTTTACTGTATTAACTCTTAGAGTGCATGCATTTCAAAAATGCAAGAGGTGGGTAGAGGGAGAAAGAGGAAGCAAGAGACAGAGAAAACATCTTTATGCCAAAATATACATCTGTATTGGTGGAACTTCCGATACTGAGAAAGCTATGAAGGTATCTTGGAATAGAGTATCTTCCAGAGTTCCTGAAGCCATACCATGTGGCTGCCTAAAAGTAAAGACTTGTGACAATTTATCTCCCCAACCTTTTTTGTTGGGGGAGTTCTAATCATGTATCCTCTTCAAATTTTACAATAGTGCCTATACTCTCTGGTCATGGAAATTATGACCCCAAACATAGTGATCTTGATTTTGGGCCTCGCTCAATCCCTTATAACAGCATATCTTGGATCCTCAATTTCCTCATCTGGAAAATGGGAATAATACAATTAACCTGGAAGCTTTGTTGTCATTGTGAGGATTAAGATGAGATAGCATGAAGATTTAATGAAGTGGTACGGAGTGGTAGGAAACGTAGCATTCAGAGTTAGACCTGAGTTCACATCCTGAATCCACCACTTATCGGCTGTGTGGCCTGGGTTCAGTCACTTCACTTCACTGAGCCTCAATTTGTCATAAAGGAAACAATAATAACACCTACCTCACAGACATGAGAATTACTTGAACTATTTTTGTAAAGCATGACAAGTGGCTTGTAAATCAGTGTTTATTGTATTTTAGCCAGTTAACAAATAATGAATGGCAATAGTGAATGCCAACAAATGTTCCTATTACCATTTTAGCTTTTGAGTTCCCTAGTTAGAGACTGTGTAAATCATTCCTTTAGTTCCCCTAAAAGATTAGCCAAAAGGCCCTCTGGTGCTTTAAATTTTTATTATCAAGTCACTCTATGGGTTTGAAATTTTACCCTCTAACCTGAAAACATCTATTAACCCAGTCTTGAGAATCAGTTAATCAGATTAGCCTGCAGTCAGTTAGAAGAAAGCAGATCTCGTGGGATGGAGGCAGGGGAGAAACACAGATTAATAGAATTGCCAAACATAATAGAGGATGTCCATTTATAATTTTAGCATAAGTATATCCCATGCAATATAAGGAACATAGTTCTACTAAAAAAGTATTTGATGTTTATCTGACATTCAAATTTAATTGGTCATCCTCTATTTTTATTTTCTAAATCTGGCAACTTTGACACAGAATGAATCCATTTTGGTTGGACTGGGGTTTGTTTGGGCAAGAGACTACAAAACACAGGTCTTATAGGTAACAAATGAGCATAATTGCAAGAGTTGCTCAGTGGGGGCTCTGAAGAACTAGGACAGACCTGGAATACTAGGACAGACCTGGAATACTAGGACAGACCTGGAATACACGGACACAAATGTGCTATATAAATAACACACTAGGTTCTGGGCACGGTGGCTCATGTTTGTAATCTCAGCACTTTGAGAGGCCAAGACAGGAGGATCACTTGAGCCCAGGAGTTCAAGACCCACCTGGGCATGGGCTGGGTGCGGTGGCTCACGCCTGTAATCCCAGCACTTTGGGAGGCCCAGGTGGGCGGATTATGAGGTCAGGAGATTGAGACCATCCTGGCTAACACGGTGAAATCCCGTCTATACTAAACAAAATACAAAAAATTAACCGGGCGTGGTGGCGGGTGCCTGTAGTCCCAGCTATTCGGGAGGCTGAGGCAGGACAATGGCGTGAACCCGGGAGGCAGAGCTTTCAGTGAGCCGAGATCGCCGCCACTGCACTCCAGCCTGGGCAATAGAGAGAGACTCTGTCTCAAAAAAAAAAAAAAAAACTTAGCCCAGCATGGCAGCGCACACCTGTGGTTCTAGCTACTTAGGAGGCTGAGCTGGGAGAATCACTTGAGCCCAGGAAGTCAGTGTTTCAATGAGCCATGATCATGCCCCTGCACTTCAGCCTGGGTGACAGAGTGAGACCCTGTGGAGGAAGGGAAAGGAAAGGAAAGGAGAGAAGAGGAGAGGAGAGGAGAAGAGAATAGGGGAGAGGGAGAAAAAAGAAGAAAGAGAGAGTGAAAGAAAGGAAAGAAAGAAAGAAGGAAGGAAGGAAGGAAAGAAAGACAAAGAAGGAAGGAAAAGGAAAGGAAAGGAAGAAAGAAAGAGAAAGAAAGGAAGGAAGGAAGAAGAAAGGAAGGAAGGAAGAAGAGAGAGGGAGGGAAAGGAAGAAAGAGAAAGAGGGAGGGAAAGAAGGAAAGAAGGAAGGAGAGAAGGAAGGAAGGAAGGGAAAAAGGGAGGGAGGGAAGGAAGGAAGGACACACACCAGGAATGAAGAGATTTTGATTGAAATCCACGCTTCACCATCAAATCACTGTGTCAACTTGGGCTAGTTTTACCTCCGTCTACCCATTTGAAATTTTACCTCCGTCTACCCTTTTGAAAAATGAGTGGATTTGACTAGATTAGGCTTGTTCAGGCTGGGGTACCCATATCCCTCAGGATACAGGTAGATTTTCCAGGAGGTACACAGGTACAGAGGGATCTGAGGACATTACTGATTATTAAACTACATATTTACTTTTTCCTGAAGTTGATTTACTTGACAATGAGCCACCCTGAAGTTCTCCTTTTCTTCTTCTCTTTGATTAAGTCCTTCCTCTTTAAATTTTTTTTTAAAAAAAGCATACTTCTTACATATCTCTCACATGTCTTCAAAGTGTAAAAACTTCTGAATTCCAAACAAAGGAACAATTCAAGAATGCATTTTCCTGAGGATGCTTTCCATGGAAGCAAAGGAAAGAAAGTGTGAGTAAGAAATACCAAGGGGTCAGCACCGGTTTCATTCAGGTGGCAAACTCACACTAAGCCACTGTGCCTTTTGCTGTCTACCCTAGAAATAGGATTCAGGAGTGTGATAGTTGCCACGGGGATGTAGATTAAGACATTGATTTGAATTGAAAAATGAAGACATTCTTTTGTGGGAGAAATGAGTTTGACTGATTTGGCTGATGGAGGACTGACTTTGCCAATTAGTTAAATCTGTGCCATCAAGTTTTTTAAAAAATATATTTAAAGTATGCAGTAAGATAAAAGCATTTTATGAAAGTAATCACAAAATTTTAAAAAAATATATTTTTTATAAAATGCTTTCAAACTTTCCTATATTTTGAAACCATAGTATTCAAACTTTCCAGCACTTACAGAGCATTTCAGATTAGATAAGGTCACTAAATGAAAGAATAACATGTATAACTAATCACATTATTAATCGTTTGGTAGATGCTGGTAAAGCCTTTTTAGTTAACTTTCTGGAAATTAAGAAAATCACTTGTGATTTGTGATTAGTATTCTACCAGCTAAAAAAACAAATCCTTTTGCAAGATACCAGGTGTCCAATTCTATGACTTTATAAAAATTGAAGGAGTGTTTAATCAAGCTATTGATTAATAATTAAATTAGATCATTAAAATAATTTTTAAATGCTTAATATTATTTTAATATAATCTCTTGAGATCAATAACATATTGCTAGCCAGGTGCAGTGGCTCATGCCTGTAATCCCAGCATTTTGGAAGGCTGAGTCAGGTGGATCACTTGAGGTCAGGAGTTCAAGACCAGCTTACCCAACATGGTTAAACCCTGTCTCTACTAAAAAATACAAAAATTAGTCGGGCATGGTGGTGCATGACTGTAATCCCAGCTACTCGGGAGGCTGAGGCAGGAGAATTGCTTGAACTTGGGAGGCTGAGGTTGCAGTGAGCCAGGATTGCACCACTGCACTCCAGCCTGGGCAACAGAGCGAGACTCTGTCTCAAAAACAAAAAACAAAAAATAATAAAATAAAATAAATAACATTGCAAAATGTTCTGCAGTAGAAGTGCATTCCTAAATAAGTAAACCCAAGGCAATAGTTGACAAAAAGGCAAATAAATAAGTAACTTTAGTTTAAAATACAGTCACCCTTTGGTATCTTTGGGGGATTGGTTCCAGGAACTCTCATGGATACCAAAATCCTTAGATGCTCATGTCGCTTTTATAAAATGGCATAGTATTTGCATATAACCTACATTCATTCTTCCAAATACTTTAAAGTCACCTCTAGATTGGTAGGTATTTAATACTTACCATTATAAATGCTATGCAAGTAGTTGTTATACTGTATTGGTTTTTATTTGTATTATTTTTATTGTTGTGTTATTTTTTATTGTTTTTTTCTAAATCTTTTCTATCTACAGTTGATTGGACCTGCAGATGCAGAACGTGTGGATATGGAGGGCCAACTGTAAATGCCAAAAAAAAATCAACTTTACAAAATAGCGTTATCAATGTTAACTATTTTCAAATACAAGTAGGGACTGAACATATATGCATGGAATCATGTTCTCATTCACTGACATAAGTGTAAGTGTGCCTCCAAACAAGTTACTATGAGGGTAAATACATAAATATATTCAAAATACACACACTCAAATAATAAGCCACAGATCACCCACCATTTTCCAAGACCAAAATTTTCACATAAATATAAGGGCAAATACAGCCAAATACCAGTGTAAATTAACACGCTTACATACACAGATATGTGAAAATTCCAGAATTCAAAGTGACATGCAGACATGTAACACAGGTGTTTATGCATAAACACACAGCTCGGTCAGAAACGGCCCATACAGAAACAGTGGTCTACTGAAACACAGAATACTGCTGTGACCTTCTCACTAGCGATGAAAACTCAACAGTTCACGATAAAACTGACTTTTAAAATGCTCATGCTTTAAATAATAGAGACAAAGGAACCAGACTTCTAAAGCCACTCTCCACCGCCACTGAATTTCTTATAAGTTGATAATGTGAAGGCAATTTCAAAAACGTAAAAGCACAGGGAGGTTGGTGACTCCCATCTGGAATAAAGATTTGTTAAATGAAATCACTGAAATTGAACAGAGAAACATTCTGTAAAGTTAGCTAAATCATTTTTACCTTTTTTCTTGTTAGAGACAGAACCTCACTCTGTCACTCAGGCTGCAGTGCAGCCGGGCCATCCTAGCTCACTGCAGCCTCAAACTTCTGGACTCAAGCCATCCTCCTGCTTCAGCCTCCTGAGTAGCTGGGATTACAGGCATGCACCACCATGCATGGCTCAAATTCTTTTTACTGTGAAGGCCCTGCTAGAGACTTGCTACTGCTCTAGTTCACATCTTGTAGAGGCAAAACTAAAAAAGCTGTTGCTGTGCGCAGGTGCTGTGGGAGAACCCAAGAAAAATGGTCTGAACTGAAAATCTCCATTTCCACTACCCAATTTCCAACTGGTATACTGTCCACAGAAAATTTGGAGTTGTTCCCTAATGGGAAGCCAAAAACATCAGAGTACAATCATGGATGGCTCAAGGGTATCTTTGTGGTGTGGAATAGTGATGTTTCATAGCCTAAGCCTGTCATAGAGGCCTTGGAGCTTTCAATACTGATGATTGTGCTTCATAAGTGTCTCAGAGAAGTCACTGTTATTTTTTTCTTGTATTCTTCTAGCACTCTCCTCATGGAGGTTATCTCCCTTTTCACAGAGGTCAATTCAACATCCTGGCTCTGTATTTGCTGAGTGTATGTCTTCTCCATCTGTTTCATATGGCCTTCAGCTTTCCTGAAATTGTATTCTTGATAGAGACACACCTGATGTAATGTCCAGAAGGCCAAGTACTTGGGAGCTAATGCCCAACACTATCTCCAGTCACAGTCCAGCCAATACCATAGCTTTATATTCCTGAATTCAGTGCGGACAATATCTAGCCTTCCAGAAAGTGTACTGTTGCAGGCAGGACAGATAGCAGGTGAACCACAAAAGTCACCACTGCCATGCTGATCACAGAAGATGTGAGAGCAGATGGTGACCCATGCATAACCAGAGAGTTCAATGTGACACTCTCGATAATTACAAAACAACATGTCTTCACACAAAGACATAATAGGATAGTGAGGTCTCCAGATGCTGAAAATAGTCCATGAAAGAAATATGCAGTCATCATCCATTGTATATCTAGAATTTACAGCACTGAAGAGGACCAGACTGAAACAGTAAGACTCAGATCTGGTTTTGGCCTTGAAATTTTACTTCTCTGGTATCAGATGAATCCAGCTTCTATGTAGGTATCAAGTTGAACTACAGGATCTATCAGCTACTTAGCATCATCTCTTTATAGTCACATCAGCCTTTAACTCTTCCTTTATTGAGAATTTCCAAATCCAATCCTGCTTGATTTTCAGGGGGTCTGCAGATGACCTTTCACAGGGCCACTTCTGGCCTGGCACACAGGGTGCTAAAGACCCAGGTCTTACCTCTTCAGTGGATTTCATCTTCAACCTGCCATCCTTCTCCCTTTAGGAGAGGGAGGGTTAAAATAATTTTTGATTATGAGTATCATGTGATATTTGGCAACTTACTAGAAGTTCAAAGAACCAAATGTCATACTTAAAACTTTTTGTCCCTGTACACTTACATATTAAAAGATGAATTCCTATAGATTTGTATTTATCAATAAAATTGTGTTTCTCAATTTTTACAATGTGTTTATTTACATGTTCATTATTATTATATCATTGAAATAACAAATGGATTTTAAAAATTAATTCATAAGAAAAAATTTGATTCCTGGAGTCTCATGGTCACAGTAAATAATTTAAATTTTAATTTATGCATATGTTTTTAATTGCATAGCAGTAGGAAAATAGCATGAATGGCATTGCCTAGGTTGTCTTTCAGGATTTTTATGGTTTTGGGTTTAAAATTTAAGTCTTTAATCCATCTTGAGTTAATTTTTGTAAATTGTGCAAGGAAGGGGTCCAGTTTCAGTCTTCTGCATATGGATAGCCAGTTATCCCATCACCATTTATTGAATAGGGAGTCCTTTCCCCTTCACAATAGCAAAGACATAGAATTGACCTAAATGTCCATCAATGGTAGACTGGATAAAGAAAATGTGATACATACACACAATGGAATACTATGCAGCCATGAAAAAGAATGAGATCATGTCCTTTGCAGAAACATGGTGGAGCTGGAAGCCATCATCCTTAGCAAACTAATGCAGGAACAGAAAACCAAATACCGCATGTTCTCACTTATAAGGGGGAGCTAAATGATGAGAACACATGGAGACATAGAAGGGAACAACAGACACTGAAGCCTATGGGAGGTTGGAGGGTAGGAGGAAGGAGAGGATCAGGAAAAATAACTAATGAGTACTAGGCTTAATACATGGGTGTCAAAACAATCTGTACAACAAACCCCCATGGCACAAGTTTACCTATATAACAAGTCTGCACACGTACCCATGAACTTAAAAGTTAAATTAAAAAAAGAAAATGACATGAATAAAAGACTTCTGAGCATAAGATTATATTCCATTATACTGAAAGTCTGGGGGGTAAGAGGAATGAAAATATGAGTTCAATGAAAAAAATTAATGTTTTAAATTTTCTAACTGTTAAAGAATTGCTTTCCATATATTTTAAATAGATGCTTGTGGGTATCAAATTAGTATATTTCTACCCCAGTGATTATATATATTTTAAAAAATTATGTAGCAGTTTAAAAAATTAATATTTACATGTTCACATAATGCATTGAGATTCATTTATGTTGTGTGTTGTTTGTTCTTTTTTATTGCTGAATTTTGTCCATTCTATGGCTATACAACAGGTTCATCCTTTCTCTTGTTCATGGAAATTTGGGTTATTTCCAGTTTGGGGCAATTATGAATGAAGCCCATACAAACATTCGTATAGAGGTATTTTTATGAACCTAAGTATTCATTTCTCTTAAATAAATACCAGGAAGTGGTATTGCCGGGTTATGTGACCAGTGTATGTTTGTAAGAAACTGCCAAACTCTTTTCCAAAGTCACAGTACCATTTTGCATTTTCATTAGTAATGCATGCACTACTCTCCTAAGAGTTCCACTTGCTCCACACACCTGTTAGCGTTTGGTATTGTAAATGCTTTTATTTTAGTCGTTCTAATAGATGTGCAGTGGTAAGACTGCATGCTATTTGGAGAAATGAAAGTAATTAGCCTACATTTGTGGAACTCTAAGAATCTAAGCCACTTCAAATGTTGGTGGGAAGATTTTTCGTATTTTCCAACTTCTCCTAGGACAGCTTTCAAATCCAGTTGGTTCCTTGGTTTCTGAGCCTGCTTGGGTAGGAGTTTCTCCAGAGCCCCATCATTGAACCTACTTTAAAAAAAAGTCTTCATAATTTCCATACTTTATTGTCCTTAAATCGTTAATTTTAAGTTTAATATTATTCCTTTTTTATTTTCCATGTCTGATTCTCTACCCACAATCTTTTTGTTTTCATTAGATTTTATTTGCCTTTCTTTTTCCAACTTGAAATGGATCATTGGTCAATTTCATTCATTTCTCATTTCCTATAATTTACTTCCATTTTTATTTTTAATTTGAGACATACCTCTTTCATCACTGCTTTCATTGCACTTTAAGAAATTTATTTTAATTGACTAATAATAATTATTTATATTTATGTGCTACAATTTAATGTTTTGATGTATGTACACATTGCGGAATGGTTATATCAGGGTAATTAACACATCCATCACCTCAGATACTTATCATTTTTTAAATTAGAACATTTCTGTAGCAATTCTGAAATGTACAATACATTGTTAACTATGGTCACCATGCTATGCAATAGATCTCAGAGACTTCTTTCCTTTGTCTAACTGAAACTTTATCCCCTTAACCAACATCTTCCCTTTCCCCATACACTCCACCCTGACCCCTGGCAACGGCCTCTGATAACCACCATCTACTCTCTACTTCTACAAGTTCAACTTTTTAGATTCCACATGTAAGTGAGACATGCAATATTTGTCTTTCTCTGCCTGGCTTGTTTCACTTAGCATAATGTTCTTCATCTTCATCCATGTTATTGCAAATGACAGAATTTCCTTCTTTTTAAAGGCTGAATAGTAGTTCATTGTGTATATATACCACTTTTTTACCCATTTATCCATTGCTGAACACTTAGGTTGATTCCATATCTTGGCTATTGTGAGTAATGCTGCAATGAACATAGCAGTGCCAATATCTCTTCAACATACTGATTTCATTTCTTTTGGATATATACCCAAATATGGGATTGCTGGATTATGCAGTAATTCTACTTTTAGTATTTTTGAGGAAGCTCCACACTATTCTTCATAATGGCTGTACTAATTTATACTCCCACCAACAGTGTTCAAGAATTCCCTTTTCAGCCAGGTGCAGTGGCTCACACCTGTAATCCCAGCACTTTGGGAGGCCGAGGCGGGCGGATCTCATCAGGAGATTGAGACCATCCTGGCTAACGCAGTGAAACCCCGTCTCTACTAAAAATACAAAAAAGTAGCCGGGCGTGGTGGCGGGTGCCTGTAGTCCCAGCTACTCGGGAGGCTGAGGCAGGAGAATGGCGTGAACCCAGGAGGTGGAGCTTGCAGTGAGCCGAGATCGTGCCACTGCACTCCAGCCTGGGCGACAGAGTGAGAATCCATCTCAAAAAAAAAAAAAAAAAAAAAGAATTCCCTTTTCTCCACATCCTCATCAACACTTGTTATGTTTAATCTTTTTGATAACAGACATTCTAACAGGCATGAGGTGATACCTCATTGTGATTTTAATTTGCATTTCCCTGTTGATTAATGATGTTGAGCATTTTCTCATAAACCTATTGGCTATTTGAATGCCTTATTTATTTATTTACTAACTTACTTATTTATTTATTTTCAAGACAGTCATGCTCTGTCACCCAGGCTGGAGTGCAGTGGTGTGATCTTGTCACACTGCAACCTTCGCCTCCCAAGTTCAAGCAATTCTCGTGCCTCAGCCTCCCGAGTAGCTGGAACTACAGGCATGCGCCATCATGCCCAGCTAATTTTTGTGGTTTTAGTAGAGACAGGGTTTCACCATGTTGGCCAGGCTGGTCTTGAACTCCTGGCCTCAAGTGATCTTCCTGCCTTGGCCTCCCAAAGTGTTGGGATTACAGGCGTGAGCCACCGCGCCCAGCCTTTGTATGCCTTCTTTTAAGAAATGTCTATTCAAGTCCTTTGCCCATTTTTAAATTGAGTTGTTTTCTTACTATCAAGTAAATGGAGTGCCGTATATATTTTGAATATTAACCCCTCATCATAGTATGGTTTGCAAATATTTTCTCTCACTCTATGAGTTGTCTCTTGACTCTGTTGATTATTTTCTTTGCTATGCAAACGCTTTGTAATTTAATGTAATCTCACTTGTCTAGTTTTACTTCTGTTTCTTGTGATTTTAGGGTCATATCCAAGAAATCATTGCCCACACCCATGTAATGGAGCTTTCCCCCTATGTTTTCTTCTCAGAGTTTTATAGTTTCAGCCATTGCAGTTAGATCTTTTGTCCATTTTGAGTTGATTTTTTTAAATATATGCATATTTTGTATTTCAATAGCTTTTGGGGCACAAATGGTTTTTGGTTACATGAATAGATTGTATAGTGGTGAAGTCTGAGATTTTAGTGCACCAGTCCCCAAGTAGTGTACATTGTACCCAATATGTAGTTTGTTTTATCCCTCTCTGCCCTCCTACACTCCGCCCTTCTGAGTCTCCAAAGTCCATCATACCACCTGTATACCTTTGCATACCCATAGGTTAACTCAACTTATAAGCGAAAACATATGGTATTTGGTTTTCCATTCCTGAGTTTCTTAACTTAGAATAATGGCCTCCAGCTCCATCCAAGTTGCTGCAAAAGACATTATTTCATTATTTTTTATGGCTGAGTGGTGTATATATACCATGTTTTCTTTATCCATTGAGTTGATTTTTTTGCATGGTGTGCAATAAGGGTTCAATTTTATTTTTCTACATGTGGATTTCCAGTTTTCCCAAGACCATTTATCAGAGACAGTCTCCATTGTGTGTTCTTGGCACCTTTATCAAAAATCAGTTAACCATAAATGTATAGATTTATTTCTGGGCTTTCTATTCTGTTCCATTGGTCAATGTATCTGTTTCTATGACAGTACCATGCTGTTTTGATTGCTACAGCTTTGTAGTATATTTAAAATCAGGTAGTGTGATGCCTCCAGCTGTGTTCTTTTTGCTCAAGGTTGCTTGAGATTCTTGGGGTCTTTTGTGACTCCATACAAATTTTAGGATTTTTTAAATTTCTATAAGAAATGCAACTGGAATTTTGGTAGGGATTCTGAAGTTATACACTAACAAGTGGAATAACCTGGAAGAAATTGAGAAATTCCTAGAAGCATATAATCTACCAAAACTGAATCATGAAGAAACAGAAAAACTAAATAGATCAACAAGTAAGGAGATTTAATTGGTAATTAAAAGTCTCTTATCGAAGAAAAATCTAGGATCTGATGGCTTCATGACTTCATTCTACCAAACATTTAAAGAACTAATGCTAATCCTCCTCAAATGCTTCCAAAAAATTGAAGTGGAGGGAATTCTTTCAAACTCATTTTATGAGGCCAGCATTATTCTAATACCAAAGCCATGCAAAGACACTACAAGAAAAGAAAATTACAGGCCAATATCCATGATGTACACAGAGGCAAAAATTCTCAAAAAAAAAAAAAGATCAGCAAATTGTATTCAACAGTACATTAAAAGGATCATTCACAGCCAAGCATGGTGGGTCACACCTGTAATCCCAGCAATTTGGGAGGCCAAGGAGGGCAGATCACTTAAGGCTAGGCGTTCGAGACCAGCCTGGCCAACAGGGCAAAACCCTGTCTCTACTAAAAATACAAAAAAAATTAGCCAGGCATGGTGACACATCCCCATAATCCCAGCTACTTGAGAGGCTGAGGCACAAGAATTACTTGAACCTGGGTGGCAGAGGTTGCAGTGAACCAAGATCGTGCCGCTGCACTCTAGCCTGAGTGACAAAGCGAGACTCTGTCTCAAAATAAAAGAAAAAAATAGTATCATTTACCATGATCAAGTGGGATTTATCCCTTGGATGCAAGGATGGTTCAACATATTCAAAGCAATCAATGTGGTGAACCATCTTAACAGAATTAGTGATATAAATAATATGATCATCTCAGTAGATGCGGAAAATGCATTTGACAAAATTCAACATTTTTATGATAAAAAATCTCAACAAATTAGGTATAGAAGGAATGTACATCAACACAATAAAGGCCAGATATGACAAGCCCACAGCTCTTATACCCAACAGTGAAAAGTTGAGTTTTTTCTCTGAGATCAGGAACAAGACGAGAATGCCAATTTCTACCACTTTTAATCGACATAGTACTGAAAGTCCTGGCCAGAGCAATTAGCAAGAAAAATAAATAAAATTCATCCAAATAGGAAAGAAAGCGACGAAATTGCCTCTGTTTACTTATGACATGATCCTATATATAGAAAACCCTAAAGACTCCACACCAAAAAAACTGTTAGAACTGATAAAGCAATTTATTAAACTTTCAGGATACAAAATCAACATACAAAAATCAGCGGCATTTCTATACACTAACAACAAACTACCTGAAAAACAAATTAAAACAATCCCATTTACAATAGCATAAAAAATACTTAGGAGTAAATTTAACAAAGGATATGAAAGATCTGTACACTGAAAACTACAAAATATTAGTGAAAGAAATTGGAGAAGACATAAATAAATGAAAAGATATTTCATATTCATATTTCATATGGATTAGAAGAATTAATATTGTTAAAATGCCCATACCACCCAGAACCTATCTTTTTGCCCAGCTTCCCCAAATAGCAGAGGTTGCACTTTGCAGGAAACTGAGCAGCATTTTGCAATTGAAAGGTCTACAGATGGCCAGGAGCTGGGGGAGCAGTGTGAATTCCCAGGTTACAATATTTAGGAACTACAGGTAAGGGCCCACTATGACTCTATTACATCTCGCTACCCTCTAGTTCTCCCCAGTTAGGCGCTTGCCCAGCCCCAGGCCCTGTTTCCATGGCTGAGAGCTCCTAGCTCACACCCCTCCTCATCCCCATAGCATAGCATGTTCTGTTGCAAGGCTACTCAACCAGATATGTGCCTCTAGCCTCAGTTACTAGGAAGCAGACCTTGAGGAGGACAACTAGCTCCATAAGTCACTTTAATACACCTTGCCCTAAGTTCAGGCTGAGTAAGTAAGTAAATTAGTAAGCCTCGTCCAAAGATATTTTCTTCTAAATGCTGCCTAGTCAGATATCTACATTCTGATACCGGAGAAGGATTGTCTCTAAATATTGAGTACAGAACACTCCGTACATATCTCCATATTGTGCTGCTAAAATATTTTAAATCTTTTACATTTTTTGTCCTTTTGATCTGTCAATGATTGAGAAAGGTGTGTCAAGGGCCCTCAATACAGCCATAGATTTCTCAATTTATGCCTATAATGATGTCAATGTTTGCTTTAATATATCCTGATTTGATTGGTTTAGGTAAATACAAATGTATTCCTGGTGAACTGAGTCTTTTACCATTATCTAGCAAGCCATCCTTTATCCTTAAAGATAAAACTTCGTCTTAGAGTTTTCTTTTTTTTTTTCAGACAGTCTCTCACTGTCTTTCTCCCAGGGCGGAGCGCAGTGGCACGATCTTGGCTCACTCCAACCTCCCTCTCCTGGGTTCAAATGATTCTTGTGCCTCGGCCTCCCAAGGAGCTGGGATTATAGGCATGTGCCACCACACCTGTAATTTTTGTAATTTTAGTAGAGACGGGGTCTTTCCATGTTGCCTAGGCTGGTCTTGAACTCCTGGCCTCAAGCAATCTGCCTGCCTCGGCCTCCCAAAGTGTTGGGATTACAGGCGTGAGCCAATGTGCCCAGCCTTAGAGTTTTCTATTGCCTAATATTAATCAAACTATACTCTCTCTTCTTTGTTTGCATTTGCCTAGTCTTTTTTCCATTCTTTTGCGTTCAACCATTCTACTTATGTTTTAAGTTTATCCTTCAAATCGTGTAAATCTACATTGTAAAAATCCAGTCCAGAAATTATTACCTATTAATTGACATTTATGGGCACTAATGACATATTTGGATTCATTTCTACAATTTTATTACAAGTTATCTACTCTCAGTCCTCATTATTCAGATTCTGTACTTGCCAATTTGCCTACTTGCTGAAATTTATTTATTACCCAAAAATCAATACTCATGATGCTTTTGTGGTCATTCAGGGATATGTGCAGAATGGCAAAAAATTTGAGTCCCCCAACGTACACATTCCCAGCTGAAGTCAAACAAGGCAACGCTCTGCTTGTTTAAGCTCTTCTACTACTATAAACAAGCTTCCTTTTTGCAGTCTACTTAGTGTCACATTTTTCACATTTTTGTGCTTTTTGTTGGTGAGTTTGCTGTTTAAAATGGCTGCCAAGAATTACTAAAGTGCTGTCAAGTGTCCTAAGAGCAAGAGGCCTGCAATGTGCCTTACAAAGAAATTACTTGTGTCAGATAAGCTTGGTTCAGGCATGAGTTACAGGGCTTTCAGCCACAATTCAATGTTAATGAAACAATAATATATATTACATAAGGTGTCTTTTTTTTTTTTTGAGATGGAGTCTCACTCTGTCGCCAGGCTAGAGTACAGTAGTGCGATCTCGGCTCGCTGCAACCTCCGCCTTCTGGGTTCAAGTGATTCTCCTGCCTCAGACTCCCGAGTAGCTGGGATTACAGGCACCCACCACCACGTCCTGCTAATTTTTTGTATTTTTAGTAGAGATGAGGTTTCACTGTGTTGGCCAGGATGGTCTCAATCTCCTGACCTAGTGATCCGCCTGCCTCAGCCTCCCAAAGTGCTGGGATTACAGGCATGAGCCACCGCGCCTGGCCTATATACATGTTTAAAAAATAAAGACAGGGCCAGCACGGTGGCTCATGCCTGTAATCCCAGCACTTTGGGAGGCTGAGGCAGGCAGATCACCTGTGGTCAGGAGTTCAAGACTAGCCTGGCCAACACGGTGAAACCCTGTCTCTACTAAAAATACAAAAATTAGCCTGGAGTGGTGGTGCACACCTGTAGTCCCAGCTACTCAGGAGGCTAAGGCAGGAGGATCCCTTGAACCCAGAAGGTGGAGGTTGCAGAGAGCCGAGATCACACCACTATGCTCCAGCCTGGGGGACAGAGAGAGATTCCCTCTCAAACAAAACAAAAAAAATAAAAATAAAAATAAATAAATAAATAAAGTATGTAGAGTTTTATTTAATAATTAACCACACAGATTAAAAAATAGAAAGTAGCCAGCTTCCCAGAAGTCTTCTGTGTGCACCTTCTAATTACCATCTCTGTCATGTGTCTTCAGACAGAAGCACATATAAAAACAAGGTTATGTATTGATCAAATGATGAAAATGTGTGGTCAGAGGCTTGCATTTTCCCTAGGAGCAATGGCTCAGTATTTGCTAATCCGGTGTTCACAGTGACTTTACAGAACATAACTACCCCCAAGTAATGGGAATCAACTGTATTTTTATTACTTTGGTGTACAAAGAACTTTGAGCTCTCCATGGCTTGCCACAACAAAAGACTTCCTAGGCAAATTGTCTACTGCTTTGTTCCAAGTGGGGGCTCTACTTGAGGCTGTGGGACCAAGACAAAAGAAGCAGCCTCTATGTGGATTAGGCCCCTTCTCCTGGCAGAGAGAAAGCACAAAGGAGCTGGCAGAAACTCACAGTGCAAAACTCACTATGCATATGCTACATCTGCTCATACTCCAATAGGCAAAGCACAGCTGACAGCAAACCCAAAGTCAATGAGACAGAAATGTGTCTTCCTTCCACGGGCCGTTCTAAAATTGCAAGGTAATGGACAGGAGTGTCCTCTTAAAGGAAAGATGGAATGAATAGTTGTGAATAATAATATAACCCATCACTACTACTCCTGTTTTAATTTTTTGAAAATGTTTAGATACATATTATATGCTTGTTTAATTTAAAATATCAAACTTTACCTTGCTCAGGCTCTGCCCCTCCACACTGGGCCACTCAAAGATGCCCAACTTACCCTACTTGGGCTCCAACAGCCATATCAGGTTGCATTCGAGACCAGCCTGGCCAACATGGTGAAACCCCGTCTCTACTAAAAATGCAAAACTTAGCCGAGCGTGGTGGCGCACACCTGTAGTCCCAGCTACTAGGGAGGCTAAGGCAGGAGAATCGCTGGATGCATTGATGCCCTCTTCACCCTGCTTAGGCTCTGATTCCTGACACAAGACAGCTCTGTTCTGTGGAACCCCTCCTCACTATGCTTGGCCCAACTCCCCACAGCCGACCACTCTAACTTCTATGTATCCTCCTCATCTCCTTGGGCTCAGACCCTCCATGTCTGGCTACCCACCCCCATAGACACCCTCCTCACCCTCCTTCAGTTCGGACAGTCCACATCAGGCCTCTTCCCTATGGAGACAGCTTCCTCACTTTGCTCCAGCTCTAAGGCTCCTCCCTCATCTGCTCCCCTGCCTGGACACTCTGCTCACCCCACTCAGGCTCTCATTCTATGCCAGTCTGCCCCTCTAGCCCCAGGGGGATGCCTTTCTCAACATGGGCAGGCTGGTCTCCATGCTATGCTGCTTCTTGCCTCTTCACTGGGCATTCTCATCTACCCCTGGCTCCAGCACACCAGGCCAGCAGCCCTCCTACAGAGACACCCTCCTTGACCTGTTCCAGCTCTGATGCCCACACGGAGCCAGCCGTGGCTCCCTTCCCCTTGGGGCAAACGCCTACCTTGCTAAATGTGCCTATCTAATGGCTTTAGGACTGACTAGTTCAGTTAGTAAAGAAAAGGAGACAAAACAAGGAAGAGCTACTTTTCCTTTTTGTAAAAATATGTATTGTGAAAAACACCACAAAAATAAAAATATGCATGAAACATTAATGTTCAGTCTAACGAACTATTACGAAGTGACCACTCATTAAACTATCACTGAAATCAAGTAAAAAATTTCCAACACTTTCTGCTCCTTTTTCATTCTTTTCCAGTCACAACCCCTTCCTATGCTCTCAAAGGCAGCTAATGGTAGTGACTTTCTTTTTCATATTTTCAAGATCATATGTATTCCCCTAAATATGTTTTTGTTTTTGTCTGCTTCTGTTCTATATCAATGGAGTCACTTGGAATGTATTCTTTTGTGCCTGGCTTTTTGTGTTCAACATTATATTAATGAATTCCATCCACATTGTTTTGTGTAGCTGTATTTTGTCAATTTTCATTGCCATGCCATCTATTGTATGACTACACACATCTCTACTGAGTTGTTTATAGTTTGCAGCTGTTAAGAATAAAGCTGCTGTGTGTATACATAGCATGTATGTAATAACGTTCTGCACGTGTATCCCAGAACTTAAAGTATAATAAAAAACTAGGATTTTCTAAATAAAAATGTTATTTATATCAACATGTAATAAGTTTATTACGTTAAATGAATTAATAAATGTTTTTAAATGTCAAAAAAATTTTAAACAATTTACTCATGTAAAAAAAAGAATAAAGCTGCTATGAACACTCTGTGTGCATTTGCTGGAGCACGTGGGCAGGTGTTCTTGTAGGTTATACATTCAGCATAGGGAATGATGGGTTACAGGGTATGCATATCTTCAGCTTCTCAAGCTGATACCAAATTATTTCCCAAAGAGTTTGTACCAATTCACAGCCTTGCCATTGGTAGTTGAGAGTTCCTATTGTTCCATAACCATGCTGTATGTAGAACTGTCACAATCTTTTCATTTTTACCATCCTGCTACGAGTATGGAAATACATCACTGTGGACTTAATTTAAATTTCTTGACTACTAATGAGGTTGAGCACCTTTTTAGATCTTTATTAACCACTTGGCTATCCTCTCTTTGATTTTCTTTTCAAATGTTTTGCTCATTGTTCTCTGGGGTTTTCTGACTTTTTCTTGCTGATTTCTACTGGAGTCATGTCTTTCCTCAGTTATATGTATTATGAACATCTTCCAGGATCAAGGGTAATCTTCTAAAACCCTTATTGGCTTGTCTTTTACCTTTTGAATGAAAGTTTTTATCACGTGCCCTTCCTACCCCAAAGACAGAATCAGGAATCCTTTTTCTATGTTCCTTTCCTACAATACAATAACTCGCTACAATACAATACAGTAACTCCAATATCTGAAGTCTTTGTGGACCTCTGCTGTTGGTTGTTTTTCTTGATTTTTTTCATCTTGTTTTCTTAAGATCTGTGTGATTTTTTTTATTGTGAGAGTACATATTTAATGGAAGTTTATGTATGTAACAATACTTTGTGGAATTTCTTGGATTCCTGTGTTTAAAGGAGAATTCTTCCGAATCAACTTGTCCTCAATTTTTCCCTAACAACTCATGCAATTTTGAATTAAATTCATAGCTTTAGATTTATCAGACCATGCACATGTGCCAATTTTCCTACTCTGCTCTTATGAAAGGAAACAAGGTTGCAGTTACAAATTCTCAGAATAGTCTTTTTTTTTTTTTTTGAGATGGAGTCTCGCTCTGTTCCCCAGGCTGGAGTGCAGTGGCACTATCTCAACTCACTGCAACCTCCTTCTCCCGGGTTCAAGTGATTCTCCTGCCTCAGCCTCCTGAATAGCTGGGATTACAGACACGCACCACCACGCCTGGCTAATTTTTTTGTATTTTTAGTAGAGATGGGGTTTCACCATGTTGGTCAGGCCGGTCTCGAACTCCTGGCCTCGTGATCCACCCACCTCTGCCTCCCAAAGTGCTGGGATTACAGGCATGACCCACTGCACCCAGCCCAGAGTAGTCTTTTTTCCTGTTTTGTTCAGAGCCAAAGCCAAGACAGGCAAGTTCCTTCACCACAGTTGTGCATGTGTGTGTTTCTGTTTCATCCATTTATTTCTGTTTCATCCATTTATTAAGGTGTCAGCATTTGGTGATCCTTGTGAGTGAGATTTCTGATCTGACTTTTCACATTGCTTAGGGCTTAGCTCTTTTTTCTTGCCCTTGCCAGGGGCCCACTAAAATTCAAACTGCAGATTACCAGGCATTGGCAGATACTCCCAGGGAAGCCTCTAACTAAAGCACTTCCTTATCTCTCTGGAGTCAGACCTTCACATCATTTTTGGCTTTTAAGAATTCCTCTTTCTTGCCAACTGACTCATTGATTTAAAGAGTCATGCATTTTAAGTATTTTAGACAATATTTTGGGGGGGTGATTTACTGGGAATAGTTTCTAAGAGTCCTAGTTATGAATTTTTAATTATAAAATTACACACATCAAATACCCAATAAGTGAAACAGTACAAAGAACATATAAAGAAAAGGTAATAATTTCTAAGCCACATCTCTCCATTTCTAACTCCCTCAATATTAATAGCCTTGGTTGATAATTAATAACCAATTTTAATGGGCTGTTTTGTACCCTTACCATCTTTCTCTGCGTCCAAATATATACAATCATGTATGTATATGGGTTCTGATACTTGGAAAACAAAATGAAATTATGATGTATACATTCACTACTACTGTACTTGCTTCTTTTCACTTAACTCTACCTCATGTAAGTCCATCCATATAAAAATGTAGATTGAAAATTGCCTTAAATAGATGCCCACACTCTGTTCAACATCTCTGCTCTTAAATTACTGCTAGTCTTATGGAAATTGCAGAGTTGCTTAATTTGCATATCCCCAACTACTACTGATATTAATCTTCTTTGCTTTTTAAAGTTTTTTAGTTAAAAAATTTATAATTGACAAATAATTTTATATATATTAGTGTGATATTTTCATATACATATACTTATATTGTGAAATGATTAAATCAAGCTAATTAACATCTCCATCACCTCACATACCTATCTTTTTTTGTGACAAAAACATTTAAAACCTACTCTCAGCAATCTTCAAGTGCTTTTAATTATCGGCCATTTGAATTTTCTCTTTCGTGAACTGCTTGTGCAAATCTTTTTCTATTGAGATGTTTGTCATTTTCTCATCAATGTGTTTATTAGAAAAAATAACTTCTGGCTAGTCATATGTATTGCAAATATTTCCCTCAGCCTGTAGTTTGATTTTTATTTATTATGTGTTTTGTTCTATAAAAATTTAAAGAGTTATGTAATCAATAATGCTTATTAATTTTTCTTTATGTCTTACATTTCTTGCTTAAGAAGTTCTCTCCAATGCTAACATTTGAGATCATTCTCCTAATTTTTCTCCTAAGTTATTTATTTAAAAAAATCTAACACATAGGACAGAGATTTCTACTTTTCTGGGAAAATGAACTAGATGGACTTTTCTCTATTCCTCTGATGAAATTCAGCTAAAAATCCTGGACATTAAATACACAAGAAGATTCTGAAAGGTAATAAGGGCAAGGCAGACGAGCCAGAAACCTTAAGACCTGAAGAACAGCACGGCAGCGGGATTACTGAGTTTTCTTTTTGCCTCACATATTCAAGACTGGGTGCTAGAGAAGCTGGAAACCCAGAAACACAGAAACAGAGACAATAAAAGCCTCAAAAACAAAACAAAATGCAACACAACAAAAAACCAGCCTGCTCACTCTTGCCAAAGGACCAGGAAAGAGGCAGCCTAATAAGACGGAAAACATTGAACAATAACCACTAGTATAGCCAAACACGTAGTTCCACCCCCATCAGAGCTGAGAGAGGAGCCTCAACTTCTGCCTTTACCAGGCTGAAAGGAGGAGCCCCAGTCTCCCTGCAAAGAGCCCAGACTTTGGTCACCACCAGACAGTAATGATGCTGCCTTCCCCCAATGCGTGTGCTGTCAGTGGAGGCCGTGTGGGGAGCAGAAGGATACTTCTATCCCTCTCTGCTAGAGAGGTATCAGTGGAACTTATTGAGGAGCTAGACCTCCCACCCCAGCCCAGAAGTAATGAGAGGAAACCACTCCCCCAACTCAGTTGTCAACAAAGACTCAATGGGGAACCTGATTTCTACCCCCATCCGGCAGTAATGAGGTGGTGCTCCACTCTTCCCTGCTGGAAGGGTGACAGAAGAAATCAAGGTTTAAATGAGATCTAGAATCTCATAAAATAAAACCCAAAGTTTCCAACTTTCAATACAAAATTATTTGTTATATCAAAAACCAGAAAAATCTCAAACAAAATGACAGAAGATTATTAATAGGTGCCAACACTGGGATGACAACGATGTTATAATTATATGATAAAAATTGTAAAGAGGTCATCATAAAGAAGCTTAAAGGAGCAATTATAAACAAACAAAGATATTAAAACAGAACGTCTCAGCAAAGAAATAGAAGATATAAAGAAGAAACAAATGGACATTTTAGAAAATTTTAAAAGCGTATAACTGAAATACAAACTCAATGGATGAGCTTAACAGCCAAATAGAGAGTATAGAGGAATAATCTGTGAATTTGAAGATAGAACTTTCACTCACATCCGTGTGAAGAGACCACCAAACAGGCTTTGTGTGAGCAATAAAGCTTTTTAATCACCTGGATGCAGGCGGGCTGAGTCCGAAAAGAGAGTCAGCGAAGGGAGATAAGGGTGGGGCCATTTTATAAGATTTGGGTAGGTAAAGGAAAACTACAGTCAAAGAGGGGTTGTTCTCTGGCGGGCAGGAGTGGGGGTCACAATTTGCTCAGTAGGGGAGTTTTGAGCCAGGATGAGCCAGGAGAAGGAATTTCACAAGATAATGTCATCAGTTAAGGCAGGAACAGGCCATTTTCACTTCTTTTGTGGTAGAATGTCATCAGTTGAGGCAGGAACAGGCCATCTGGATGTGTACGTGCAGGTCACAGGGGATATGATGGCTTAGCTTGGGCTCAGAGGCCTGACATTCCTGTCTTCTTATGTTAATAAGAAAAATAAAACAAAATAGTGGTAAAGTGTTGGGAAGGCGAAAATTTTTTGGGGTGGTATGGAGAGATAATGGGCGATGTTTCTCAGGGCTGCTTCGAGCGGCATTAGGGGCGGCGTGGGAGCCTAGAGTAGGAGAGATTAAGCTGAAGGAAGATTTTGCGGTAAGGGGTGATATTGTGGGGTTGTTAGAAGAAACATTTAGAATTATTGGTGATGGCCTGGATACAGTTTTGTATGAATTGAAAAACTAAACGGAATAAGAGAAGGAGAAAAACAGGTATTAAAGGTCTAAGAATTGGAAGGACCCAGGCCATCTAATTAGAGAATCTCCTAATAAGGAGATTCAGCATAGTCCTGCCAGCAAAGATTATTTATTTACTTTAAGAGTTAAGAGTGGCAGTTTGGAGATAGCACTAGGAGATATCAGCTGTGATGGCTTGGAGAAACAGTGTAAGCCGGCAGTGTAAACATATTGTCTAGTCCTTTTTAAGTTAGTGGCTGAGCTTGGTGAGGTGTGTTTTTAAAAGACCTTTAGTCCGTTCTACTTTTCCTGAAGACTGAGGACTGTAAGGGATATAAAGGTTTCACTGAATACCAAGAGCCTGAAAAACTGCTTGGCTGATTTGACTAATAAAGGCTGGTCCGTTATCAGACTGTATAGAGGTGGGAAGACTAAACCAAGGAATTATGTCTGACAGAAGGGAAGAAATGGCTGCGGTGGCCTTCTCAGACCCTGTAGGCAAGGCCTCTACTTATCTAGTGAAAATGTCTACTTAGACTAAGAGGTATTTTTGTTTTCTGACTCAGGGAATGTTGAGTAAAGCCAATTTGCCAGTCCTGGGCAGGGGCAAATCTCTGAGCTTGATGTGTAGGGAAGGGAGGAGGCCTGAATAATCCCTGAGGAGTAGTAGAATAGCAGATAGAACACTGAGAAGTTATTTCCTTGAGGATAGATTTCCACGATGGAAAGGAAATGAGAGGTTCTAAGAGGCGGGCTAGTGGCTTGTACTATAGCATAGCCTGCCTTTGCTGGTGTGTGGTGATTAGGCCTGGTGGAACTACCATCAATAAACCAAATGTGATCAGGGTGAGGAACAGGAAAGAAGGAAATATGGGGAAATGGGGTGAATGTCAGGTGGATCAGAGAGATACAGTCATGGGGGTCAGGTGTGGTATCAGGAATAATGTGGGAGGCCGGATTGAAGTCCGGGCCAGGAACAATGGTAATTGTGGGAGACTTAACAAAGAGTGAGTACAGCTGAAGGAGCCAGGGAGCAGAAAGTATATGTGTCAGGTGTGAGAAAGAAAATAGATTCTAGAAGTTATGAGAAGTGTAGAGAGTGAGTTGAGCATAGTTTGTGATTTTAAGGGCCTCTAAAAGTATTAGGGCGGCAGCAGCTGCTGCACGGAGACATGATGGCCAGCCTAAAACAGTAAGGTCAAGTTGTTTGGACAAAAAGCTACAGGGCGTGGTCCTGGTTCTTGTGTAAGAATTCTAACTGCACAGCCCTGCACTTAGGCTTTGGGTAATGAAAAGGGTTGGGATGAGTCAGGGAGAGCTAGGGTGTGGGCAGTCACTAAAGCTGTCTTCAAGGAACGGAAAGAGGAGTGGGGAAGGATTTAGGATCTATAGGGTCAGCTAGTTTTCCTTTTGTGAGTTTATGTAATGGTTTTGTTAGGATGGCAAAACCAGGTATCTAAAGTCGAAAGTATCTAACCATGCCTAGGAAGGAAAGGAGTTGTTTTGTAGGTGTTGGGGTTTGAGAGATCAGCTGAACACGATCGGCAGGGAGAGCACGTGTGTTTTTATGAGAATTACACTGAGATAGGTAACAGATGAGGAAGAAATTTGGGCTTGACTGAAGTAATGGGGGCTATCTGTGAAGGCTTGCGGCAGTGCAGCCCAGGTAATTTGCTGAGCCTGGTGGGTGTCAGGGTCAGTTCAAGTGAACGCAAAGAGAGGCTGGGATGAAGGGTGCAAAGGAATAGTAAAGAAAGCATGATTGAGATCCAGAACAGAATAACGGGTTGTGGAGGGAGGTATTGAGGATAGGAAAGTATATGGGTTTGGCATCATGGGGTGGATAGGCAAAACAATTTGGTTGATAAGGCGCAGATCCTGAACTAATCTGTAAGACTTGTTCAGGTTTTGGACAGGTAAAATGGAATTGTAAGGAGAGTTTATAGGTTTTAGAAGCCTATGCTGTAGCAGGCGAGTGATAACAGGCTTTAATCCTTTTAAAGCATGCTGTGGGATGGGATATTGGCATTGAGCAGGGTAAGGGTGATTAGGTTTTAATGGGATGGTAATGGGCATGTGATCGGTTGCCAGGGAAGGAGTAGAGATGTCCTATACTTGTGGGTTAAGATGGGGGGATATGAGAGGAAGAGGCAAAGGAGGCTTTGGGTTGGGGAGAAGGGTGGCAATGAGATGTGGCTGTAGTCCAGGAATAGTCAGGGAAGCAGATAATTTGGTTAAAATATCTCGGCCTAATAAGGGAACTGGGCACTTGGGGGTAACTAAAAAAGAGTGCTTAAAAAAATATTGTCTAAGTTGGCACCAGAGTTGGGGAGTTTTAAGAGGTTTAGAAGCCTGGCTGTCAATACCCACAGCAGTTATGGAGGCAAGGGAAACAGGCCCTTGAAAAGAAGGTAATGTGGAGTGGGTAGCCTCCATATTGATTAAGAAGGGGACGGACTTACCTTCCACTGTGAGATTTACCTAAAGCTCAGCGTCCATGATGGTCTATGGGGATTCCGAGGCGATCGGGCAGCATCAGTCTTCAGTCGCTAAGCCGAGAAGATCTGGGAAGGAGTCAGAGAGCCTTGGGCCAGAGTTCCAGGGGCTCTGGGAGTGGCTGCCAGGTGAGTTGAACAGTCTGATTTTCAGTGGGGTCCCGCACAGACGGGACACAGCTTAGGAGGAATCCTGGGCTACGGCATTCCTTGGCCTGGTGGCCAGATTTCTGGCACTTGTAGCAAGCTCCTGGGGGATGCAGGCCTGGAGGAATGCCTGGCCACTGCGGTTTGGGCATTTGGAAGTTCTTGTATGCTGGAGATGTGGCTGGGGTTTCTCTCAGAGTGGAGGCAAGGAATTGCAACTCAGAAATATGTTGTTACTTGGCTGCCTCTACTCTATTATTGTACACCTTGAAGGTGAGGTTAATTAAGTCCTGTGGTGGAGTTTGAGGGCCGGAATTTAATTTTTGGAGTTTTATTTAATGTCGGGAGCAGATTGGGTAATAAAATGTATATTAAGAATAAGACGGCCTTTTGACCTTTTAGGGTCTAGGCTGTAAAGCATCTCAGGGTTGCTGCCAAATGAGCCATGAACTGGGCTGGATTTTTATATTTGATGAAAAAGAGCCTAAACGCTATCTGATGTGGGATAAAGAAAAAGGAGCATTAACCTTGACTATGGCTTTAGCTCCAGCCACCTTTTTAAGAGTAAATTGCTGGGCAGGAGATCATGTATGGTTCTTCCAAGATTGCCAAGGTATCCTCCAACTCTCACTGGTGGTTTCGGGGCTCAATGCAGGAAATCATATTGCTGATTTTCTAGTCCAACTTGCTGTTCTCTAGAAGAGAGAAGGGGTAGGAATTCAGTAGCCACACAATCTGGTAAAAACATATCCATTTAAGCATAACTAATCCTCCCAAACCCTGTGGGCAGGGATGTTTTTCTGTGGCTCAAGAGATGCCCACACAAGGATTCTCCCAGGATGTTTTAAGTTCAATGAGCAGAGACATAAATGCCAGATCTCCTAGGGTTTGGCTAAATCAAGCAGACCTACAAGAGGAGTGTGGGGAGTCTGGGGATAGGATGAAGAAGCAGAGGCCCCAGATTGGATTGGCTGGGACTGAGGAGGCATAGCATCCTGCTGTCTGTCTCCCCACAACCTAAGAGTCCATAATTTTTGAGAACTGGATGAAGAGGGAAAGGTGCTTCTTAGATCTTACCATCTTCAAGAAGCATGCAGACATTTCCGCAGAAGACATTACTGCATTAATGATGAATTTGAGATTCTGAGTGTAACTTGCAGAAGGTTCTGCCTATCAGTGAGAATCTGTGTGGCATTTCAGTTTTGGCTTTGATAAAATTGAGGAGTATATGAGCAGTAACACCCAGGAGGGTGTTTCTCACTATTATCAGCCCCTCCAATGCTCCAGGACCCACTCCATTGATTTCCCTTCTTCCTCTCCCCAGCGCAAGGATCTGGGTGGTTTTCTTTGTTGTTGTTGTTGTTGTTGTTGTTGGCTTCTGGAGTAAAGTTCCAGTCCCCAATCATCCTCCCTTCAACAACTCAGCTGCTATGACGTCACCTCTATGGAATTTAAACTCACAGAACCTGAGTTCAATTCTTAGAGCAACTAGTTCTGAGGCACTTTCTAGTCCCCCATTTTACAGGATGGGAAGAATTGAATCTCAAAGTAGGGAAAAAACTTTCCTTCCACCTTCACCTCTCCACTTCTGGCTGAAATGGCCCTGAAAGACTCAGCTCTTCCCTACCCATATTCATCATGCAATATCTACTCACCACCTTACCTTCAATTCTTCTGAAGATTTCACTTTTGTTATCCCAGTGGCTCCAAACTTCTCTCCATCAAGCATGCATTTTATTTCTCCTTTTTATGCCCAATGTTTTGAAATACTCAATCCTAATAAAAGGGCATGTTTCAAGAAATAATTAGTAGTCCTTTCCCAATTTGGTGTTCCTCTTTGGAACTCTTAACTGAGGACATAAACTCCTAAGTTTATGTCCTCCTCAGTTTATGAGCTAGGAACCCTCCATGCAGGCTCTGAACCTGGTGGAGCTCTTCCTTGGTAAGTGTCCTCCTAGACAAAAACTCAGTGAGGCCACCACTGTCCCCCAAACACAGATAAAAACATTGCATTACTTGCAGCATCAGGAGATCCTCAAGCCTGAGAATTAAACATTTAGTTTTCTTCAGGGATTCTGACTTTTTTAAAAAGCTGTGTTTTTATGTTGCCAGCCCCTGGCACCTCTCTGCAATAGGACTGTAAAAGTCTTTTTGTTTTCCACCCACTCTTCATTTTGAAGCCCAGCCAGAATACATACAGTAATCTGAAAATTCCATTACAGGAAAAAACTCTTTCTTTCCATTCTCCTGACACTGGCAGAACCACAATGCCAAGGAGTATCAGCAATTTGGACATCTGAGTAAAGCTGGCAGGAGACTCAGGATTTTACCAGGCTCTGCTGGGGGTAGAAAAGGGTTCCAGATGAGGAGTTTGGAGAATGTGTGACTCGACTCTCACTACCTTATCTGGTTCTGCCTCCTCCACTCCTCTGGCCATCACTCCCTGGGTGGGCACTGGCTTCTCACAAAGTACTTCCTTTTTCTTATAGCTCATACACCTCTCATTGCAGAAATAAATTCTCCACACTTTTTTTTAATTTTTGAAATTTGAAAAATATACATTTGAAAAACAGAAAAGAACAAAGAGAAGTAATGAGATAGTAGTTATTCCTTACCTAGAGATAATAACTGTTGATAATTTACTACGTGTCCAGATTTTTTTACTGTATCAATACATATATCATCTGAATTTATATCTAATCTTTACCTCTACTCATATATAATCTATATATATGTGTTTTTCATCAAATATGCCTCAGATTATACATGCTGTTTCTAACTTTTTTCATTTAATCAAATATTGCAGAAATAATTTATTTTCTATAAAATGATTTTGGGAGCAAGTACTGTTTTCTTTATGTATACTGCACACAAGTGCATAAATCATTAGTGGATTTTTACTACATACATACCCATCTAGACACCACCCAGATTAAGAAAGAGATCATCAGATAATATTCCTCTTCTCTCATCCAAGAAAAGGTCATCGCTATTTTAAATTTTATCACCATCAATTAGACTTGCCTATTTTAAACTTTATATAAATGGAATAATACAGTGTGTATTATTTTGTGTCTGGCTTCTTTTGCTCAACATCATGTTTGGAAAGTCCGTCTATATTGTGGATGTTGTTCATTCAATTTCATTGTTATATAATATTCCATTGAATGAATATAATATTTAATCCATTCCACTTTTGATAGATATTTGGATTGTATCCAAGTTAGAGTCTTATGAATGTTTCTATGACCACTTTTATATATGGCACTGGGCATACATATAGATATTCCTGTTGGGTATATACCTAGAAGTGGAATTTTTGGGTCATAGGATATGCATATGTTCAGTTTTAGGAGATCTGCCAAACAGTTTTCCAAATTGGTTATATCAGTATACATTCTCATCAGCAGAATATGAGACTTCCAGTGATGCTGATTTTTCTGCAACATTTAGGTTTCTTAAAAACTTTTTTTTTTTTTTTAGATGGAGTCTTGCTTTGTTGCCCAGGCTGGAGTGCAGTGGCGTGATCTTGGCTCACTGCAAGCTCCACCTCCCGGGTTCACGCCATTCTCCTGCCTCAGCCTCCCAAGTAGCTGGGACTACAGGCACCCACCACCACACCTGGCTAATTTTTTGTATTTTTAGTAGAGACAGGGTTTCACCGTGTTAGCCAGGATGGTCTCGATCTCCTGACCTCGTGGTGCACCCGCCTCGGCCTCCCAAAGTGCTGGGATTACAGGCATGAGCCACCGCGCCCTGCCTTAAAAAATCTTTTTCATTTTAGCCCTTCTGTTATGTGTGTGTTTTGTGATTTGAATTTGCATTTTCCTGATAACTAATCAAGTTGGGCACCTTTTTATTACCTTTTATTGAACATTTGGATATTGTCTTTTATAAATTGGCTGGTTGAATCTTTTTGCTCATTTTTCAATTTTATGCCCTTTTCTTATTTATTACACATTCTTATATACCCTGGATATGAGTCCCTTGATAAATATGTATATTACAAATATCTTCTCTCACTCTGTAATTTGCTTTTTCACTCTCTTTTATTTTTTAATAAACAGAAATTATTATTTTAATGTAGTTCAATTTATCCATCTTTTCCCCTATGGTTAGTATTTTTGTTTCCCATTTAAGAAGGATTTCCTGCCCCAAAGTTATGAAGATATTCTTCTGTGTTATCTTCTAGCATCTTACGTTATATTTTTGACATTTAAATCTATAGTGTAACTTACAGATTTAAATATATACTTTAATGTATGTTTTTACTTCATTCACTTTTTTCTTTTTATTATTTTCTTCCTTCTAACTTCCACTGTGATTTTTATTTCTTTTTTTTTGTTCTGCCAATTTTTGCTTAATATATTTGATGCCGTATTACTAGATAAATCACATTTCAAACTACTATTTGTTTGTGGTGGATTGACAATTTCATCATCATGAAATGTCCAGTTTTATCTTTAATAATGCTTCTTGCTTTAAAGGCTACTTTGTCTGATATTAACATATTCATACTCACAGTCTTTTGTTAGCATTTGCATAGTATACTTGCTTACATCCTTCAACTTTCAAACCTTAAGGTAGATCTTTCAAACCTTATATTTAAGATAGATGTCTTAAGCTGCATTCGTTTTGTTTATTCACTCTGACAGTCTTTGTCTTTTATTTGTAATATTAGGTCTGTTTGTATTTAATGCAATAAATGATATATTTGGGTTTGTATCAACCAATTACTATGCAATTTCTATTGTCCAACAGCTGTTCTATTTTTCTTTTTATCCTTCTTGCACTTTGGATTAATCAAGCTTTTTTCCTATAATTTCATTAACACTGCCCCCCTCATTGACTTGTTAGTTAGTTATTCTCTTACATTACAAAATTCATCTTGGACTTATTAGGGTATAAAATAAAATTTGCATCCCAGGCAATGCAAAAATTTTCAAACATTTTACCTCCAAGTACTCACATCTTTTGTGTTTTTTTTTAATGTACCATAATTCTACATAAATCTAAATTCCATGGAAATTACTATTGACTGTATAATCAATAGTAACTTAAATAAAGATATCTCGGTTTTGGCCCTGTTGATGTTTTGGGCCATATAATTATTTGTTGTAAAAGGCTGTTCCACGCATTACGGATGTTTAGCAGCATCCTTGGTCTCTATCCACTAGATGTCAGTAGCACCAACCCCCAAGTTGTGACAATTAAAAATGTCTTCAAACATTGCCAAATGTCCCCTAGTGGGCACAATTGTCCTGACTTGGGAACCACAGATTAGATTTACCCACATATTTTCCCTTTCTGTTTTTCTTCATTCCTTCTTCCATTTTCTTGTTCATCATTTGCCTGCATAAATCTCTGATATTTCATTTCTTTTCTTTTCTTTTTTTTTTTTTTTGAGATAGAGTCTCACTCACCCAGGCTGGAGAGCAGTGGCGTGATCCTGGCTCACTGCAACCTCCATCTCCTGGGTTCAAGCAATTCTCCTGCCTCATCCTCCCATGTAGCTGGGACTACAAGCATGTGCCACCACACCTAGCTAATTTTTGTATTTTTAGTAGAGACGAGGTTTCACCATGTTGGCCAGGCTGGTCTTGAACTCCTGACCTCAAGTGATACACCCTCCTTGGCCTCCCAAAGTGCTGGGATTGCAGGTGTGAGCCACTGTGCCTGGCCTGATATTTCTTTCCATGTGAAAGTGCTGGTGATGAATTTTCTCAGTCTTTCTCTGAAAATACCTTAGTTCTGGTCTTATTTTTGAAAGATTTTTTTCTTAGGTATAGAATTCTAGGTTAGCATTATTTTCCATCAGCAAGTTGAAGATATCATTCCATTGTCTTCTCCCTTTCATTATTTCCATTGGGAAGACAGCTATCAGTATTACTGTTATTCTTAAAAAGGCATGTCTTTTTTTCTGTCAGATTTTAAGATTTTTCTCTTTGCTTTGGCTTCAAGTAAAATTAAAACAGATATACCTACATATGGTTTTACTGTGATGTGCCTAGGTGTTCACTGGTCTCAGGCGGCTTCTTTAATATGTAGCTTGATGTCTTATATCAGTTTACCAAATTCTCAGCCATTTTCCCTTTCTTTGCTCTATTCTGTCTTTCTTCTCCTTCTGCATCTCCAATTACACATATGTTAGTTCTCTCACTATATGCTATATGTCACATTCATTCTTTTCTATACTTTCTAGTATTATTTTCCTCTCCCTGTTTTAGTCTGGATATGTTCTGCTAACTTATCTTTCAGTTTGATCAACCTCTCTTCAGCTGGGTCCAGGCTTCTCTAAATAGCATACACTGATTATTTTATTTTTATCATTGTATTTTTATTTTTGGGATTTTGATTATTTTCTTTTTTATTATAATGAGTCTCTTGAATACAGCACACAGGTGGATTTTGACTCTATCTGGCTTGCCACTCTGTGTCCTTAAATTGGGGGCATTTAACCCATTTACATTTAAAGTTAATATTGTTATGTGTGAATTGTATCCTGATATCATGATGCCTGTTGGTTATTTTGCAGACCTGTTTATGCATTTGCTTCATAGTGTCACTCATCTGTGTGTTTCAGTGTGTTTTTTGTAGCGGCTGGTATTGGTTTTTCCTTCCATGTTTAGTGCTTCCTTCAGAAGCTCTTGGAAGGCAGACCTGGTGGTGACAAATTCCCTCAGCATTTGCTGTCTGAAAAAGATTTTATTTCTCCTTCACTTAGGAAGCTCAGCTGGGCCAAATATTAAATTCTAGGTTGGAAATTATTTGCTTTAAGGGTGTTTAAAATTGGCCCCCGATCTCTTCTGGCTTGTAGGGTTTCTGCTGAGATGTCTGCTGTTAGTCTGATGGGCTTCCCTTTACAGGTAACCTGGTCCTTCTCTCTGGCTGCCCTTAACATTTTTTTTTTCATTTTGACCTTGTAGAATCTGATGATTATGTGTCAGGGCTGATCTTCTCATGGAGTATTTTACTGGGGTTCTCTGGATTTCCTGAGTTTGAATGTTGGCCTGTCTTGCTAGGTTGGGTGAGTTTTCCTGGATGATACACTGAAGTGTATTTTCCTACTTGGTTTCATTCTCCCAGTCTCTTTCAGGTACCCCATCATTTCTAGGTTCAGTCTTTTAACATAGTCCCATAGTTCTTGGAGGTTTTGTTCATTCCTTTTCATTCTTTTTTTCTCTAATCTTGTCTGCCTGCCTTATTTCAGCAAGATAGTCTTCAAGCTCTGATATCCTTTCTTCCACTTGGTCTATTCAGCTATTGATACTTGTGTTTGCATTATGAAGTTCTCATGTTGTGTTTTTCAGCTCCATCAGATCATTTATGTTCCTCTCTAAAGTGGTGATTCTGATTAACAGCACCTGTGATGTTTTATCATAGTTCTTAGCTTCTTTGCTGTGAGTTAGAACATAATCCTTTAGCTTGGTGAAGTTCTTTATTACCCATCTTCCTAAGCCTACTTCTGTCAATTCATCCATCTCAGTCTCAGCCCATTTCTGTGCCCTTGCTAGAGAGGTGTTGCAACTCTCTGAAGGAGAAGAGGCACTCTGGCTTTTTGAGTTTTCAGCATTTTTTCTCATCTTCATGGGTTTATCTACCTTTGATCTTTGAGGCTGCTGACATTTGAATGGAGTTTTTTATGGTGCCTTTTTCATTGATGCTGTTGCATTCTGTTTGCTTTTATTTTAGCAGTCAGGCTCCTCTTCTGCAGGGCTGCTGCAGTTTGCTTGTGGTCCACTCCAGTTCCTATTTGCCTGGGTCCCTCCCATCCCTGGAGTTATCACCAGTGGAGGCTGCAGACCAGCAAAGATGCCAAGCTGCTCCTTCCTCTGAGAGCTCTGTCTTAGAGGGGCACTGGCCTGACGCCAGCTGAAACACTCCTGCATGAGGTGTGTGGAGACTCCTGTTGAGAGGTCTCACTTAGTCAGCAGGAGCAGGGTCAGAGACCTGCTTAAATAAGCAGAGTTTCTGCCCCTTGAAGGGTGTGCCACACTGGGGGAATCACCCTCATCTGGGCTGCCCTGACTCTCCAGAGCCAGTAGGCAGAAAAGACAGATCATTGATCCACAATACCACAGCTGTCCCTCCTCCTAGGAGGTCCTCTCAGGGTTATCAGTGCCCCATCCATAAACCCCTGGCTGGGGATACTGAGATTCCCACTGGGAGGCCCCAACCAGCACTTTGGGAGGCCAAGGCAGGCAGATCACTTGAGGTGAGGAGTTGAAGACCAACCTGGCTAACATGGCGAAACCCCATCTCTACTAAATATACAAAAATTAGCCAGACATGGTGGCATGCACGTGTAATCCCAGCTACTTGGGAGGCTGAGGCATGAGAATTGCCTGAACCTGGGAGGTAGAGGTTGCAGTGAGCTGAGATCGTGCCACTGCACTCCAGCCTGGACGACAGAGTGAGACTCCGTCTCAAAAATAAATAAATTAACCCTAATGAATAAAGCTTTAATTGTGGGGCATTCAGATAATGGAAAATTGTCCTTAGTTAGGGGGGACTTCTGAAAGCCCTTCTCATTTTGTCCCTGTTGACACAAGCAACATTGCCTTTGCTTGGCATGAAACCCAGCAGCAGGGCCTAGGCACAGAGATCAGCTCCCTAACTATTCTGTTGATGCAACAGCATCACTGGATGTCTCATATCTGAGATACTGCTGATCTGTTCTCCTCTTGGTTTGGGCACAAACCATGCAGATGGGACATTAGTGATGTTCCGATGATGCAGTGTCCCAGGTAGCAAAAGCAATAAGGCAGAGGTTGATCCGAGTGAGGGTAGGAATAGGGCATGGAGTGATGCTCTGGATTCTTGGCCTCTGCACTTAGCACAAAGGAGGAGTGTCTGGAGCAGACTGACAAGGAACAAAATAGTTCCAGGAGACAGGTGCCATGCTGCTGCTTATTTGGGTTGAAACACACCAGCCTAGATTAGTGTTTCTTTGAACAACTATTAATAATATTTGTTGCTTGGAACAATAGTTGTTAGTTGTAACTAATAAATCTATTGCTTACCCCTGCTATACCCATGGGATACACCCCACCCCACCTTCATCTATCCATTACAAAAAAACTCCTGTGTTCCCACAGAAGTCAAAACAGATATTTCCCCCCCTGGGGAATGCTCCTGATAAAATCCACAGTACTGCAGATGGAGGGCTCCTAGACTTAAAAAGACTCTTCAGGGCACTATGTGAAAATAGAAGAGATCCTCTGACTTGAGACAGAGCAAGAACCTATGGGGAAATTCTAGACTCCAGAAAAGAATCCAGACCTTTTATATCCATTATAAGAGGGAGCAAAAGGAAAAAAGAAAGTACAGAAATTCCAAATTGAACACCAAGTTCACAGTCCAGTGTGATGTCAGAACTGGGGACCAGGCAGAGCACATGATGTCAAAGTAGGAAAACAGGATTTCATTCCTTCTCTTCTTCCCTCTCTGTCAGGGTCCAGAGAGAGCCTGGGCTGGGTCTATTTTCTCCAGGATAAAAATATATATACACTCAAAAGTGTCCCAATTCCTTCTTTTTTTTTTTTTTTTTTTTTTTTTGAGACGGAGTCTCGTGCTGCCACCCAGGCTGGAGTGCAGTGTCGCAATCTCCGCTCACTGCAACTTCCGCCTCCCAGGTTCAAGTGATTGTCTTGCCTCAGCCTCCCAAGTAGCTGGGATTACAAGCATGCACTACCACGCCTGGCTACTTTTTGTATTTTAGTAAAGATGAGGTTTCACCATATTGGTCAGGCTGGTCTCGAACTCCTGGCCTCAGGTGGTCTGCCCGCCTCAGCCTCCTACAGTGCTGGGATTACAGATGTGAGCCACCGTGTCCAGCCCCAATCCTTTCCTGTTTCTCAAGGCCATGTTTACATTTAGCATGCCCCAGGGACCCTACTCTGAACCTCTCACCATCAACTTCCTCTCTACCCTCTCCCCTTAACTCATAGGTACTGACTGTGAGTCCCCTTATGCTTTGTTATCATGCTCTACTCTGGACTCTACTTGTCTATATTATAAAACTTATAATGCTGAAAGGCATGTAGCTACCTTATCCATCTGTGCATGAATACCTAGTCCCTTTTCCTATAGAGAGGTATCAACCCAGGCACACAGTAGCAATTTTATAACCTCCTGTTGATTACTTAATGGAAGTTATTAAATTTTAAAATGAGCCTATTACAGGTTATGTGGATCCTGAAAGAGTAAATGACCACTAGTGGAAATGAAATCAACTAGGCAAAAAGGACAAATCTAATACTTCTTAAACCGAGGAATAGGTAATAGTACCTTTGAGTACTGCTACTTTGAAGGCTATCCTTCCATGAAGGAAATTAAGGACAACTAGAGGAAACAGAGGAATGGTCTTAAGAAAGGAAAAAAGAGGGTAAGGATAAATGGAGAAGCAAGTTGAGGGCACCTGTGGATCAGTTATGGGGATATGCCCATATACGGGTGGTTGCTTCCTACAGATATTGGGTACATGTAGAAGGGAGAGGTCTTTGGGGACCTGGTCGAGAAAAAGTGGCTATGTGATGAGTGGCAGGGATGGGAAGTCAGTGAAGAAGTCAAAGCTCTTGGACAGAAAGAAGAGTCAGGTACGTGGCTTTAATGAGGGAAGCTAAGGGTGCTGGAGATGGAGTAGTAGAAGCAGAAATCCTAGGTCTGCTTGATTGGAATATCAAGGCTGGGATATTCTCTCCCATGGAAGTGGGTCCAGGTGAAGCAAGGAGGTAACCCTGTCTCCCTCTCTTCCTTTCCCATCTCCCACTGATGGATCACAAGGCCAGGTAACCTTGGCCATTTACTTGTCAGTCCAGGCACATCTCTCTCTGGTCAATGTAGAAATCCATATATGAATCCATTTGGAAGTGCCTGAATAATAATCCACCTGTTGGGATTGTGTCAGGGCAGGTAGGTATGTACAACAGGCTGAGGAACCTTGAGAATCTACCCTTTTCAAACTTAACAACCCTTCTAGACTCCAGAATCCATGGATTTAACTGCTTCTTAAGAAAGCGTCCTCTTTGTACTCTCCAAGTCCTGTGTTTGCTTAAACTCACTCCCTTTGCCTGATCTGCTCCTGCAGTCTCCCACAGGATCCACAATGTGCTGGCCTCTAGAGCTTCCCTATTTCCCCTTGGCCAAAATGAAATCTACTTTTATCATCCCAAACTCTAATGAAGTCATCCAGTGAAATCCATACTCATAGAACTCGAGATCCCAAAAGAGCCTGAGAGTTCCTCTAGACTCTCACCCATATCTTATCTCTCCCTGACTCTTATTCTCTCTCTACTGTCAATCACTCACTCCAGTCGTCTTCTAGAGTCCTTCTTTAACCTTCTTTCCAACCTCTTGACCTTTCCACTATTACTAGTGTCATAGCTCATAAGTATCCAGACTTCACCATCTTCTCCCTTTTCTTCAGCACAAAGTGAATGCATTAAGAAATAAGTAATTTTTTTTTCTCCCTTGGAAGTGATCAAAGCTACATACAACTGGTTCTCGAATTCTTTTTTTTTTATACAGAGTCTTGCTCTGTCGCCCAGGCTGGAGTGCAATGGCTCGATCTTGACTCACTGTAACCTCTACCTCCTGGGCTCAAGCAATTCTCCTGTCTCAGCCTCCCAAGTAGCTGGGATTACAGGCGTGCACCACCATGCCTGGCTAATTTTTGTATTTTTAGTAGAGATGGTATTTCACCATGTTGGCCAGGCTGGTCTTGAACTCCTGATCTCAAGTGATTTGCCCGCTTGTGGTTCTCAAACTCTTGACACATCAGTTGAGTGGCAGTGTCCACCGTGCCAAAGCCTTCCCAACTTCAGATGACCTGACGTTTTCTTTCGTTTTGCGGGGGAAATGTAAGTAAAAGTTCCTGGAAATTTCTCAGTTAATTCTTACAGGTCTGGAAGGTGGTCTGTAAGGAAGTCTTTGGATGAAGCTTGAAAAGGGTGCAATACTCATCAAAGCAGTGAGTTCAGCACCAGGCAGATTGAATGTACCACCTTCTCTCCCCTCTTCAGGTCCTATCCTTACCACCCATGTGGTCTCAGGGCTTGGGTCATCTAGTATGAATCACAGCAAACCAGGGGTCATAGAAGTTAGAGGTTTATGATATTAAGTATATGTGCATCTTAGTGATGGGTGCCTCTTGGAATAGTGAGGAAGAAGGGAGGAAAAATGGAGAAGGCTGTGCCACACATAGACCAAAACAAGAAGGCCCTCTCTTTGAGGGGCCCTCCTCTAGCTCTGTCATTTCCCCATAGAGCAAAAAGCTTATGGAACCAAGAGGATGCTCACCTGGAGACTGCACTGCCGCTTCTAGATTACCATGGGTAGCAAGTACCCAAGAACACCCTTTCCAAATGGCTCTAAGCCCATCTCCAGACCTGTGCAGGCTTTTCCTAAGATATATCTTCCAAAAAATGGACCTTGTCATTGGTGTGCATATACCTGAACCCAAGCATTGGCCAAGGGGCAACGGTTTGCAGGTACATGTGGAGAAAGCTTAGAATTGTGGGCTTTTGTGTCTACTAGACTGAGCTTTCTACCCATTCCTCCATATACTCCTCATTATTTTCTTTTTATGATTACAAAAGCAATCCATATTTATTGTAGAAAATTTTTCAAAAACTGAAAAACAATAAGAAGCAAATAGAAAATTACCAGCAATTTAATGACCCTGAAATTATCATGTTATCATTTTGGTGTATATGCTCCATGTAGTGCATCTCCATGGGGTGTGTGTGTCTCTGTGTGTGTCTGTGTGTGTGTCTGTGTATCTGTGTATGTGTGTGTGACCTACACACAACTAGGCATTCCCTAGTGGTGCCAAACAATCAATATCTTTTATGGGCCCTCCGTTAAACATCGCTGTACTCACAAAGAAACATAAATCCAATTCTATAAATATTGGGAATTTTACTGATGGTAAAATTAAAATAGGAGGAGGAGGTTACATCACTATCATATGGTAACATTCCCTTAAAAATCATCTCTTTATCTTTCCTAAATATTCCACTGTCTTTGACTGCTATACCTCTCTCTCTTTTCTTTCACCAAGCCTCTCTCTTTGCTTTCCTTCTGGTAAAAGCAGTCTCTCTCTCTCTCTCTCTCTCTCTCTCTCTATCCCCCCCTCTCCCTCTCTCTCTACCCCTGAATCTGGCCTTTCTAAACACCCTCAACTTGTGTACCTGTATACTATACTGAGCTACACTAAAGTTTCTATATTTAGCCAAATCCAGCCCATCATACCAGCTCTTCCCCTGGTATATTCCTAGGAGTGGAGCTCGGTTCACGCTGTTTCACACTTTCCTTGGGAAACACTCTGTGTTCTTCTGCAAAGAGGAGTAGGCAATATGTTTTCAGATTCACAGACAAGCTTCTCCTTCCACCGTCTTGCTCCCACCCTATGCTAACCTGTTCACAAAGGTTAAGCAAGCAGTTGGAATTATGGAATCTCCCATCTGGTTTCCTAATCATATTTTTACCATCAGTATCAGGCCCATACTCATGTTTCATCCCCACACTGCTCCTAGCCAGGTTCAGAACCTCTCTCTAGGGTCTCCTCCTCTGGTAACAAAAGAATGGGTTTACCATGTTTGTTTCTCATTAGCATAAGTGGTTATAAGATGCACCTCATTTGCTATAATTGAAGAAAAGACAAGTGTATTTCCACTCTCAGAGTCCAAGGCAGTCCCAAGTGTGACTTTTAATATGTCTCACACTTTCTGGGCTCTGAGAAGGGCAGGATGCTAGTGCTCAAATGACCACAACAATGACAATTATAAACATCTCTGACATGAGACATGATGTATACAACTGATTGTACCTGTGTCCTGGGTTTATTTGCAATGCCTGCAAATGAATTCACCCTGTAGGGAGATTATTAAAACTACCATGGATATGTTTGAACTGTTGTGAGAATTACCAAAATGTGAAACAGAGACATGAAGTGAGGACATGCTGTTGGCAAAATGGCACGGGTAGACTTGTTCAATGCAGGTTGCCACAAACCTTCAATTTGTAAAAAATGCAATATCTGCGAAGCATAATAAAACAAGGTGCAATAAACGAGGTATGCCTGTATATCCGACTGATTGATGGTGCTGTTGAGTTCAACTGTGTCCTTACTAATTTTCTGCCTGCTGGATCCCATTCATAACTGAGGCATGTTGAAGTCTCCAACTACAGTAATGGATTCATCTATTTCTCCTTGCAGTTCCATCAGTTTCTGCCTCACATATAGTTTTTAAATGTATTTTTAAATGCACATTTGACTTTTTAAAATGTATATATTTAAATGTATATATTTTAAATATATATATTTAAGGTACACAATTTGATGATTTAATATACATATACACTGTGGAATAATCACCACAATAATTTGTCTATCATCTCAGATAGTTACCATTTTCTTTCTCCCCTTTATTCCTTTCTTGCTTTTTTTCCTTTTTTTTTGGTGAGAATGCTTAAGATACATTATCTTACCAAAGTTCAACTATACAATAAAGTATTGTTAATTATAGTCACATTGCTATTCATCAGATCTCAAAAAAATATTGATTATGCACAACTAAAACTTCGTACCCCTTTGACAACTTCTCCCCACTTCTTCCTCCCTCCAGCTCCTGGTTATCACCACTCTACTATCTGTTTCAACGGGTTTGACTATATTAGATCCCACAAATAAGTGAGATCATGCGGCATTTGTCTTTCTGCATCTGGTTTGTTTTACTTAGCACAATGTCCTCCAGGTTCATTCTTGTTGTGTCACCTGATAGAGCTGTTATTTCTATCTTGGTGAAAGCTGAATAATAGTCTAGTGTGTATGTATGTGGGTGTGTGTTTACCATATTTTTTAAAATCCATGCATCCATCAATGGACATTTAGTTTGCTTCCACATCTTGGCGTTTCTGCATAATGCTTAAATGAACATGGGCATGCAAATATCTCTTCAAGATCCTGTTTTCAATTCTCATCGATATATATCAAGAAGTAGGACTGCTGAATCACATGGTAGTTCTATGTTTAATTTTGTTTGGAACCTCTATGCTGTTTTCCAGAGCCACTACACCATTTTCATTCCCACCAACAGTGCACAAGGTTCCCATTTCCCCATGTCCTTGCCAACACTTGTTATCTTCTGTTTTGTTTTTGTTTTATGGGAGGTGTGTGTGTGTGTGTGTGTGTGTGTGTGTGTGTGTGTGTGTGTGAAATAGTGGTAGTCCTAATGTATGAGATGATATCTCATGGTGGTTGTGATTAGCATTTTCCTGATGATTAATAATTTTAAGCATTTTTCCAAATAAATGGCCATTTGTGTATCTTCTTTGGAGAAATGTCTGTTTAATCCTTTGCTCATTTTTAAAATTTGATTATTTATTATTCAGGGGGCTGTTATTGAGTTAAAGGAGTTTTAAAATATATTCTAGATATTAACCTCTTATCTAATATCTCTCTTGCAAATATTTTCTCCAATTTCATAAGTTTTTTAGTTTGACGTCACCCTATTTCTCTATTTCTGCTTTTGTTGCCTGTGCTTTGGTATCATATCTAAAAAGCCATTTCCCTTTTCAATGTCATGATTTTTTAATTGCTTTCTTCTGGGAGTTTTATAGATGTTTATAAAAAATTAACTTCTTTTTGAGTTAATTTTTGTGTATGGTATAAGGGTCCATACTAACAACATTTATTGAAGAAACTACCCTTTCCCCAATGTACAGTTTTGAAACTCTTATTAAAGATCATTAGACCTTGTATATGAGGGCTTATTTCTGGACTCTATATTCTGTTCTATCAGTCTACGTATCTGTTTTTATGTCAGTGTTATACTGTTTTGATTACTGTGACTTTGGAAATATGTTTTGAAATCAAGAAGTGTGATGCCTCTAGCTTTATTCTTCTTTCTCAAGATTGTTTTGGCTATTTGGAGTCTTTTAAGATTTCACATGAACTTTAGAATTTTTTTCCTATTTCTACAATAAATGCCATTTGGATTTTGATAGGGTTTGCATTAAGTTCGTACATTATTTCGGGTAGTGTAAATATTTTTAACAATATTAAGTCTACCAATCCTTGAACACAAGATATCTTTCCAATTGTTTTTCTCTCTTAATTTTGTTCAGCAATGTTTTGTAGTTTTCAGTGTACAAGTCATTGGTTAAGTTTATTCCTAACTATTGTAAATGCGATTTTAAAAAAAATCTATTTGGATTGTCCATTGTTACTATATAAATGCAACTGACTTTTGAGTGTTTATTTTGTTCTATTCTGCAACTTTACTGAATTTGCTAGTCTAATAATTTTTGATGGAGTCTTTTTATATACAGTTTTCTACATATAAGACCATGTCATCTGCAGAGATAATTTTACTACTTCTTCTTTTCCAATTCAGATGCATTCTATTTATTTTCCTTGTCTAATTGCTCTGGATAAGACTTCCAGTACTATGTAGAATAAAAGTGCTGAGTTTGGACATCCTTGCCTTATTGCTGATCTTAGAAAAAAAAACTTTCAGTTTTTCACTATGGCATATGATATTAGTTATGGCTTTTCATGTATGAAATTTATGATGTTGAGGAAATTCTTTCTATTCTTATTAATATATTGTTGAATGTTTTTATCATGGAAAGGTTATTTAATTTTGTCAAATACTTTTCCTATGTCTATTATGATAGTCATGATTTTTTTCTTCATTCTATTAATATGGTGTATTACATTTATTGACTTGTGTGTATTGAACTATCTTTGCAACCCAGTGATAAATCCCACTTGGTTGTGGCATATAATCCTTTTAATGTGCTGTTAAAATCGGTTTACTAGTATTTTGGTAAGGACTTTTGCATCAATACTCACCAGGGATATGGGTTGTAGTCTTCTTTTCTTGTAGTATCTTTGTCTGGCATTGGTATCAGGGTAATGCTGGCCTCATATAATGAATTTGGAAGTTTTCTCTGATTCTGTTTTTTTGGAAGAAGTTGAGAAGGATTCATATTCCCTATTCTTTAAATGTTTGGTAGGATTATTCAGTAAAACCATCTGGTTCTGGGTTTTTCTTTGTTGAGAATTTTTTTCTTTGTTGGGAGATTGTATGTTTCTAAGAATTTATTCATTTCTTCTAGGTTAGCCAATTTAAATAAAAATTTCTGTGGCACCAGTTGTAATGTCTCCTCTTTCATTTCTCACTTATTTGAATGTTCTCTACTTTTTTCTTTTTTAGGCTGGCCAAGGATTTGTCCATTTTGTTTATCTTTTCAAAAATCCAATTCTTAGTTTTATTGACTTCATGTTTACTATTTTTCTATTCTCTATTTTGTTTATGTCTGTTCTGATTTTATCATTTTTGCTAACTGTGGGCTTAGTTTTTCTTCTTTTTCTAGTTCTTTGAGGTATAAAGTTAGGTTATTGATTTGAGCTCTTTGTACTTTTTTTTTTTTTTGGGACAGAGTCTTGGTCTGTCACCCAGACTGGGGTGCAGTGGCGTGATCTCAGCTCACTGCAAGCTCCGCCTCCCAGGTTCACACCATTCTCCTGCCTCAGCCTCCTGAGTAGCTAGGACTACAGGCACCTGCCACCACGCCCAGCTAACTTTTTGTATTTTTAGTAGAGACAGGGTTTCGCCATGTTAGCCAGGATGGTCTCGATCTCCTGACCTCGTGATCCACCCACCTCGGCCTCCCAAAGTGCTGGGATTACAGGCATGAGCCACCGCGCCCGGCCTCTTTGTACTTTTTTAAATGTAGATGTTTATTACTATGAATTTCCCTCTTGGTACTGCTTTTGCTGTATTCCATAAGTTTTGGTATGCTGTGTTTTCCTTTTCATTTGTCTTAAGGTATATTCTAATTGTATTTATTATTCCTCCTTGAAGCAATGGTTGTTCAAGAGAATGTTATTTAATTTTCACATCTTTAAAAGTTTTCTAGTTTTGTTTCTGCTGTTGGTTTCTAGTTTCATTCTACTGTGGTCTGAAAAGACACTTGACATAATTTAAATCTTCTTAAATTTGTCAAAATTTGTTTTCTAATCTAACACGTAATCAATCTTGGAGAAAGATCTGTTTGCTCTTGAGAAGAATATGTATTCTGCTGTTGTTGGGTAGAATGTTCTGTATATGTCTGTTAGGTCCATCTGGTAAACAGTGTTGCTCCAGTTAGCTCTTTCTTTATTGATTACCTGTCTGGAAATCCTATTCATCATTGAAAGTGAGCATTGAAGTGGCCTATTACAGGATTGCTATCAATTTCTCCTTTGAAATCTGTCAATATCTGCTTTATATATTTATATATTTATATTTAAGCTGATGTTGAGTGCACATGTCTTAACAATTGTTTATTCCTGTTGAATTGACCCTTTTATCATTATATAATGACTTCCTTTGTCTCTAGGGATAGTTTTTTATTAAAGTCTATTTTGTCTGATATAAGTATATCCACCCTTACTTTCATTTGATTATCATTTACATGAAATATATTTTTCCGTCCCTTTACTTCTAGCCAATTTGAAGTGAGTCTATTTTAGACAGCATATTGATGGATCTTTTTTAGATAATTGTTCAGCCACTCTGTTTTTGGTTGGAGAATTTAATGCATTTACATTCAAGTTAATTACTGAAAGGTGAGAACTTATTCTGCCTGTGTTGTGGTTGTTTTATTCTTTTCCCTCTCTTTCTGTCTTCCATTGTTATTTGATGATTTCCTGTAGTGATTTGCTTTGACTCATTTCTCTTTATCTTTTATATCTATTGTAGGATATTTCCTTTGTGGTTAGCTCCCAGCTTGTGTAAAATATCTTGTAGTTATAACCACCTATTTTAAGTTGGTAACTTCAACTGCAAACGAAAACTTTACTTTGACTTCTCCCATAACCACCCACTTTGAGTACCTGTAGTCAGGGTTTGCTTCTTTTTATATTGTGTGTTTATTAACAAATTTTTATCTTTTACTTTCATATTAAGGTTCAAAGTAATTCATGCATCACCTTCACAGTTTTACATTATTCTGTATTTATATATTTACCTTTCTCAATAAGGTTTATGCTTCCTTATGCTTTTGCATTGCTATTCAGTGCTTTTTCATTTAATTTGTTTTTGTTTGTTTGTTTGTTTTCTGAGACAAAGTCTTGCTCTGTCGCCCAGGCTGGACTGCAGTGGTGCGATCTCAGCTCACTGCAAACTCTGTTTCCTGGGTTCAAGTGATTCTTTTGCCTCAGCCTCCAGAGTAGCTGAGATTACAGGCACCCACCATCATACCCAGCTAACTTTTGTGTTTTTTTTAGTAGAGATGAGGTTTCACCATGTTGGCCAGGCTGGTCTCAAACTCCTAACCTCAAGTAATCCTCCCACCTCAGCCTCCCAAAGTGCTGGGACTGTAGGTGTGAGCCACTGTGCCCAACCTTTCATTTCAATTTCAAGAACCCTCTAAAGATTTCTTATAAGGCAGGCTAGTGGTGACAAACTCCCCCAGTTTTTGTCTAGGAAATGTTTTATCAGTACTTTATTTTTAAAGGATAATTTTGCTAGGTATAGTAATCTTAGTTGGCAAGTTTTTTCTCACACTACTTTGATTATGTTGTCTTACTCCCTCCTGGCCTGCAAGTTATCTGCTGAGAAATCCACTGATAATTGTATGGGGGTTCCCTTATATGTGATGAGTTGCTTTTCTCTTGCTGCTTTCAGAATTCCTTCCTTAACCTAGGCTTTTAACAATTTGATTAAATGTATTTCATTGGACAGGGTGATATGGAGGCCAGGGTCTTGGGTCTGTGTTGAGGAGTCTGGCTTTGCATGAGTAGACAGGTCACAGATTGCCAAGTACTTGCCAAATCCCATTTTCTGTTCTTCTTGAGAAAACAGCTAGATTACATTTCCCAATCTCCTTTGCAAATATGTGGGACCATATGACTGTATTATGGTCAATGGAATGTGGATTAAAATAATAAACTTTGCTTCTAGGCCTAGCCCTTTAAAAGCTTCTGTGTGAGCCCCCATGATACCTTTCTTTCCCTATTGCTGGTTGAATGTAGAGGAACCAGTAGAGAAGCCCCTGCGAGATGACAGAGCTACAGATTTAAGGAGCTACATTCCTTGAATCATGGCAGGGATGACTGCCCACTGACCACCCTCAGTGAAATGCATTGTGAATGAGAATAACCTTTCATGGGTTAACTGTATTACCCCATGAGGTTTGTAAAAATCTGCTTGAATATTTGCTCCAGCAATTAACCAAACTGGTTCATACATGGGTCTAACTGGGAAGGCAGAACTGGGCACCTCTGCCCATGATTGAGTGGAAACAACTGTTGGGACTGCTGAGGATTGCAATGAGAGAAATTAAGTCATAGGGAGGAAGTTAAAAAAAAATATGCAGAGCCCTCAGGTTGATGTAGCAGTTTATTTGACAAAAGCTTCAGGGTAAAGAGGTCAAGGAAATAGCAGAAAGGTTACCAGCTAGAGCCAGTGGGTGTCCCAAGAAGGAAGTAGGCAGCACTCTTCTTAGACCAGATGGTCATCCTTCAGCCCACAGTAGTGATCGGCCAATAGAATCTAGGGGTTTAGCATTGATTTAAGGGGCTCTCTAGAAGAGAAAAGTTAGTCAAAAGTCAAGAATCCTGGGATAAATCCATTTCTAAAATTAATAGCATCCTAGGCCCCAGATGAAAAAGGACAGCAATTCTTCTGCTAAATCAGAAGTTACCCACTTTTAAGCAATTTCCCCCAAGAAGTTTGCCAACTGAACAGACAGATAGATACCAGGTCTCCTTGGGCCTGGCTGAGAGTAGAGCGCCCATGGAGACGCCCAACTAAGGGGTTAGTAATTGGAACTTTGGATAAAGGAGGGATGTATGAACTGTTGGGTGATATGTTGAGGGAAGCAAAGGGAACTGAATAAGAGTGAAGAAAAAAGTAGAGGACCTCATGTTGGTGTCTTGGTTTATTTTGCAGTGAGGAGCAGCCTAGGTTTGGAGATAGGAGGACATTGTCTTTTGCTGCCTATTTCTTTAACCAGGATTTGGGTGGCTGCGGTCTTTTGAATAGTCGGTAAGGACCAGTGATGAAGCATGCCCAGGCCCTAGCCTTCCCACCCCAACCAACTCACTCGTTGTCTAAGCAGATGTTTCCACAGTAGGTCCAGCAGCATGTATGATTTGGACGTACACAAGTCATTATTTTAGTACACCTTTTCTCACAGTACTTATATGGAGGCTGTACCCAGCACTGCTCAGTTTCTCTTATCATATCTAGAACTGAGATGGAAGAAGTTAGCAGGGTCCGTCTATTCACAACTCAGACAAGAAACCTTTTCTAAGCTTAACAATCCCTTCTGAAACTTGAGCTCCAAGCCACAAAGTATTTCTCTGCCTTCCAAGAAAATCCCTTCCTCAAATTATAACCAGTGTCTTGTCACAAGACCATCCTTGCATGGCCTGTGTTCCTCCATCTACATGTCCCTACAGCATTTCAGACTCTAAAGATAGGACCTGGGACACCCTGACCATATATGACACCAACCACCAAATTTATTCTCATGTAACCTTAGATTTCAGGGCCTGCAATATCCTCTAACTCCAATTTCCAAAGCCAATTTGCAGAGTGGGAAACTGAGCCAAGGGAGAATAGAAACTTACTTTTTTTCCCCTTCTCTTTTTTTTTTTTTTGAGACAGAGTCTTGCCCTGTCGCCCAGGCTGGAGTGCAACGGCATGATCTCAGCTCACTGCAACCTCCACTTCCCGGGTTCAAGCGATTCTCCTGCCTCAGCCTCCTGAGTAGCTGGGATTACAGGAGCACACCACCATGCCTGGCTAATTTTTTGTATCTTAATAGAGACGGGGTTTCACCATGTTGGTTGGGCAGTCTCGAACCCCTGACCTCGTGATCCGCCCACCTCAGCCTCCCAAAGTGCTGGGATTACAGGTGTGAGACGCCGTGCCCAGCCATTTTTCTCCCCTTCTATTTGTTTCCCTGATGATGCCACCTAAGAAGTCAGTCTCTCCATAAATTTTATTTCCCTGGCCCACAACCCTCCTGCTCAGTGTCTTTGTTGTCCACATTTTCTTATCATATGAACCCAAACTTTGACCCACTAAGGAGCCTTTATTTGTCTTTTCCATTTTTCATGTTCTAAAAGACTCTTCCCCTCCAACTAAATTAACGTGTTAAATATTACCCTTTTGGCATTCATCAAAGGCTCACCCAACTGAGGCACAAAGGTTCTGAAAATATGGGCTTGGAGGGAAGCTCTGTGTTGGTTTTTCCTCTACTGGTCTGATATTGGAAAATATTATTTCCTGCTAGCTGATGGAATATAGACAAAAGATACGTTCCCTTTTCACATACCTAGTGTTGCTTTCAGAGCTGAAAGAGAAAACTTAAAGGAATTGGGAATATCTAACCTAATCTTGCTTGAATATCTCTACTTAAGGAGAGATCCTTTAAAGCCTGATTCTTGACATGCAGGCCCTGGATCAGCTACAATAGACATCCCAGGACTGGGCAGAGCACCCCGTCCCTTTTCACACCACCCACAGGGATCTTTGTTCCAGAAGCTTCCCAGCACAGGCAGAAGCATCACAACTCCAGAGATGAACATGACGAGTAGAAGAATCCAGGGCTTCATGGTGCTCTCTGTGTGTATTTGGGTTAAGTTCTGGCAGAAGGCAAGTCTTTTCCCAATACTGCTAGACGTAGAAAATGGATTGAGGAGAACAGGGTAAGCAACAGGGGTAAAGTGCTTATGACTATCATGTTATTCTTTCCCTTTCTAGTACCCAGTAGCATACCAACCAACTCCCAGGCTAGCCAGTGACTTCCCCAGGTTTCTTCTCATCTCATATTACATACCCCTTCCTTTGCAAAATTATTTCTTATTAAAATGAATTTCTCCTGTCTGATTAAAAACAATAAATCCTCAGATTATATAATATGTAAAATTAAAAATACAAAGAGGAAATAAACAAGCATTAGCAATTCCACCATCTAGAGATAATCAATATATGTCTATACTTTTATGTTGTAGTCATTATTTTTATGAAATTGGACACATCAAGTGTCCTGATATTTTATTTTGAAGCATATGAAACATGATGATGTAAAGAAGTTTTAGTGAAGATCCTAAGACAAAAGGCACTAAAGCAATTTAAGAGGGAATTACAGATAGATAACAGGACTTGAGAAAAGATGATGGCCAAGAACTGTTAGGGGACTCAAAACTTTAATGCACTAAGATGGTCCAAAGTTGGAGGAATTGTAGAGAAGATTTTGAAGGAAATTTTATTGGTAAAAAGCTTTGCTCGTGAAAGCCGGAATGCTGCCTCCTAATTCCAAGTTGAGAGAAAAGGTTTTATGAATACGACTCATTGAGCTTGCTATGTGATCCTAGAAGTCTATGGGAACACAGTAGACTTGAATCATGACTGAAGACTTTAAAGGGTGACTTTAAATCTGGCCAAAGCGGCCTGTAGTAGCAGAGAAGAGGGCTCTAATTTGTGAAGTATCTGAACTGCAAATGGCCAGACGACATTTCATGTTTCCAATGAACCCTTGAAATCTCCCACGAAAGAGTCAAGACCAGAAGCACAGAACCAGCTCATGATAGTATCTATTACACAAGAACTTTCCTACTACTCTTATTGGTCCGTCCTCCCTCTACTCCCTAGGAGACAGAAACTTGCTTTAGTCCAGAGTGGGTGGAGGAATAGAATTACAAAGAGCCAGAGTGGGGGTGGTGGGAGGCGGGGGAGAGAGATTCACCACATCCTGTTCCATAACTGGAGCTTCTGAGGGAGGGAGGAATCCATAGTTCTGAACAATTTATGTAGTTGTGACTAATTTCATGGGCCTGCACATTTTACTTATTATATTGAGAAGATGTTTCATGACTGGAGAATCACATAAAATTTGTGGAGACCTACCTAAATTTTCCTGAAGAAGCAAGGAAATAAACTAACAATTCTGAATGAAATATACAGGGGAGGCAAAAATATGCTCACATCATACAAGTCATGACAAGAATTCAGTCATACTTATTACTATCATTTCCTCATATCATCAAGACCTGAATAGTTTCAATTTCTTCTCGTTATAAAAATGTCCTGATGAACCTCCTTATAGTTAAAGCTTTGGTACATATATTGTTATTTTTATAGCATGAGTTAATGAAGAAAGATTTCTAGGCAAAAGACATTGTCTTTCCCAGGCTTTGGATAATTGCCGCCACATTTCTCTCACTAAGGGTTAGGTTACATTTCCACCTACCGGATATCAAATGCATGTCCCTCCACCCCTTGTTCTACTCTAGGCTATACAAAGGTAATTTTCATCACCACACTATTTGCTGATGGGTATTTTAAGAGGAAAGAACATGGGCCCCAGAGTCAGATAGGCTTGAATTAGAATCCCAACCCCACCAACTCCTAGCCGTGGAGCCTGGGCCAGCCACATAATCCCCAGAGCCTGGTTTTCCCCATCCATATTACAGAAAAAAATATCAATACTCATCTCATCTCATAGGGTCACTGGGAAGATTAAATAATATGTATGAAACACTAAGCATAGGACCTGGAATATAGTATATACTTCATAAATGTTAACTGTCAGCATTAAGCTCAGAATATCCTCCTCTGGATATTTGAAAACTATTTTCAATTACAATTTTTTTCTTTTTACTTTTTTTTTTACACTTAGCATTTTAATCTGTTTAGATTCTATGCCTCTGTGTGTGGAGGGAGACAGGGGGAGTTCATTCACTCAATAAGTACTTATTAAGTGCCTAACTATATTCCAAGTTCTGGGTATTGGAATATATTCCAAGTTCTGGGTATTGGAATATAGTGGTGAACAAAACAGACAAAAATCCTCCCATTTATACAGCTGGCATTCTAGTTAAACAAGATAAGGAAATGCATAGATGGTAATCAGTGGTAAGGAGAAAAATAAGGAAATGGAAGAAAATAAAATAGCCTTCAGCTGAGTGACAGCTGAGGGGTAAGGGAAACTAGAGTATGGGAACAGCAGAAAAATCTTAATAAAAAGGAATAGATAGACATTTTCTTAACACTGTAAAAATTTAACTATTGCAATCCAAAATCCAGCATTCCACATTATAAAACTGAAAGTACTCCCATTAAAATTAGAAATAGGAAAAAAAGATATGCACTATTAAGACTACTTTTTAACATTATTTTCAAGTGTTTAAGCCACTATAATTAGAAAAGAGAAAAATTTGAACTATAAATAATAGAAGAGTGGAAGAGGAACCTAATTACAATGGAAACTTCCCAGCCTTCTCCCATCTACCCCCCTCATTCTCTATTGCTCTACTTTTCTAGAACCAAATAGGAAGGAAAATAAGAGTCAAAGAAAAGGATAAAATTCTGACATGAATTGCATCATTGCATGAACAAGGCAGTGATTTTCCCTCTGCCTGAAAGTCTTTATATTTGTTCAGAAATTTTCAATGAAGCAAAAGAGATTTCTTTGTGCTGTCCAATGTGGTAGCCACTAGCCACTTATGACTGTTCAAACTCATTAAATTAAATCAAAATTCAGTTTCCAGTCATTTCAAGTATTCAATGGTCACATGTAGTTAGTGGCTATTGTCCCCAAAGTCTTTCTCTGATGCTTCTCATTCCATTTATACATAGGACGATGGGAATAGTCTACATCAACCTTTGACTTCTTGTGTGTCCTATTTAACATTCCTTATTTCTCAGGCGCGGAGCCTTTCCATCATCACAGAAAGTTCTACTGAACAATGCTGCTCTAGATGAATCCACCAAAATGACTCTGCTCAAAAGCAGAGGTAATACTAGAAAAATTTTAAAGCTGCCAAATTTTTCAGAGGAGACTTTGAAAATGTATTCTCCTCTTAGCTTCTGTGAAATTTGGAAGGTGAAAAATACAAGTTTTAGGCACATGTCATTAGATGTATTGACTTTTAGACAAATCACTTTTAAGAGATTCGAGCAGAGGCAAAAGCAGCAACATCTTAGCTTGGCAACTTCATCAAGTCATGCTTAGGTAAGCTGGCAGAGACACAGGTTCTTAATGGAGAAGCTTGGAGAGCAGGAATAAGCATCTAAGAGTAGAACCCCCACACACACAAATATCTGATCTGATCTACAATTTAAGGGCTTCTCTTCTCCTTTCGTTTCTCTCCCTAATCTCCTGCTCTTGCTAGCTAGCAATGGCAAGATACTCATTCCTTGAGCCTGAGTCCTTGAGAACCTCAGAGTGTTCTTCTGATTATGTGAATATACCAGCACATGGCAAGACAGGTGAACCATGAAGATACTCTGTTATCTGCTTACAGCCAGGGATGTGAGGGATGAGGTAAGTGGGTGAAAGTGGGCATAGATTGCAGTAGGCCTCTGGATTCCTGGTACCAACCCTTTGCATAAAGAAGGAGGAATACTGATATACAGTGACAGGAACACCATAAATCCAAAGCATTGGATTCCATGAGGCTGTTTCTTTGTATTCCAAAATACCACCCTAGACCCAAGTTTTCCAGAGCTTTGAAATCTGTTCATTCACACGGCCTCATTCTTACTCTAGTTTTCTTTCTTTCTTTCTTTCCCCTTGCCCTTTAAAGGTGTTCAGGAATCTGAGGATGCCTAGTCTCCTGTTTTGCACACCCTCAAGTGTACTAAATGATCCCAGACAAAAGAAACATCATTATGCCCAGGCTGGGTACTTCTCAACTTCTCATATACAGAGTGCTGTGAATTTTTTGGTCATCCTGAGACAAACTGCAGGACAATTCAAAGATCCCCCAGGATCAGAAAGACACAGAACTACTGCTCTCCACCAATCTGGCTTTCCAGATAATGTTAAAGAGGACAGAGTGCTGGATTTAGTGTCAGGAATGCTGAAATCTTTAGTTTCTGTCCCTTTTACCTATGGAACCTCAGACAGCTCATGTCACCCCCTCTCAATTTTCTTATTTGAACAAAAGAAACAATAATCCCTACCTCACAGGAATAGTGACACCATCTGGGCTAGGAATTAATCCAAGCAAGCCACAAATAGAAGCTCATGTCTCAAGACCTTTATCCCCACCTACCTCTGAAGGTGTCTGCATTGAGTGTCTGTAGTAACTGGCTGACAGCTCTTTTGTCTGGCCTTTTATTATGAAGTTGTTTGAAGTGGGGCTCGAACTGGGGGCAGAAGAGCAGAAAAACAATGTTCAAAGGCCAGGAACTTAATGGTGATTTTGGTTGTGACCGATTTTTAATTTCTACCCAGAAACTACATGTTGGCTGTATCACAGATTCTTTCCTTTGATATTCACCCATCCAGATGTACTCAATTTTCTAAGGTGCAGGTGGGATCCTCTGAAAAGCTGGGAAGAACATTGTGTACCTGGATTGCAGCTCAGGCCACCCCCAGCAGACCCAAAGTACATGTTCCCAAAGTCTCTCAAATACATCTCAGTCCATTCATATGTAGGAAGTTGGGAACAGTCTACATTGACCTTTGACCTCTTGTCTGTCCTATTTAACATTCTATCTTTCTCAGTATTGATTCTCTTTTACCAATAAAATCATAACAAGATCTCCCACCAAATGCCCTCTGACTTTTATGTAGCTAAAAAGAGACTGAATAGGAAGAATTTTAGAAAAAGTAGATGACCACCTAACAAATGAAGGAAGCGACGTGACCAAATCCAGCACCAAGTTCTTGCCATGAGCTTGTTGGTTGAGGTGCAGAGGGATTTGTTCACCAAATGTCAGGGAAGGGCATTATATTGGGCACACAATACACATGATTTGGAGATCACTAGCTCATGAGAAAAGAGAACAGTCAAGTGGGCAGGAGGCAGGGACTTCCAAGGGGTAAACCTTCTCTCAAAGCCTGTCTGCAGGAATATTATACGCAGTGACAGGAGATGTCAATATAAAATTCTTCCTAGGATACAGGCATACCTCGGAGATATTGCAGGTTCAGTTTCAGGCTACCATAAAAAAGGTAATATTGCAATAAAGTGAGCCAAGTGCACTTTTTTGGTTTCCCAGTGCATATGAAAAGTATGTTTTCCTGAAGTCTTTTATTTATATATTTATTTAAACTAGAAAATGAAATATTTAATAGTTGAAAGTTGTTTCTCTGAAAAAGCTAGTAAAATTTGCAAACTTCTGATACAAATCTGTATATGTTTCAGTATACAACTGTACCTCTTTCATATTCTAAACAGTTTCTAATAGTTTTCTTATGATGAATTTCATTATTACTTATTAAAATATTAAAAAGGTATGTTTACACTATGCTGTAGTCTGTCAAGTGTTCAATAGCATTATGTATAAAAAATAATGTGCATACCATAATTTTAAAATACTTTACTACTAAAAATTGCTAATGATTATCTGAGCCTTCAACAAGTCATCATCTTTTTGCTGGTGGAGGGTCTTCCCTCAATGTTGATGGTTGTTGACTGATCAGGGTGGTGGTTGCTGAGGGTTGGGGTAGCTGTGGCAATTTATTAAAATAAGAACAATGATGTTTGCCACATCAATTGATTGATCCTTTCAAGAAAGATTTCTCCATAGCATGCAACGCTGCTTGATAGCATTTTATACACAATAGAATTTCTTTCAAAATTTCGGTCAATCCTCTCAAACTGTGCTGCTGGTTTATCTAAGTTTATGCAATATTCTGAATCCTTTGTCATCATTCCAACAATGTTCACAGCATCTTCACCAGGAGCAGATTCCATTCAAAGAAACCACTTTCTTTGCTCATCTATAAGAAGCAACTCCTCATCCACTCAAGTTTTCTCATGAGATTGCAGCAATTCAGTCAGATCTTCAGGCTGCACTTCTAATTCTCACTGTTGCTATTTTCATCACATTTGCAGTGACTTCCTCCACTGAAGTCTTGAAACCCTCAGTCATTTATAAGGATTGGAATCAACTTCTTCCAGACTCCTGTTAATACTGCCATGTTGACCTCCTTCCATGAATCATGGTATGTAGAATAGTGAATCCTTTCCAGGAATTTTTTAATTTACTTTGCCCAGATCCATCAGGGAAATTACTATCTATGGTAGCTATAGCCTTCCAAAATGTATGTTTTAAATAATTTTGACTTGAAAGTCAAAATTATCTCTTGGTCCATGGGCTGAAGAATGAATGTTGTTAGCAGGCATGAAAACATTGATCTCTTCATATAGCTCCATCAGAGCTCTTGAGTGACCAAAATCTTTTTTTCTGAGCCGTAGGCCTCAACAGTGGGCTTAAAATATTCAGTATACCATGCTGTCACACAGTCTTTGCTGTTTCATTTATAGAGCAGAGCAAGAGCAGAGTTAGCATAGTTTGTAAGGGCTCTAAGATTTTTGAAATGATAAATGAGCTTTGGCTCATTATTACTTTAAGTCACCAGCTGCATTGGCCCCTAGCAAGAAAGTCAGTCTGTCTTTTGAAGTTTTGAAGCCAGGCATTGACTTCTATCTATGAAAGTTCTAGATGGCATCTTCTTCCAATATAAGGCTGTTGTGTCTTCATTGAAAATCTGATGTCTATTGTAGCCACCTTCATCAATTACAGTTGACCCTTGAACAAAATGGGAGTTAGGGGTACTGAACTCCTGCACAGTTAAAAATCTATGTATAGGCCAAGTGCAGTGGCTCACGCCTGTAATCCCAGCACTTTGGGAGGCCAAAGCAGGCAGATCACAAGGTCAGAATTTCGAGACCAGCCTGGCCAATATGGTGAAACCCCATCTCTACTAAAAATACAAAAATTAGCCTGGCATGGTGGCAGGCACCAGTAGGCCCAGCTACTCAGAAGGCTGAGGCAGGAGAATCACTTGGACCCAGGTGGCAGAGGTTGCAGTGAGCACAGATTGTGCCACTGCACTCTAGCCTGGGTGACAGAGCGAGACTCCATCTCAAAAAAAATTTAAAAAGAAAATCCATGTATAACTTTTGACTTCTCAAAAACCCAACTACTAATAGCCCACTGTTTTATTTTTAATTTTAGAGACAGGGTCTTGCTATGTTCCCTAGGCTTGTCTCAAACTCCCCGCTCCAAGCGATCCTCCTTCCTCATCCTCCCGAGTAGCTAGGACTACAGACACACACCACCATGCCTGAAATATTCTTTTTATTGAGATGGGGTCTCACTATGTTCCCCAGGCTGGTCTCAAACTACTGGCTCAAACAATCTTCCCCCACTCAACCTCCTGAGTAGCTGAAAGTATAGGTGTGCACCATCATGCCTGACTAATAGCCTACTGTTGACCAGAAGCCTTACTAATAACATAAACATTTGATTAACACATATTTTGTATGCTATATGTATTTTGTGTACCATTTACTCTTACCAGAAAGTAAGCTAGAGAAAAAATGTTATTAAGAAAATCATAAGGAAGAAAAACATATTTACTATTTATTAAATGGAAGTGGATCATCATAAAGTTCCTTGAGGATGTATAATGAACCCGCACAGTTCAAATCTGTGTTGTTAAAGGGCCAACAGTATCTTAGCTAGATCTTCTGGATAACTTGCTGTGTAGCTTCTCCATCAGCACTTGCTACTTCACATTGCCCTTTTGTGTTTTAGAGAGGGCTTCTTTCCTTAACCCTCATGAACCAACCTCTGCTAGCTTCAAACTTTTCTGCTGCAGCTTCCTCACCTCTCTCAGCCTTCATAAAATTGAAGAGTTGGGGTCTTTCTCTGGATGAGGTTTTGGCTTAAGGGAATGTTGTGGCTGGTTTGATCTTCTGTCTAGATCACTAAAACCTTCTCCATATCAGCAATAGAGCTGTTTTGCTTTCTTATCGTTCCTGTGTTCCCGGAGTAGAACTTTTAATTTCCATCAATAACTTTTCCTTTGCATTCACAACTTGGCTGTTTGGTACAAGAGGCCTAGCTTTCAGCCTATCTCAGCTGTTAACATGCCTTCCTCACTAAGATTAATTATTTTTCTAGTTTTTTATTTAAAGTGAGAAATGTGGGACTCTTCCTTTCACTTGAACATTTAGAGTCTGTTGCGGGGTTATTAATTGGCCCAATTTCAATATTGTTGTGTCTCAGGGAATAAAGGGGCTGAGAAGAGGGAGCAAGACTGGCAAATGACCAGTCAGAGCACACACACATTTATTGTTCGCCATGTCCTATGGGCACAGCTGGTGGCACTCCAAAGCAATTACAATAGTAACAACAAAAATCATTGATCATAGATCACCTTACAGATATAATGATAAGAATAATAATAATAAAGTTTGAAACATTTTGAGAATTACTAAAATGTGACACAAAGACATAAGTGAGAACATGCTGTTGGAAAAATAGTGCCAAAAGATTTGCTCAATGCAGGGTTGCTGCAAACCTTCAATTTGTAAAACATGCAACATCCATAAAGCAAAAATTAATTAATAAAGCAAAGTGTAATAAAATGAGATATGCCTGTATGTTGAGTGCACTGAGGGGCAGGAAGTATATGTCTGGACTCCAGGGACTTGGCTGAGGAAGGTGGACCAGTACAGATACAAAGAGCTTTGGAACCAAGGTAAAAAGGTGTGGGAACAAACTGAAGGAAATTTTGACAGGGACTGAAAATGGTGCCAAACCTAGAGTGATTGAATTATGGATTTCTAAGATATTTATTTATATGGCAGCAAAATGATGTTCCATGCATGACGATCATAGTCTTTTGCTCTGTGTGGCCCAGCTGCTGGAGAGCTGAGGAGCACAGTCACTAATGAGTAGCCCAGGAGTGCCAAGGACTCCTGCCACTCATGATTCTGGATCAAGCTATGCAGAATTTAGGACAATCTGTATACTCTTCTATTTTAGTTAAGAATTTCCCAGTGCAGTATCTGAAATACTGTATCCAATAATTCTATATCTAGCAAAGCTATCCTTTCCTGATGAAGGTAAAATAAAGACATTCCCAGAAAAACAAAGACTGAGAGAATTTGTTGCTACCAGGTCTGCCTTTCAAGAAATACTAGAGAAAAGCTTTAAAGCTAAAAAGAAAAGACATCAGGTAGTAATGAGATCTACATTAAGAAACAAAGAGAACAGATAAAAGTAATTATGTAGGTAAATATAAAATCTGATATTAATAATTTTTAACAGATTGGAATGACAACTGTATAAAACAATGATTATAATCATTCAATTGTATTGATAGGCTTAAAACATAAAGATGTAACATGCATGAAAAATAGCACAGCTGGGCGTGGTGGCTCATGCCTGTAATCCCAGCACTTTGGGAGGCTGAAGCGGGTGGATTACCAGAGGTCAGGAGTTTGAGAACAGCCTGACCAACATGGTGAAACCTCGTCTCTACCAAAAATACGAAAAATTAGCCAGCCGTGGTGGTGGGTGCCTATAATCCCAGCTACTCAGGAGGCTGAGGCAGGAGAATTACTTGAACCCAGGAGGCGGAGGTTGCAGTGAGTCGAGATCATGCCATTGCACTATAGCCTGGGTCACAGAGCGAGACTCTGTCTCAACAAAAAAGAAAAGGAAAGAAAAATAGCACAAAAGAGGGAGGAAGGCAGGCATGTAAGTATAGTTATGATCATCCAGTTTAAATACTTTGTAAGTATTTTTAAGTATGAGAGCCATGGATTATTAAGTAGCGTTATTTGTTTTTCAGACATATGGGATTTGCTTTTGGTATTGATTTTCTATTTTCCTGCATTTTCAAAAGAAAATATTGTATGGCATTAGTCATTTGGAATTTTTTAGGCTTTCTTTGTAATCTAAGTCATTGTAACTAAGTACTCAAACCTGCTCAATTGGGCCGGGTGTGATGGCTCACACCAGCACTTTTGGAGGCAGAGGTGGGTGGATTGCTTGAGGCCAGGAGTTCAAGACCAGCCTGGCCAACATGGAGAAACCCCGTCTCCACTAAAATTACAAAAATTAGCTGGGTGCGGTGGCACACACCTGTAATCCCAGCTATTCGGGAGGCTGAGGCATGAGAATCACTTGAACCCAGGAGGCAGAGATTGCAGTGAGCCAAGAGAGCACCGCTGTACTCCAGCCTGGGTGATAGAGTGATACTCTGTCTCAAACAAAAAAAACTGCTCAATCTACAACTTTGTATAGATAATTTATTTTCATTTATTGAGGCCATTTTGTGTGTATGTGTGTGTGTACACATATATACAATTGTTAAGGTTTCTTGATCTGTTTTTCTTTACCAGTATAAAATATTCTTGTCTAAATTGTGTCATGTCCTCTATGTTGAATGTTAATTATATTATGATATTTAAATTGTTATATCATCTTTCTTTTTAATTCATATTTGGTGGGGCATCCTTTTTTATTCCTTTATTTTAAATTACTTGTTTACTTTTGGGAAATTACACATTGTTGAATCATTTAAAAATTTTAATCTGAGAATCTCTGTCTTTTAATAAATGTCTCTAACCCATTTACCTTTAATAAATATTCTTATAGAAAACAATCTTATGTTAGGGCCTATCTCTGGCATCTTATTTCATATTTTTAATTTATCATGCTTTTTAAATATTTGTTTTTATTTCTCTCTTCAGACATCTATTGGATGAATGAAATATCTTCTACTATTTTAAAAGCCATTATTGTATTCTGATCCCTTAGAGGATTTTTTATTTAAGCCCACATTACTTTTCCACATAGACTTAAAGATTTCTAAAACTTCTAAGTTTTCCTAAAACAAGACAGCTCTTTCAGTATGCTAACTGTTCCCTTTAGTTTACCTTCTGACCTTGATATTTTCTAGACAGTTTTTAGTTCATGATTATAATAGATATTGGTGTTCTCTTATTCTATCTCTTCCTTCCACTTTCTTCTTAATCCCTAAATTTTTAGACAACACCAAACTTTATGAATTGACTTCTCACTATGCAAAATTGTTGACATGGCAGGCCTGCAGTTGCTATCTTTAAAAGTCCTGCTTACAAGGTTGGCTCTTGGTTGGCATCCATAAGCCTGAATTTTGAGAAAGTTCCCATTGTTCTCAGAACAAACAAGTATGGCTCACTGTGCCTCAACCATTTGTACAAACAACTTGGTTTATGGTAGATATCTGCTTTTATTTTGGGAGTCTGGAATTTTGGTACATGCTAGGCAGAAGCTGCTATATGACCAGCCCCCAATAGAAACCTTGGACACTGTGTTTGTCTCTCATGAGCTTCCCTGGTAGACAACACTTCACACATGTTGTCACAACTGATCGATGGGGGAATTCAGCATGCCCTGTGTGGCTCCACTGGTCATTGGGAAAAGACACTTGGAAGCATGCACCTGATTTCTTCTGGACTTTGCCCCTTGCACCTTTTCCCTTTGTTGACTTTGCTTTGTAGTCTTTCACTGTAATAAATCATAGCTGCAAGAAAAACCATGTGCTGAGTCCTGTGAGTCCTCCTAGTAAAGCACTGAACCTGGGGATAGCGTTGGGAATCCCCAGCATATTCACTTATATTGCCCATATACTTTTGTATAGTGGTTCTAGATTTATTTTCCTAGTGGAGCACATCCTTCAAGCAGGCTTTCAAAAAGGGTCTTTGTGTGGTAAGCATTCTGATGTTTCATATGTCTTAGAACAATTTTATTGTGCCCTCATAGTTCAGGATGTAAATTTTCACTTGAAAAGTTTTTACCTTAAACATCTTGAAAATGCTACTCTATTGATTTCTTGTCCTATTGTCACTATTTGAAAGTCTAATCTCAGTCTGATTATTCTTCTTCTTTGGGTGATCTAATCTTTCTCTATAGAATATTTTAAAATTTATTTGTATTTGATGTTCCTACATTTTATAATGTGGCTAGATATGCAAGTTTTCTTTCTCTATTCTTTTATGATCATTTCCAGTCTGAGATCTTTAATAGTTCTTTCATTTGGGGCAACTTCAATGCATTGTTTCATTAAATATTTTTTAACCTGCTAAATCTTTTTCTTTTAGAACTACTATTTGGATGTTTACACTTATACCTCTCGCTTCCACATACCTTAATCTTCCTTTTTATTTTGAAACAATCTTAAAGTAGCAGAAAAACTGAAAGTACAGTAAAAATAACTTCTTTTCCCTGAAACATTTGAGAGTCAGTTACTTAATGGTGCCCAATCACCCCCAATGCTGTCATGTACATTTTCTCTAAAGAAAGACAAGTTCTTCTACATAAACACAACATAGCCATCAAAATCTGGAAATAAATGATGCCAATATCTACTCTAATCTATTTACATATATTAATTATGTCTATTTTATGCATGATTTTAATTAATTCTGTATTATTTGCTATCAGTCATTCAGTGTGAGTGCAGAAACATTTCATGTAAATGTGATGTTCACTGCTAGGTTTGATTTGAAGGCCAAAAGGAAGCATAGGTTTGTTATTCTCATCCCATTAACCAGCTCAACTTGATGGGGGAGGTGATGCAAACCTAAACAGATTTGTATTGTCAAACCTAAAACAGTTTAGGTTAAGTTAAGCTAAGTGTGCATGTTTGAGAAATGGCTCAGGAGTGAGGGGGAAACTAATGGATGGGACCAGCTGATAATCTAGCTATGAAGATCTGGGTAAAACACCCAGAGAGAAATTCAGAGGAGCCCAAGCTGACACATTTCATTATAATGGTCATACAGTTATTCACCAAGAAAAACAAAATTAGGCCAGGAAAATAGCAAACAGATGGAAGCTTCAAGGATTTGGGGATTGTTACAAAGATCCCAAAATTAATCTGGATGTTGTTGCATCTTTATTTCAGATGGCACATCAAGCAACTCCTCTTATTCTTTTCTGTTTGTGCAGAAAAACCAGATCTGTGGTGTAGGTTTTGGATGTTTTTAGGCCAGGCGTGGTGGCTCATGCCTGTAATCCTAACACTTTGGGAGGCCGAGGCAGGTGGACCACCTGAGGTCAGGAGTGGCCAACATGGTAAAAATCCGTCTCTACTGAAAATACAAAAGTTAGCCAGGTGTGGTGGCGGGCACCTGTAATCCCAGCTACTCAGGAGGTTGAGGCAGGAGAATCACTTTAACTCAGGGGGCGGAGGTTGCAGTGAGCCGAGATCATGCCACTTCACTCCAGCCTGGGCAACAAGAGAGAAACTCCATCTCAAAAAAAAAAAAGTTTTTAAATTGACAAGTAGTAATTTTACATATTTATGTGATACATAGTGATGTTTCAATATGTATAATGTATAGTGATCAGATCAGGGTAATTAGCATACCCGTCATCTCAAACATTTATCATTTCTTTGTGTTGGGAACATTCAATATCTTCCTTCTAGCTATTTGAAATTATATTATTCTTATGTATGTTCATCCTACAGTGCTATAGAACACTAGAACTTATTCCTCCTGTCTAGCTATGACGTTGTATCCTTTAACAAATCTCTCCCACTGGGCACAGTGGCTCACGCCTGTTATCCCAGCACATTGGGAGGCTGAGGCAGGTGGATCACAAGGTCAGGAGTTCAAGACCAGCCTGGCCAGCATGGTGAAACACCCGTCTCTACTAAAAATACAAAAATTAGCCAGGCATGGTGGCACGTGCCTGTAGTCCCAGCTACTCAGGAGGCTGAGGCAGGAGAATGGCTTGAACCTGGGAGGCGGAAGTTGCAGTGAGTCGAGATCGTCCCACCGCACTCCAGCCTAGGCGACAGAGCAAGACTCTGTCTCAAAAAACAAAAAAATCTCTCCCTATCTTCCCCTTCCCACTATGCTTCCTAGCTTCTAGTACCTGCTGTTCTACTTTTTACTTCCATGAGGTCGACTTTTCTCCAGATATGAGTGAGACTATGTGTTGTTTAATTTTCTGTTCCTGGCTATTTCACAGAACATAATGTCCTCCAGTTTCAGCCATGGTGCCATGAACCACGGGATTTTATTCCTTTTTGTGGCTGAATAGGATTGTGTTGTATATTTGTATCATAGTTTCTTTCTCCATTCCTCGGTTGTTAGACACCTAGGTTGAGTCTGTATCTCGGCTATTGTGAATAGTGCTGCAATAAACATGGGGGTACATATGTTGATATGCTGATTTCCTTTCCTTTGGATAAATACCTAGTAGTGGGATTGCTGGGTCATATGGTAGTGGAGTTCTATGTGTAGGCTTTTGAGAAATTGCAATACCATTCTCCATAGTGACTGTACTAATTTATATTCCCACCAACAGTGTATAACAGTTCCCCTTCCTCCACAAGGTCAACAGCACTTGTTATTTTTTGTCATTTTGTTGTTATTGTAGCGATCCTGACTGGAGTGAGGTGATACCTCATTATAGTTCTCACTTGCATTTCCCCGATGATTAGTGATGTTGAGAGAACAATGAAGTCATTTTTTTCATATATTTGTTGGTCATTTGTATGTCTTCTTTTGTGAATTGTCTGTTCAGATCATTTGCCCATTTTTTAAATTGGATTGTTTGTGTTTTTGCTGTTGAGATGTTTGAGTTTCTTGTATATTCTGGATATTAATCCCCTGTCAAATGAATAATGTATTAGTCTGTTCTCAGATTGCTATGAAGATACTACCTGAGACTGGGTAATTTATAAACAAAAGAGGTTTAATTTACTCACAGTTCCACATGGCTGGGGAGGCCTCAGGAGACTTTAAATCATGTCAGAAGGCGAAGGGGAAGCAAGGCACGTCCTACATGGTGGCAGGAGAGAGAGCTCATGCAGGGGAAACTGCACCTTTTAAACAATCATATCTCATGACAACTCCCTCGCTATCATAAGAACAGCATGGGGGAAACTGCCCTTACGATCCAATCACCTCCTGCCAGGTCCCTCACTCCACACATGGGGATTAGAGTTCAAGATGAGATTTGGGTGGAGACACAGAGCCAAACCACATCAAATACTTTGAAAATATTTTCTCTCATTCTGTAGATTGTCTTTTCAATGTGTCGATTGTTTCCTTTGCTGTGCAGCAGCTTTTTAGTTTGATATAATCCAATTTACCTATTTTTGCTTTTGTTGCCCATGGTTGTGAGATCTTATATTAAAAATCTTTTTGTAAGATCATGAAAATGTCCTGAAGTATTTCCCCTGTGTTTTCTTCTAGTAGTTTTACAGTTTCAGGTTTTACCTTTAGATCTTTAATCCATTTTTAGCTGATTTTTGTATAGGGTGAGAGGCGAAGGTCTAATTTCATTATTCTGCATATGGATATCCAGTTTTCCTAGCACCATTTACTGAAGAGACTATCCTTTCCCCAGTGAATGTTCTTGGCATCTTTGTCAAAAAGCAGTTGGCTATCGACGCATGGATTTATTTCTAGGTTCTCTATTCTTTTTTTTTTTTTTTTTTTTTTTTTTGAGACAGAGTCTTGCTCTTGTTGCCCAGGCTGGAGTGCAGTGGCACAATCTTGGCTCACTGCAACCTCTGCCTCCCAGGTTCAAGTGATTCTCCTGCCTCAGCCTCCAGAGTAGAGTAGCTGGGACTACAGGTATGCACCACCATGTTCGTCTAATTTTTGTACTTTTAGTAGAGATGGGGTTTTGCTATGTTGGCCAGGCTGATCTCGAACACCTGACCTCATGTGATCCACCTGCCTCGGTCTCCCAAAGTGCTGGGATTATAGGCATGAGCCACTGCACCTGGCCCTAAGTTCTCTATTCTATTCCATTAGTCTACGTGTCTGTTTTTATGCCAGTGCTATGCTATTTTGGTTACTAGAGCTTGGTAGTATATTTAGAAGTCTTGAAACCTGTTCCCTCCAGCTTTGTTCTTTTTGTTAAGGATTGCTTTGGCTATTCTAGGATGTTTGTGGTTCCATACATATTTTAGGATTTATTTTATATTACTGTGAAGAATGTCACTGGTATTTTAATAGGGATTGCATTGACTCTGTAGATGGTTTAGGGTAGTATGGTAATTTTAACAATATTAACTCCTTCCATCCATGAGCATGGGAAGTTTTTCCATTTGTTTGTATCCTCTTCAATTTCTTTTATCAGTGTTTTGTAGTTTTCAATGTAGAAGTCTTTTATCTCCTTGGTTAAATTTATTCCTAGGTATTTATTTGTAGCTGTTATAAATGGGATTGCCCTCTTGGTCTCTTTTTTTAACTAGTTCATTGTGCATAGAAACACCACTGACTTGTATGTTTATTTTGTATCCTGTAACTTTACTGAATTTCTTTATGAGTTCTACAGGTTTCTTGGTAGAGTCTAAGTTTTTCTCTACATAAGAGCTTGTCTGCAAACAGGGTAAATGTGACTTCCTCTTTTCCAATTTTGATGTCCTTTATTGTTTTCTCTTTCATGATTGATCTAACTAGGACTTCCAGTACTACGTTGAATAAGAGTGGGTAAAGTGAGCAGCATGCTCATGGAGGGGCATGGAGGCTCCCTAGCCTTTCCTCTATATCTTGTTTCAGTTCTTAGAGGAAAAGTTTTCAGCTTTTCACCGTTAAGTATATTGTTAGCTGTGGGTTTGTCATATATGATCTTTATTATGTGGAGGTGCTTTCCTTTCATACATAATTTATTGAAAGTTTTTATCATAAAGTGGTGTTGAATTTTATCAAATGCTTTTTCTGTATCTACTGAGATTACCGTATGGTTTTGTCCCTGATTCTGTTGATGTGAAGTATCACATTTATTGATTTGTGTACATTGAGCCATTCTTGCATTCGTATGATAAATCCCACTTGATCATGCCACATTATCTTTTTGATGTGTTGTTGAATTGGGTTTGTTAGTATTTTGTTGAGGATTTTTGCACCTATTTTCATCAGGAATATTGGCCTGTGGGTTTCTTTATGCTGTCTTGTTATTGTCTGGTTTTGGTATTAAGGTTATGTGGGCCTCATAAAATTGAGCTAAGAAGAATTCCTGCCGCATCAATTTTTTGGAATAGTTTGAGAAGAATTGGTATTAATTTATATTTAAAGGGTCATAGAATTTGGTGGTAAAGCCATATGGTTCTGGACTTTTGTTTCAGGGGAGACTTTTTATTACTGATTCAATCTCCTTACTTGTTATTCGTCTGTTCAGGTTCTTCTGTTTCTTTTTGGTTCAGTGTGGTAGGTTGTATGTGTTCAAGAATTTATCCATTTCCTCTAGGTTTTTGAATTATAAAGGATATCACAAAGGATACAGAGGAAGAGGTGCATAAGGTGAGATATGGGGAAAGGCTAGAGAGCTTCCATGCCCTCCATGAGCATGCTGCTCTCCAACAACCTCTAAGTGTTCAGTGGTAGCCACCTGGAAGCTCTGACTTATATATTTTAATTTGAAATTTCTGTTCAGTTTTGAGTAATTGTCTTTTTTTAGACTAATTTCTAATTATTTCCATTATAGTCTGAAACTATGTCCTTTGTGATGTAATTCTTTAAAATTTTGTTCAGACTTTTTTTATAGCCTAATGTATAGTCACTTTTTGTACATGTTTTATTTGTGCTTGAGAAAAATGTGTTCCTCTAGTTTTTCTATGCAGACTTCTGTATATTTTAATTAAGTCAAGCTTATTAATCATAATGTTCAAATTACCCATCTCTTTACTAAATTTACTACTCTATCAATAATTTGAATGTATAAAGTATAGACCTTCTATATACCCATAAATCTTTCCCCTTATAAATGTCAGTACTTGAGCCTGCCACAATGTTGACTAGACTGCTTTAACAGAAAGCCTCCATCACATAATAACTGAAATACAATATACTTTTTATTTCTTGCTCAAATAATAATTCAAAATGAGTATTCTAAAACAATGGGTATCCTTTTTTCATGTGATAAAAGAAGTCAAGGACCCAGGCTCCTTTCACCTTTTGGCTTCACTAGGCTCTAGAACCTTGTTGTCATCTATACTGAGCTGGTGGAAAAGAAAAAGAGTGTGAAAGAGACTTGCCATCTTCTTAGGGTCTTGACCTAGTAGTGACAAGTCTGTTAGCCAAAATATTTACATTGTGGCACTGGCTGCAAGATGCTTGGGTAAGGAAAATGCAGCTTCTATTTGAGATGATGATTCTCCTCTATATAACCCCTCTTTGCTAGGATAGTTATGACAGTGTCCAGTCTCTAAATTGTTCATTTATGAGTGGACAAAAAGAAAAACTAGGAAAGAGAGAGCCTTTGGGAAGGGTCAAATACCACTCTGTAAACTATAGGTACAAATATCAGAATTTTTGAATTATAAAGGATATCGCAAAGGATACAGAGGAAGGTGCATAAGGTGAGATATGGGGGAAAGGCTAGAGAGCTTCCTTTGAATGTAAATTACAACTGTGGACTGAAGGAGTCTGCATTAGGAGTTCAGAATGTCAGAAAGAGGTTCAAATCTTTAGAAGATTATCATCATCAGAGGAAGAGGGTGATCTTCTTCCCAGCTTGCATGCCTACTGGGAGTCCAGTGACCCTAGGTTGTCCCCTCTTTCTCCTGTTAGGGAAGAAGAAACATCTTCACTTCTGAGAGTTCATTTCCTTCATGATATTCAAGGTCAGTGACCACCTCCTCCTGGACAGCCTGCCAAGCCTTTGACTGATAGGTCTCTCCCCCTGTCTGAGCTCTAAGATATTTACTATGTTTCTCCACTAGCCCTTCTGTCCCATGCCCTACAATAGTCTCTCTTTCTGTGTGTTTATGTGTGTTTAAATTTGTATATGTATATCTGTGTATGTGTTTATATACATTTATATATGAAACAGCTACTTACTCTTTCACTCAGGAATTCTAGCTCTCTTAGTCTAAAGAAATCAAAGATTTATAAATAAAAATAATATGACATTCTCTAGATTATTAGTAATTAGTACAATACAAATACTTGATTATTAGCATTTGAGAGCTGTGCAATTATGAAAATCCACATTTTGAGAAATACTTACATGATTAAATAAGGGTGGCAAAAATAGATAACAAAAGTTGTTTATATTAAAAGGATTGTTTATATTAAATATGGAGAGAAACTAAAAGATAATGCAATGAAACATCAGTTAATTCTAAGCAACTCTTTTTAACAATATATTTTTTCTTTTCTTTTTTCCATAAAACATTTTGTAATTAGAAAGCAGAAATAAATGATATCTTTCATTCTATCGGCAAGAACACAAGACTGGTTATGTGAAAGGAGGAGGCGTCATTCCTGCGGAAGCCCTATCCCACATGACGAACGACAAGGCCAGGGGCAAGCAAAAAGAGGAAGGACTCTCTTGCTCTGCTCCGACTTGGCCAGTAGAGGCAGTGAGGAGCTAAAGATCATTCCTTCTTTCCTTCCTTCACTCTCCGTAGACAGCTCTGCAGGGAAGTCTGTGACAACCTGGCCAGACATAGGGCTCACGATCTGATCAGAGTCATGGCACCCCAGACTCTGCTGCCTGTCCTGGTTCTCTGTGTGCTGCTGCTGCAGGCCCAGGGAGGATACCGTGACAAGAAGAGGATGCAGAGTAGGTGATGGGCTGCTGGATGGGTGAGGGGGAATTGGGTAGGGGGAATGGAGGGCCTGTGTCCAGTCTGAGTAGGACCTAGGAGTTGGAAACTCTCTGCATATCCAGCTCTGACCACAATGTTGTGTAGACTCTGGACTGTCCCTAAACCATGGCCCTCCAGCCCCTTAGCTGGCCCTGGGAATAGTAATGGGAATGAAGAAGAAACCTGCATATTTTGCTGTTCCTTCTCAATACTTAGAGAGAAATGGCACATCCCATAGTGAAAGGCGCACCAGGGCTGAGAATCCAGTGGGGAAAGCAAGACAATTATTATTTGATTTATGCACATTTGTGAGGAGTAAAGATTCAGAAGTGGTTATGACGGTAGGTGTAGGTGTAGAATGGGTATAAGTGTAGGGAAATAGGACATAAGACAAGCAAAAGTTGGGGTACACAGAGCCAAGTTAAGGTTATCATCAAAGGGGCAAGGAGAGTGGTGGTGGAAAGGGAACTAAAGAAGGGGCAGGAAGACTAGAGACAGTGACAGTGAGCAGAAGAGAGGGAGAGACAAGAGGCATGTTGATCCTCATCTCTGAATTCTACTATTCAGAGACTAGGAGAGAGTTTGAAAGATGTCTCATGCTTCTTTGAGCTCTCAGGATCAGACTGTAGATTCTTTGGTGGTGACTTCACCAAGGCCATGACTAGTAAGGGAGATGGAGTTCTGATTGCTGGTGTGTGGAGAAGGTCCAGGAAGCCCAGGCATTGTGGTCTAATGGGGTAAGGTGTACAGTGGAGAGACAGGATTTAAAATATGACCAATCACTAGGATTTGGTGATGGGCAGGAAGGTAGTTCTATGAAGAAGGAATCCAGGAGTATCATGACTGAGACCTGGGTTCAAGGGTCTTGGAGGAGGCTTCAGCTTGAGAAAAATGTTCTCTAGGAAACTGCGTTTATTTACCGTTCTATTCTCCTTGTCAGAAACACAGCTATCCCCAGAAATCAAAGTCTGCCAGCAGCAGCCTAAACTATATCTATGCAAACACTTATGTGAATCTCACCGAGATTGTCAAGCAAATAACATATGCTGTTCTACCTACTGTGGGAATGTTTGCATGAGCATCCTGTGAGTGGGAGAGTGGGCTGGGATGTGCATCCTGCTTCCCAACTCCTCTATCCAAGACTGTGCCCACATCCGAAGCACAAGGACCTCAAGTCACCAGCATAAGAACATCAACAGGAATGCCGCCCTCTCTACTGTCTGAACCCCTTGTCCCTGTCAAATAAACCAGAACAAATGCCCAGGGATCCTACCTCTTTTGCTGCCACTACAGATGATCATTGAGAGCTCACTGTGGCCCCTACAGATGCCCCACTTGTCTTGCGTCCTGGTGTTCAATTTCTCTCCCTGGCTATGCTTCTCTACCCTCCCTCTCCCTCTTTGGCCCACGTATCCCTGCCAGCCCTCAGGATGCCCAGCCCCTTGCTGTTTTGCTCACTGAACCAGTACTCCCAGGGGGAGGAACTGCTCATGTGCAGCATCTCCTGATGCTAAGGAGAACATTTCTCACCCTGGAGTCAGAAGGACCCATTAAGCATGAGATGGGTGGCAGTTAGAACCCGAGATAAAGAGTGGGAGGCCCCCAAGCACTGCTTTGGTCTCCTTAGCCTTGGTGCACCGCCATCCTATGCTCCCCAATCTCTCTGTAAGGTTCAGATTACTGTCTATCATTAGGATAATGAGTCCCAGGAAGTCCAGCAAGCCCAAGGCCACAAGAGAGTGAGAGGATATGATGTGACTGGAAGAGGGTGTTTCCTCTAGGATCACTTTTTCCTCACTTCTCTCCATTACCTGAGACCAGAGGCATCCTAGTGAGAGTGAGTGCCTGCACCAACCCCAAAGCTCCTCCTATCCAGCACCCACCAATATGGCTACTCCTCTGATGGGACCCATTTTGGGCCTCAGGATCTGACACTCCAGCACCTTCCATTAACTGAATAGTCCTTATCTTTCCCAAGCCCTCTTCCTTAGGGGCTGGTTCATTCTCTTTTCTTTAGATCAAGAGGAACACTAAGGGATGTGGAACAGGTGGTTCATGCTGCTGTTGCTAAGGAGTAATTGGCACAGAGTGGCTATGGGTCTTCCCTGTCATCCTACTGTGAGTTGGTGGAAATTAATCAGTGTGGTACAGAATCTCCCACTCTGCAATCGCAACTCCTCTGAAATGATCCTGGGGCTAGATCCAGGGTTGGGTCACATGTAGCTAACTGGGACATGAAGCCAAATGTGAAGAGGTTTCAGGAGGATAGGCCATGCCCAGAGGCAGGTGTGCAGTGTTATGCTCCAGTCTAGTGCTTCTTGCTGGGCCATTCAATGAAAGAGACATCAGAGAAGAAAACTTCCTTCATCAGACCAGAGGCTGTGAGCCACCTCTGAGGCATCACCGGGCTCTGGGTATCTCAGGCTTGTCTTCACCTTTCTCAAGAGCTTCCCTTGGACAAGGAGGTCTTAGGAAAGAGATCATGATCAACCATCAACACAGACACCATCAGATGTACTCTGTGGGCTGTAAGGGCATGATCTCCAAGAGACCTTATTTGGTGTTTCCTTGGATAGCCTCCCTTACCAAGCATCCTCTCAAGCCACCCCCAAACATGCCTACTAGACACTACAGGCATATCTTGTTTTATTGAGCCTTGCTCTATTGCACTTCACAGCTATAGCGTTTCATACAAATTGAAGGTTTGTGGCAACTCTGCATCGAGCAAGTCATCTGGCACCATTTTTCTAACAGCATGTGCTTACTTCATGTCTCTGTGTCACATTTTGGTAATTCTCAAAATATTTCAAACTTGCTAGGCGCAGTGGCTCATGCCTGCAATCTCAGCACTCGGGAGGCCAAGGCAGGTGAATCACCTGAGGTCAGGAGTTCGAGACCAGCCTGACCAACATGGTGAAACTCCGTCTTTAATAAAAATACAAAATTAGCTGAGTGTGGTGGCGCATGCCTGTAATCCCAGTTACTTGGGAGACTGAGGCAAGAGAATCGCTTGAACCTGGGAGGTGAAGGTTGCAGTGAGCTGAGATCTTGCCATAGCACTGCAGCCTGGGCAACAAGAGCGAAACTCCATCTCAAAAAAAAAATTTCAAACTTGTTTTATTATCATATCTGTTGTGATGATCTGTCATCCATAATCTTGGTTATTACTGTTGTAATTGTTTTGGGACACTATGAACTGCGCCCCTAAAAAATGATTAATGGATAAATGTTGTGTGTGTGTTCTGACTGCTCCAACAACTGGCCATTTCCCCATCTCTCTCCCTCTCCTCAGGCCTCTCTATTTCCTGAGACATAACAATATTAAAATTAGGCCAATTAATAACTCCACAATGGTCTCTACGTGTTCAAGTGATAGGAAGGGTTCTATGTCTCTCACTTTAAATGAAAAGCTGGAAATGATTACAGTTAGGAAGGCATGTCAACAGCAAAGATATGCCAAAAGCTAGGCCTCTTGTGCCAGTTAGCCAAGATATGAATGCAAAGGAAAAGTTGTTGAGGGAAATTAAAAGTGCTACTCTAGTGAACACATGGATGATAAGAAAGCAAAACAACCTTATTGCTGATATGGAGAAAATTTTAGTGGTCTGGGCAGAAGATCAAACTAGCCACCACATTCCCTTAAGCCAAAAACCTAACCAGAGAAAGGCTCTAGCTCCCTCCAATATTATGAAGGCTGAAAGAGGTGAGAAAGCTGCAGAAGAAAAGTTGGAAGTTAGCAGAAATTATTTCATGAGGTTTAAAGAAAGAAGCCATCTCCGTAATATAAAAGTGCAAAGTGAAGCAGCAAGTGCTAAGGTAGAAGTTGCAGCAAGTTACCCAGAAGATCTTGCAAAGTGATGAAGATGTCTAAATTAAACAATAGATCTTCAGTGTGGAAAAATAAGCCTTCTGTAGGAAGAAGATGCCATCTAAGACTTTCATAACTAGAGAGCAAAAGTCAATGCCTGGCTTCGAAACTTGAAAGGATAGGCTGACTCTCTTGTTAGGGGCTAATGCAGCTGGTGACTTTAAGTTAAAGGTAATGATGATCATTTACCATTCTGAAAATTCCAAGTCCCTTCAGAATTCTGCTAAATCTACTATGCCTATAAATAAGACACCATCTTGATGATAGCACATCTATTTACAGCATGGTTCACTGAATATTTTGAGTCTACTTTTCACACCTAGACACATTTTGAGTCTACTTTTGACACCTAGACACCTACTGCTCAAATAAAAAATACTCATTCAAAATACTACTCCCATTGACAACGTGCCTGGTCACCCAAGAGCTCCAATGGAGATGTACAAGGAGATTAATATTGTTTTCATGCCTGCTAACACAATATACATTCTACAGCCCATGGCTCAAGAAGTGATCTTGACTTTCAAGTCTCATTGTTTAAGAAATACATCTTATAAGGCTATAGGTGACATAGATAGTGATTCTTCTGATGGATCTGGGCAAAATAAATTGAAAACCTTCTGGAAATGATTCACCATTCTAGATGCCATTAAGAACATTCATGATCGACAGGAGGAGGTGAAAATATCATCACTAACAGGAGTTTGGAAGAAATTGATTCCAACTCTCATGGCTGACTTTGAGAGTTTCAAGACTTCATAGAGGAGCCCACTGCAGATGTGATAGAAATAGCAAGAGAACTAGAGTTAGAAGTTGAGCCTGAAAATGTGATTGAATTGCTGGAATCTCATGATAAAACTTGAATGGATGAAGGGTTACTTCTTTTTTTTTTAAGAGATAGGATCTTACTCAGTTGCCCAGGCTGGAGTACAGTGGCATGATCAGAGCTCACTGCAGTCTTGAACTCCTTGGCTTGAGCTATGCTCCCACCTCAGCTTCCCTGGTAGCTAGAACTACAGGCATGCACTACTGCCCTTGGCTTTTTTTTTTTTTTTTTTTTTTTTTTTTTTTTTTTTTGGAAAGACAAGGTCTAGCTAAGTTCCCCAGGCTGATCTCAAGTTCCTGGCCTCAAGTGATCCCCTCCTACCTCGGCCTCCCGAAGTGCTGAGATTATTATAGGCATAAGCCATGGCACCCAGTCAAGGAGTTGCTTCTTATGGATGAGCAATGAAAGTGGCTTCTTGAATTAGAAACTTCTCCTGGTAAGGATGCTGAAAACATTTTTGCTACTTGGGAGGCTGGGGCAGGAGGATCACTTGAACCCAGGAGTTTGAGGCTGCAGTGAGCTATGATCCTTGCCACTGCACTCTAGCCTGGGTGTTAAGACAAGACCCTGTCTCTTAAAAAAAAAAAATAGCAACTCTTCATCCATGAAAGTTGTATCATTAGACTGTTGAAATGACAACAAAGGATTTAAAATGTTACATAAACTTATGATAAAGCAGTAGCGGGATTTGAGAAGATTGACTCCAATTTTCAAGGAAATTCTTCCGTGGAAAGAAATTCAAACAACATCACATGCTACAGAGAAATCTTTCATGAAAGAAATAGTCAACTGATGCAGCAAACTTTATTGTTGTCTTATTTTAAGAAATTTCCATAGCCACTTTAGTAACCACCACCCTGGTCAGTCAGCAGCCATCAACATTGAGGCAAGACTCTCTACCAGCAAAACAATTATGACTAACTGAAGGTCAGATGATCACTAGCATTTTTAGCAGTAAAATACTTTTAATTATATACACTGTTTTTAACATATAATACTATTGCACACTTAATAGATTATGGTGTAGTGTAAACATAACTTTTATATGCAGCAGGAAACCAAAAATATGTGTGATTCTCTTTATTGTGGCAGTTGGATCCAAACTTGATCTCTAACGTATATCTGCATTAAGAGAGGCAAAGTTAGCCAGGCACAGTGGCTCATGCCTGTAATTCCAGCATTTTGGGAGGCCGAGGCAGGTGGATCACCTGAGGTCAGGAGTTTGAGACCAGCCTGGCCAATGTGGTGAAACCTCATCTCTACTAAAAATATAAAAATTAGCCAGGTGTGGTGGCGCACACCTGTAGTCCCAGCTACTCAGGAGGCTGAGGCAGGAGAATCGCTTGAACCTGGGAGGCAGAGGTTGCAGTGAGCCGAGATTGCACCACTGCACTCCAGCCTGGGTGACAGAGGGAGACTCCATCTCAAAATAAACAAACAAACAGAAAAACAATGAGAAGCAAAGTTACCTGCCAGTGGCCACATGGAGAGTAAACTTCCATGTCCAAATCCAGAGCACTTTGCCATGTAAACACACTATGGGTTCCAAACTGCTCTATTTCCTGTCACTGGTGCAAGTGCCATGAACTATGAATTTTACTAGAAGCAGTTGCTCCAATCACTGATGTCCTGACCTATGTTCCAGAGAGCTCTCTGGACAGCCTACCCTGCCCCAGGGAACTCAGAGGCTACACCTAGAATATTGCAGCTGGAAAGGGTGCCCATTTGGTTATGACTGTGTGCTCTGTCTTATATGGAAGCATCTGTATACCTCCATATTATTTACAATAGGGTGGTGAGGAATCCTGGAAGACTTTGAACCTCATGGAGATATAGGAGGAATCAAATGCCTATTCTGCCAAAATCTGGATCTCCAAAATGTTAAGTCCTAGTCATCAGAGAATCACAGATGAGGTCTGGCCTGTTGGTGACCAAATGCAAGTCTTATGATTCCCACTGCTTTTGCATTATTTGTTCTCTTCCTATGCTCCAGACATGCCCCTTCAAGATGGCGAATGCAGATGGGAGGATCCTAAAAGAATACTCCCCACCTCTGATGTCATGGTATTGGCCAGCTCCTGCATCATTTCCATACTTTGGCCACAGCTGATGCTCATAGTGAGTCCATAACTGATGCTGTCATCAGCAATATGTGCCCCACCCAACCTCTAGTTCATCCTAACAAACCTAGGATGCCTAAATCATGCAGTACAGAAGGTTATCTGAAATGCAAGGGTTGGGTTTAGGTGCTAAGTGCAATATCTATCACCAAGAAAAGTCCATTAGCCAAAAATATAGTTGCAATAACTATGACATGAAGCATTCAAAGATAGTCTTCTATCCAGAGGAAGTCTCTTATAACTCTCCCATTAAATATACATTCTTTAGAATTATACCCATCAGTTAATGTGTCCAGTGTCTTAACTTGGGAAGAGTTCACTTCTTGAAAATTTTTAGTGACAGATGGTAAAATGTAGAAGTAAGTATCTGAGTGAAAGGGCACTAAACTTCAGATTTCTGAGGCTATTCTGGATCATTGTGGCTAGTACATGGTGACACCTTGCCATGTTGATTCAAGTATTCTATTATTTAAAGTCTTCTTGGATTATAGTTTTTAAATTAATTTATTTATGTTTTAATTGACAAAAAATTATATGTATTTATCATGTACAATATGATGTTTTGAAACCTGGATACATTGTGGAATGATATTGTGGAATGACTAAATCTAACTAATATATGCATTACCTCACTTATTTTTTATGGTGAAAACACTCAAAATCCACTCTCTTAGTAATCTTCAGGAATACAATACATTAACTGTAGTCCCCATGTTGTACAGCAAATCTCTTAGCTCACTTCTCCTATCTAACTGAAATATTGTATCTCCAACATCTCCCCAGCATCCACCCCTCAGACCCCGGTAGACACCATTCTACCTTGTTCCTGTGAATTGAATTTCTTTGGATTTCATATTAAAGTGAGATTATGTGATATTTATCTTTCTGTGCCTGCTTATTTTACTTAACATAATGCTCTCTAGGTTCGTCATGTTGTTGCAAATGACAGGATTTCCTTCTTTTTAAAAGCTGAGTAATATTTTATTGTTTATATATGTTGATGCTTCCATGTCTTGGCTGTTACGAATAACACTGCAATGAACTGGAGTGCAGATATCTCTTTGGCATACTGATTTTATGTTCCAGTATGCCAAAGAGTATCCAGTAGTCTAATTGCTGGATAATGTGGTAATTCTATTTTTGTTTTTTTTAGGAACTTCCATACTATTTTCCATATGGGTATACTAATTTGCATTCACACCAACAGTGTGCAAGAATTCCCTTTTCTTCACATCCTTGCCAGCCCCTAGGATATTCTGTCTAATTGATAATAACCATTCCAACAGGTAGGTGTGAGATGATAACTCATCATGGTTTTAATTTGCATTTCTCTGATGATTAGTGATGTTGAGCATTTTTTTTCATCTACCTATTGGCTATGCATGTCTTCTTTTGGTCCTTTGCCAATTTTTTAATCAGGTTGTTTGCTTGCTGGTGAGTTGTTTGAGTTCCTTACATATTTTGGATATTAGCCCTTATCAGATGCATGGTTTCTAAGTATTTTCTCCCATTCCATAGGTTGTCTCTTAACTCTGTTAGTTGTTTTCTTTGTGGTTTGATATTATCCCACTTGTCTAGTTTTGGTTCTCATTGCCTAGACCAATGTAATGGAGCTTCCCTTCTATGTTTTCTTCTAGTACTTTTACAGTTTTAGGTTTTAGGTTTTACATTTAATTATTTAATCCATTTAGAATTGATTTTTGTATATGATGTGAAATTAGGGTCCAATTTCATTCTTCTGCATGTGAGCATCCAGTTTTGCCAGGAACTTTTATTGAAGAGGCTGTTCTTTGCCAGTTGAGTTTTATTGGTATCTTTGTCAAAATCAGTTGACCATAAATGATTCTGTTTGTTTCTAGGTTCTCTGTCATATTCCTTTGATCTATGTTTCTGCTTTAAATGCCAGCATTATACTGTTTTGATTTTTATAACTTTGTAATATACTTTAAAACCAGGTAGTGTGATATGTTCAGCTTTCTTGTTTTTGCCCAAGATAGTTCTAGCAATTTGGGGTCTTTGGGATTCCATATAAATTTTAAGGTTTTTTTCTATTTCTGTGAAAAATGTCATTGGAATTTTGATATGATTGCATTGCATCTGTAGAACACTTTGGGTAGTATGGACATTTTAACAATATTATTAATTCTTCCAATCTGTGAAAACAGAATGTCTCCACTTATTTGTGTCTTCTTCAATTTCTTTCATCAATGTTTCAGTTTCCAGTGTACAAGTTTTTAACCTCCTTGTTTAAATTTATTTCTAAGTATCTTTTTTTTGCTAGCTATTGTAAATGGGATTGTTTCCTAGACTTCCTTTTTGATAGTTCATTTTTACTGTATAGAAATGCTACTGATTTTTTGTATGTTGATTTTATGCCCTGCAACTTTATCAAATTTGTCCATTATTTCTAAACAGTTGTTTTAGGGTTTTCTGTATATCAGAGCATGTCATCTGCAAACAAGGACAAATTAACCTCTTTCTTTTCAGTCTGGATGCCTTTTATTTATTTATTTATTTTTTTTTTTTTTTCTTTTTTTTTGAGATGGAGTCTCGCTCTGTCACCCAGGCTGGAGTGCAGTGGCGTGATCTCGGCTCACTGCAAGCTTCGCCTCCTGGATTCACATCATTCTCCTGCCTCAGCCTCCCAAGTAGCTGGGACTACAGGGGCCCGCCACCGTGCCCAGCTAATTTTTTTTGTATTTTTAGTAGAGACGGGGTTTCACCGTGGTCTCGATCTCCTGACCTCGTGATCCGCCCTCCTCGGCCTCCCAAAGTACTGGGATTACTGGCGTGAGCCACCGCTCCCAGCTCTTGTATTCTCTGCCTAATTGCTCCAGCTAGCACTTTCAGTACTATGTTGAATAGAAGTGACAAGAAAGAGTGGGCATCCTTGCCTTATTCCTGACATTAGAGGAAAAGTTTTCAACTTTCCACCATTAAGCCTGATATAAGCTGTAGGCTTTTCATATATGGCCTTCATTGAATTGAGGTACGTTCCTCCTTTACCTAATTTGTTGAAAGTTCTTATCATGACAGCGTGTTGAATTTTGTCAAATGTTTTTTCTGCATCTGAGGAGATGATCATATGGTTTTTGTCCTTTGTTATATTAATGTGGTGTTATCACATTTATGGATTTGTATATGTTGCATCATCGTTGGATCCTAGAGATAAATCCCACTTGATTTTGGTACATAATATATTTAATGTGTTATTGAATTAGTTGGCTAGTACTTCGTTAAAGATTCTTATATATGTTCTATTAGGCTGTTCTTGCGTTGCAAAAAGGAATACTCAAGATTGGGTAATTTATAAAGAAAAGAGGCTTACTTGGCTCATGGTTCTGTAGGCTGTGCAAGCATAGTGCCAGAATGTGTTTGGATTCTGGGAAGGCCTCAGGGAGCTTTTACTCATGGCAGAAGGAAAAGCAGGAGCAGGCACCTCACATGGCCAGAGTGCAAGCAAGAGAGAGAGGGGGCAGGGAGGTGCCACACATTTTTAAACAACCAGATCTCATGAGAACTCATCATCATGAGGACAGCACCAAGCCATGAGGGGTCTGCCCCCATGACCCAAACACTTCCCACCAGGCCCCACCTCCAACACTGGGGATAACAATTCAACATGAGAATTTGTTGGAACAAATATTCGAACCATATATATTCACTATGGGTATTGGCCTATAATTTTCTTTCTTTTTTTTTTTTTCTCACGCTTAATTCACTTTATTTTTCTTGTATAAAAACCCTATGTTGTAGCCACAGCTGGAGCCTGAGTCCGCTGCGCGGAGACTCTGGTGTGGGTCTTGATGAGGTGGTCAGTGAATTCCTCATAGAGAGACTTGGTAAATACAGTCTCCTTCCAGAGGTCGGGGGGCAGGTAGCTGTAGGTCTTAGAAATGGCATCAAAGGTGGCCTTGGCGAAGTTGCCCAGGGTGGCAGTGCAGCCCCGGGCTGAGGTGTAGCAGTCATCGATACCAGCCATCATGAGCAGCTTCTTAGGCACAGGTGCGGAGACAATGCCAGTGCCCCTGGGTGCAGGGATGAGGCGCACCAGCACAGAGCTGCAGCGGCCTGTCACCTTGCAAGGGACGGTGTGGGGCTTGCCGATCTTGTTGCCCCAGTAGCCTCTGCACACGGGGACAATGGAGAGCTTGGCCAGGATGATGGCCCCACGGATGGCGGTGGCCACCTCCTTGGAGCACTTAACACCCAGACCGACGTGGCCATTGTAGTCCCCGATAGCAACAAACACCTTGAACCTGGTGCGCTGGCCGGCACGGGTCTGCTTCTGCACTGGCATAATCTTCAAAACCTCATCCTTGAGAGACGTCCCCAGGAAAAAGTCAATGATCTCTGATTCCTTAATGGGCAGGGAGAAGAGATATATCTCCTCCAGGGACTTGATCTTCATGTCCTTGACCAAGCGGCCCAACTTGGTGACAGGCATCCACTCCTTATCCTCGGGCTTGCCTTCGCGAGCTCCGCGGCCTTGGCCCCGGCCCCGTCCACGGCCGCGACCCCGGCCCCGGATGCCACTGCCGAAACCTCCGCGGAAGCCACCGCGGTTCCCCATCCCAGGGCCACCAGGGCCTCCGGGCCTCCCCGCTGCACCGGCGTCATCCGCCATTTGGTGTTTTCTCGGAAAAGAAGTAATTTTCTTTATTTGTAGTGTCCTTGTCTGGATTTAGTATAGAGGTAATGCTCACCTTGTAAAATGAGTTTGGATGTATTTCCTCTTCTTCCATTTTTTGGAAGATTTTGGAAGGATCAATATTAATTCTTTATAAATGTTTGGTAGAATTCAGCAATAAAGTCATCAAATCCTGGGCTCTTTTTTTTGATAGGAGGCTTTTATTATTGATTCAATCTCCTTACTTTTTATTGGTCCTTTCAGATTTCCAGTTTCTTCATGATTCAGTTTTGATAGGTTTATGTGTCTAGGAATTTATCTATTTCTTCTTGCTTGTATAATTTTTTGGTATATAATTGTTTATAGTAGTCTCTTACAGTACATTGTTGTTTATCTGGTATCAGTTGTTATGCCTTTTTTCTTTGTGATTTCATTTATTTTAGTCTTTTCCCTTTATTTTTCATAGTCTACCTAAAGTTTTCTCAATTTTATTTAGCTTTTCAACACCTGACTCTTAGTTTCACTGATCTTTTCTATTATTTTTCTATTTTATTTATCACATCTATTTTTGCTCTGGTCTTTATTATTTTTTTCCTTCTGCTAAATTTGGACTTGTTTGTTCTTGTTTTTCTACTTCCTTGAGGTATAACATTAGATTATTTCAGATATTTCTACTTTTTTGATGTGGATATTTATTGCTTATCTAAACTTTCGTCTTAGAGTTGCTTTTGCTGCATCCCCTAAGTTTTAGTATGCTGTGTTTCCAGTTTTGTTTGTCTCAAGATATTTTTAAATTTCCCTTTTAATTTCTTCATTGACCCACTGGTTATTCGGAGCATGTTGTTCAATTTCCACGTGTTTGTGAATTTTCAGAAATTCCTCCTCTTATTGATTTCTAGTTTTATACCATTGTGGTCAGAAAATATAGTTGATATGACTTCAGTCTTTGTAAATTTGTTGAAACTTATTTTATGGTCAAATATATTATCTATCCTGGAAAATGTTCCACGTGCACTTGAGAAGAAAATATATTCAGCTGCTGTTGGATGGAATGTTCTGTATATGTTTGTTAGCCCATTTGGTCTAAAATCTAGTTCAAGTGTGTTGTTTTCTTGTTGATTTTCTGTCTACATGATCTGCTCATTGCTGAAAGTGGGGTATTAAAGTCCCCTATTATTATACATTATAGTGTAACTCTCCCTTCAGATCTTTTAATATTTCCTTTATATTTAGATGCTTCAGTATTGGATGAATACATATTTATCATCGTTATATTTTCTTGATGAATTGACCTCTTTATCGTTGTACAATCATTTTCTTTGTCCTGTATTACAGTTTTTGACTTAAGGTCTATTTTGTCAATATAAACATAGCTACCCTTGAGCTCTTTTGGTTTCTCTACCTTTTTCTACCTCTTTACCTTCAGTCTATGTGTGTCCTTAAAGGTGAAGTGAGTCTTTTTCAGACAGCATATAAATGGGCCTTGTTTTTTATCTATTCAGTCACTCTATGCCTTTTGATTGGAGAATTTAATCTATTACATTCAAAGCAATTGTTGAGAAGGAAGGGCTTACTACTGCCATTTTGTTAGTTGTTTTCTGGTTATTTCGCAGATCCTTTATTCTTCCTCTCTTACTGGCTTCCATTGTGGTTTGATGGTTTTCTGTGGTGTGATTTGAATCTGTTCTTTTAATCTTATGTATGTGTGCTGTTGGTTTTCACTTTGTGTTTACCATGAGGCTTTCAAAAAACATCTTAGAGTTATAATAAACTATTTAAGCTGATAACAATTTAACTTCGATAACATAAAAAACTATAAGATTTTTTGGGCAGAGCGGTGGGGGGTGATGGGTGCAGTGGCTCATGCCTTTAATCCCAGCACTTTGGAGGCCAAGGCAGGTGGATCACTTGAGGCCAGCCTGGCCAACATAGAAAACCTCATCTCTGCTAAAAATACAAAAAGTTAGTTGGGCGTGGTTGCACATGCCTGTAATCCCAGCTACTCAGGAGGTTGAGGCACACAAGAATCACTGGAACCCAGAAGGCAGAGGTGGCAGTGAAACGAGATCATTCCACTGCACTCCAGCCTGGGCAACAGAGCAAGACTCTGTCTCAACAACAACAACAAAAATACGATACACTTTTTCTCTACTACCACCATGCCCTGCATTTTAAATTTTTGATATCACAGTTTACATCTTTTTATATTGTGTGTCCCTGAAAAATTATTGTGGCTATTAATTTTAATAATAACTTTGTCTTTCAACCTTCGTACTAAAGATATATGTGATTTGCACACCACCATTCAGTATTAGAGTATTCTGAATTTGACTGTGTTCTTACTTTGACCGTTAAGTTTTATATGTTTTATGTTGCTAATTAGTATATTTTACTTTAAGCTTGAATATTCCCTTTAGTATTTCTTGTAAAATCAGCCTGGTGATGGTGAACTCCCTCAGCTTTTGTTTGTCTTGGAATGTCTTTATCTCTCCTTCATTTCTGAAGGATAGCTTTGCAGGGTGTAGTATTTGGGCTTGACAGGTTTTTTTCCTCCAGCATTTTAAATATATCATCCCACTCGCTCCTGGCATGTAAGGTCTGCCAAGAAATCTGCTACTAACCTTATTGGAACTTTATTATGTGAGATTTTTTTATTTTCTTTTGCTGCTTTCAGGATCCTCTCTTTGTCCTTGATTTTTGACAGTTTGGTTATCAAATGTCCTGGTGTAGTCTTGTTTAGATTGAATTTCATTGGACAATTTTGACCTTCCTGTACCTGGATATTTATATTTGTCTCCCAATTTGGAAATTTTTCTGCTAATATTTCTTTAAATAACTTTTCTACCCCTTTGTCTTTCTCTTCTCCTTCATGAACTCCCATAACTTGGTATTTGATCTTTTGATGCTGTCCCATAAACCCTGTCAGCTTTCCTTTTTGTTGTTGTTGAGTTTTGTTTGTTTGCTTGCTTGGGGCTTGCTTGTTTTTGAGACAGGGCCTCAGTTCTGTCACCCAGGCTGGAGTGCAGTGGCACAATCATGGCTCACTGCAGCCTTGACCTCCCAGGCTCAAGTGACACTCCCACCTCAGCCCCCCAAGCAGCTGGAGCTGGGACTACAGATGCAAGCCACCATGCCCAGCTAATTTTTTTTGTAGAGGGCATGGGTCTCACTTTGTTGCCCAGGCTAGTCTCAAACTCCTGGGCTCAAGTGATACTCCCACCTCAGCCTCCCAAAATGCTGGGATTACAGGTATGAGCCACTACACCCAGCAATCTTATAAGTTTTCTTTATTCCTTCTCATTCTCTTTTTCTCCTCTGACTGTATATTTTCAAATAACCTATCTTTAAGTTCACAAATGCTTTCTTCTGCTCAATTTCTTATCTATTCCATTTTTCATTTCATTGTATTTTTTAGCTCCAGTTTGATATTTGATTTCTGTTTGATATGTTCTATAATTTCAATCTCTCATTAAATTTATCATTTTGGTCATTTTATTGTTTGCCTGATTTGATTGAATTGTTTCTCTGTATTTTCTTGAAGTTCACTGAGTTTCCTTAAAACAATTATTTTGAATTGTCTGTCAGGCAGTTCATATATCTCCATTCCTTTGGTATCAGCTACTAAGAGATCACTGTATTCTTTTTTTTTTTCTTTTTTTTTTTTTTATTGATCATTCTTGGGTGTTTCTCACAGAGGGGGATTTGGCAGGGTCATAGGACAATAGTGGAGGGAAGGTCAGCAGATAAACAAGTGAACAAAGGTCTCTGGTTTTCCTAGGCAGAGGACCCTGCGGCCTTCCGCAGTGTTTGTGTCCCTGGGTACTTGAGATTAGGGAGTGGTGATGACTCTCAATGAGCACGCTGCCTTTAAGCATCTGTTTAACAAAGCACATCTTGCACCACCCTTAATCCATTTAACCCTGAGTGGACACAGCACATGTTTCAGAGAGCACAGGGTTGGGGGTAAGGTCACAGATCAACAGGATCCCAAGGCCGAAGAATTTTTCTTAGTACAGAACAAAATGAAAAGTTTCCCATGTCTACTTCTTTCTACACAGACACGGCAACCATCCGATTTCTCAATCTTTTCCCCACCTTTCCCCCCTTTCTATTCCACAAAACCGCCATTGTCGTCATGGCCCGTTCTCAATGAGCTGTTGGGTACACCTCCCAGACGGGGTGGCGGCCGGGCAGAGGGGCTCCTCACTTCCCAGTAGGGGCAGCCGGGCAGAGGCGCCCCTCACCTCCCGGACGGGGTGGCTGGTCGGGTGGGGGGCTGACCCCCCCACCTCCCTCCCGGACGGGGCGGATGGCCGGGCAGAGGGGCTCCTCACTTCCCAGTAGGGGCGGCCGGGCGGAGACGCCCCTCACCTCCCGGACGGGGCGGATGGCCGGGCGGGGGGCTGACCCCCCCACCTCCCTCCCGGACAGGGCGGCTGGCCGGGCAGAGGGGCTTCTCGCTTCCCAGTAGGGGCGGCTGGGCAGAGGCGCCCCTCACCTCCCAGACGGGGCAGCTGGCCAGGCGGGGCGCTGACCCCCCCACCTCCTTCCCGGACGGGGTGGCTGGCCGGGCGGGGGGCTGACCCCCCCACCTCCCTCCCGGGTGGGGCGGCTGGCCGGGTGGAGACGCTCCTCACTTCCCAGACGGTGTGGTTGCCGGGCGGAGGGGCTCCTCATTTCTCAGATGGGACGGTTGCCAGGCGGAGGGTCTCCTCACTTCTCAGACGGGGCGGCCGGGCAGAGACGCTCCTCACTTCCTAGATGGGGTCGCGGCTGGGCAGAGGCGCTCCCCACATCTCAGATGATGGGCGGCCGGGCAGAGACACTCCTCACTTCCTAGATGGGATGGCGGCCGGGAAGAGGAGCTCCTCACTTCCTAGATGGGATGGCGGCTGGGCAGAGACGCTCCTCACTTTCCAGACTGGGCAGCCAGGCAGAGGGGCTCCTCACATCCCAGATGATAGGCAGCCAGGCAGGACGCTCCTCACTTCCCAGACGGGGTGGCGGCCGGGCAGAGGCTGCAATCTCGGCACTTTGGGAGGCCAAGGCAGGCTGCTGGGAGGTGGAGGTTGTAGCGAGCCGAGATCACGCCACTGCACTCCAGCCTGGGCACCATTGAGCACTGAGTGAACGAGACTCCGTCTGCAATCCCGGCACCTCGGGAGGCCGAGGCTGGCAGATCACTCGCGGTTAGGAGCTGGAGACCAGCCCGGCCAACACAGTGAAACCCCGTCTCCACCAAAAAAATACGAAAACCAGTCAGGCGTGGCGGCGCGCGCCTGCAATCGCAGGCACTCGGCAGGCCGAGGCAGGAGAATCAGGCAGGGAGGTTGCAGTGAGCCGAGATGGCAGCAGTACAGTCCAGCTTCGGCTCGGCATCAGAGGGAGACCGTGGAAAGAGAGGGAGAGGGAGACCGTGGGGAGAGGGGAGAGGGGAGAGAGAGGAGAGAGGAGAGAGGAGAGAGGAGAGATCACTGTATTCTTTGGTGTTCTCCTTGTATTTTTTTTTGTTATTGCCTTACATTAATGTGTGTGCATTTGAAGAAATAAGGACATTTCAGTCTTTGAAGACTAGTTTTTTCTGGGGAAGCCCTTTATCAGTCATCCGGAGGTTCGGGAGAGGCCATCTGGCATGATCCCAGGTCATACTTGCTGCTAGAGTCCTCAGGCAGGCTGGCCTGGTTCCTGGGTCAGGAGGTGGGTGGGCCTGGTGCTTGAGTCCACAGGGTTGGGCCTGAAGGCTGGATCCACTGGGGTGAATTTGTTGATTGGGTCTGCAGGAATGGTGTTGGAGCCAGGGTTCAAGAAGGCAGGCCTGGACCTTGTATCAGTGAAGGCCAGCCTCATGCCTGGGTACACAGGAGCTAACCTGGCTCTGGGATGGACCGTGAGCCTGAATCTACAGGGTCTGGCCAAGTTCTGGGAGGGGGATGGCACCTGGGACTATTGAGATGGGTCTGGAGCCTGAGTACCTCAGGGCTGTCCTGGAGCTTATGTCTGCAGGGGTGTTCTTGGAGCCTCAGCCTATGGGATCCGGCCTAGAACTGAGTTCTACTGGGGTGGGCCTGGACCCTGGATCTGCTATATCAGGCCTGGACTCTGGGTTCACTGGGCCTTGGGTGCACATGGACTGGCCTGGAGCCTACAGTCAACCTGGTACTGGGGCTAGTGTGGAGTTTGGTTCACAAGGGCTGGTCTGGAGCCTCAAGATCATGGGCACTGACCTGGTGCCTAGAGTCACTGGAGCTGTCCTGGAGCCTAGAGCCAAGAAGCCTGGTCCAGCTCTGGAGTCTACTGAGACTCTTGGACCTTCAGTCAAATGGAGGGTGGTGCTATGGAGACTGGCCTGGCACTGTGCAGGCCTGAGCCTGTGTCTGTAGGTATCTTCCTGGTGTTTAAGGCCAGGGATGCTGATCTGGCACTGGAATGGGTGGGAAGCCTGAGGCCACGGGGGTTGGCTTAGTACTGAGTGGTCCTGGATCTTGTATTTGTAGGGCCTGGCCTGGAGGCTGAGTCTGCACATGCTGGTCTGAGGAGTAGGGCTGTGGAAATCAACCTGGTGCTGAGGTAGACTTGAAGCCTGAAGCTATGAGGGCCAGCCCAGTGCTGGAGAAGGTCCAGAGCTTAGGGCCTTGGGGTCTGCCTGGCCCTGGGATGGGCTTAGAACATGACTCTGTTGGGGCTAGCCTGAAGCTAGGACTGCTGGGGCCTGTCTGCCACTGGGGCCGCTAGGGTTGAGCTGGCACTAGAGCAGACCCAGAGATCAAGTCTACTAGGCAGACCTGGAGCCTGGGGCTGCTGAGGTCAGCCTATTTGTAATTTCTTTCTTCTGACAATTAGAAACCTTACTCAAATTATCTTCCAGTTATTTACTTATTTGTTTAAACTTGTATATATGGAAAGTAGTTTTAGAATTGTTTATCCATATCTCTGTGAGAAACCATTTACCAGACACCTGCTCTCTAAACAACTGAGTGAAAGTGCTACTGAAAATTCCCCACATTAAAAATGGGACAGAAATAAAATTCTGTTCTGTGAAGCCCATGAAATTAGCTTATCAGTTCTAAGCTTATCAGATGGGACAGCAAAAGTTGGAAGGTAGTCTACAATGTAGGAGAGGAACAATACTGGGGATTTGTAATAAGGGTACTCATGGGTGGTGGGATGAGCTGAAAAAAGGCAAGGCCACTACTGGTAAATAAGTTTATTTGTCAAGTGTTTGCTGTTGTCCAGCTCTCAGTAAAAATAGACTGGTGTTCCTAAAAGTAGCCACAGGGTACTACTATGAGACCTCTTAAACATTTCCCAGCCCACACAGGTGGCAGCCTGGTGGGAAGCTACGGTTTTAGTAATCTCCACTGGTTTCCTGTAAAACAAAAAGGTTAGATTTTTAGAGGCTAGAGAACTCTGAGAAACAAGCATTCATTCCCCCTGCTTAATAGTATCCATGTTCACCAGACAATGGGACAAGAATACTTTAACGTAACAACAGGAGTTGTCCACTTCTGAGTAGGTGAGGTATTGGACAAAAAAAGGTGGAGACTTTGGGCCTGGCTGAGCCAAATGGCCCATGGGAAAGTCTGACTATGGAAGCAGTGGTTAGAAATCTGGACAAATTTAGGAAAAATAGCAAACTATGGTGTAATACAAAGAAGACAACACAGACAGGTATTGATTATATAATGAAAGAAACAATGGGGTCTAAGCTGGTGTCTTGATTTACTCGCCAGTGAATTGCTTTCCAAGTTAAAGGGACATTGTCTTCTGTTATTTTTGTACCTAGAATTTGGGGTACCTCAGTCTTCTGTTTAGGAATAACAGCCTCCGAGAAGGGAATGAGAATCAGTGAAGATATACACCCAAGCAAACATCTCCCAACTCACGACGTTTATCCAGCAGATGTTTCCACAATAGGTCCAGCAGCATGTGTAATTTTTGTCTTTACATCTAAAGGCTTTAGAACACTTATTGGTACATTCTTTGACATTTGGCTTTCCCCAGCATTCTTCAAGTAACAATTCCTTCCCTGAAATTGAGATGAGATGGTCAAAGGTTGATGGTATGTTTCAGCCAAGAGCGGAAAGAAAGGCCTTTCATACGTTTAACAGTTCCTCCTGGAATCTGGGCCCCAAATTCCAACCAAGATATCTATTTGCCTTTTAAGGGAATTGCCTTCATGAGCCTCCTCAAATTCCTGTCATTATACATTCACTGACCCTATTGCATCTTCACTGACTTCTTTTCCTTCTCGACCTCTGCAGGCTTTACCAGTGTTGCAGGCCTCTGGGCCCTCTCTGAGCATCCCAACGATAAAACTCAGTCAACCCGGAGCATTCATGTAACCTCCTATAAAATCTGCATTTACATAACAGGAGATCTCAGGGCCCGGCATATCTTGTAGCCTCATTGCAATGCCTATTTCACAGAGTGGGGAGCTAGGCCAGGTCAAGTAAGAAACAGATTCTCTCCCTTTTTCTTTCCCTACTTGCTGACTCTGTGTTTAATAACTCAGCCTCTCTTCAAATTCTTATCTCTCTCACTCAGTTTTCTTAGCCCCTCTATTCACCCCATTTTCTCATCATATGACCCCCAAGGTTGCCCCACTAAGAAGGGATCTCAAGCCTCTTTCCTAACTTTTCACATTCTGAAAGCCTTGCCACTGAAACTAAGGGTATGTATTAAGAAATGCCCATTTGGTACTCATATGACAAAGTATATGCAGCTAGGGCACAGGGATACCAGTATAGAGCTACAGGATTAGCTCTATACTGACATCTGACCCTCAAAGACAGCCTAACATTGGAAAATATTTTTATGTTTATAGCTTATGGTATATATACACACACACACACACACATGTGTTTGTATATATATAGAGAGAGAGAGAGAGAGACAGAGAGAGAGAGATAGACAGATATTGCTATTTTAAAGGTTAAAAGAGGAAGCATTGAAGGACCTCAGCTTAGGGATTTCTTGAATCTCTGTGCATACAAAATTGTCATTCTCTGATGGGTGATACTACGAAGGTGGGTCCTGAGTCAGATACAGCGGACAATGAAACCCCCTCCCTTGTTCAGAAACAAGCTCATCCCCCTCCTGTGGCCCCTAATCCAGCCTCACCACCTACTGTCATATCTTTTCTTCCTCATTTCTCCCAGCACAGACAGTAGCACCGTACAGAAGAATGTCATGAGCATGGGTATCCAGAGCTTCATGAGGCTGACCATATGTGTCTGAATATGTGTTGTCAGAAGGATTATTTTTCTTCCCAGTCGCTGCTAGAGATCAAGACATATAAATAGGGAAAGAGAGGTGTGAAGCAAGAGAAAGTGCTTGTCGAATTTCTTCATTCTTTATCTTCTCACTATTCCCCCTAGGCCTCTGCCTACCCAACAACTGGCACACCTAAGCTGAGCGTTGGCTTTGCCAAAAGGAATCCCTCCATCTCACACCTCATGTTTTCCTTTTGCTGGAAAAAAAATATAATGTGTTGCCTTATTTTGATTAAAACATAATTCAAATTCAGCTTACAAAAAAATTTTTTTAAATCGTTTATTTTAGGTTTGGGGTACATGTGAAGGTTTGTTACACAGGAAAACTTGTATCATGAGAGTTTGTTGTACAGATTATTTCATCACCCAGGTATTAAGCCCAGTACCCAACAGTCATCTTTTCTGCTCCTCTCCCTCCTTCCACCCTTCACCCTCAAGTAGACCCCAGTGTTGGTTGTTCCTTCTTTGTATTCATGAGTTCTCATCATTTAGCTCCCACTTATAAGTGAGAACATGCAGTATTTGGTTTGAACAAAATTCTTTTTGAAAATGTATTCAACATTTATTGAACACCTACTATGTGCCCAGCACTATTATACACCATATATATAGAGAGGGTCCTTAACTTATGATGGTTTGACATACAACTTTTCAACTTTATGATGGTGCAAAAGGCAATATACATCCAGTACAAATCGTACTTTCAGTACCCATCAACCATTCTGGAGGGGTTTTTTTTGTTTTGTTTGTTTGTTTGTTTTTGTTGTTGCATAATATTCCATTCTGTGAATATGTCACACAATATTTATTCATTTTCATGAAAATGAACATTTAGGGGCTGAATAGGAACAGCTCCAGTCTACAGCTCCCAGCGTGAGCGACACAGAAGACAGGTGATTTCTGCATTTCCAGCTGAGGTACCGGGTTCATCTCACTGGGGAGTGTCAGAAAGTGGGTGCAGCACACCGAGCATGAGCCAAAGCAGGGCAAGGCATTGCCTCACCTGGGAAGTGCAAAGGGTCAGGGAATTCCCTTTCCTAGTCAAAGAAAGGGGTGACAGACGGCACCTGGAAAATCGGGTCACTCCGACCCTAATACTGCGCTTTTCCAACAGTCTTAGCAAATGGCACACCAGGAGATTATATCCCATGCATGGCTCAGAGGGTCCTATGACCACGGAGCCTCACACATTGCTAGTACAGCAGTCTGAGATAAAACTGCAAGGCGGCAGCGAGGCTGGGGGAGGGGCACCCTCCATTGCCGAGGTTTGAGTAGGTAAACAAAGCAGCCAGGAAACATGAACTGGGTGGAGGCTACCACAGCTCAAGAGGCCTGCCTGCCTCTGTAGACTCCACCTCTGGGGGAGGGCATTGCCAAACAAAAGGCAGCAGAATCCTCTACAGACTTAAATGTCCCTGTATGACAGCTTTGAAGAGAGTAGTGTTTCTCCCAGCACGCAGCTGGAGATCTGAGAACAGACAGACTGCCTTCTCAAGTGGGTCCCTGACCCCCGAGTAGCCTAACTGGGAGGCACTCCCCAGTAGGGCAGACTGACACCTCACACAGCTGGGTACTCCTCTGAGACAAAACTTCCAGAGGAACGATCAGGCAGCAACATTTGCTGTTCACCAATCTCCGCTGTTGTGCAGCCTCCACTGCTGATACCCAGGCAAACAGGGTCTGGAGTGGACCTCGAGCAAACTCCAATAGACCTGCAGCTGAGGGTCCTGACTGTTAGAAGGAAAACTAACAAACAGAAAGGACATCCACACCAAAACCCCAACTGTACGTCACCATCATCAAAGACCAAAGGTAGATAAAACCACAAAGATGGGGGAAAAACAGAGCAGAAAAACTGGAAACTCTAAAAATCAGAGTGCCTCTCCTCCTCCAAAGGAAGACAGCTCCTCACCAGCAATGGAACAAAGCTGGATGGAGAATGACTTTGATGAGTTGAGAGAAGGCTTCAGACGATCAAACTACTCTGAGCTAAAGGAGGAAGTTCGAACCCATGGCAAAGAATTTAAAAACCTTGAAAAAAAATTAGACGAATGGCCAACTAGAATAACCAATGCAGAGAAGTCCTTAAAGGAATTCTGATGGAGCTGAAAACCAAGGCATGAGAACTATGTGACAAATGCACAAGCCTCAGTAGCCAATTCGATCAACTGGAAGAAAGGGTATCAGTGATGGAAGATGAAATGAATGAAATGAAGCGAGAAGAGAAGTTTAGAGAAAAAAGAATAAAAACAAATGAACAAAGCCTCCAAGAAATATGGGACTATGTGAAAAGACCAAATCTTCGTCTGATTGGTGTACCTGAAAGTGACAGGGAGAATGGAACCAAGGTGGAAAACACTCTGCAGGATATTATCCAGGAGAACTTCCCCAATCTAGCAAGGCAGGCCAACATTCAAATTCAGGAAATAGAATGCCACAAAGATACTCCTCGAGAAGAGTAACTCCAAGACACATAATTGTCAGATTCACCAAAGTTGAAATCAAGGAAAAAATGTTAAGGGCAGCAAGAGAGAAAGGTCGGGTTACCCACAAAGGGAAGCCCATCAGACTAACAGTGGATCTCTCGGCAGAAACTCTACAAGCCAGAAGAGAGTGGGGGCCAATATTCAACATTCTTAAAGAAAAGAGTTTTCAACCCAGAATTTCATATCCAGCCAAACTAAGCTTCATAAGTGAAGGAGAAATAAAATACTTTATAGACAAGCAAATGCTGAGAGATTTTATAACCACCAGGCCTGCCCTACAAGAAGAGCTCCTGAAGGAAGCACTAAACATGGAAAGGAACAATTGGTACCAGCCACTTGAAAAACATGCCAAATTGTAAAGACCATCGAGACTAGGAAGAAACTGCATCAACTAACAAGCAAAATAACAGCTAACATCATAATGACAGGATCAAATTCACACATAACCATATTAACCTTAAATGTAAATGGGCTAAATGCTCCAATTAAAAGACACAGACTGGCAAATTGGATAAAGAGTCAAGACCCATCAGTGTGTTGTATTCAGGAAACCCATCTCACATGCAGAGACACACATACGCTCAAAATAAAGGGATGGAGGAAGATCCACCAAGCAAATGGAAAACAAAAAAAGTCAGGGGTTGCAATCCTAGTCTCTGATAAAACAGACTTTAAACCAACAAAGATCAAAAGAGGCAAAGAAGGCCATTACATAATGGTAAAGGGATCAATTCAACAAGAAGAGCTAACTATCCTAAATATATATGCACCCAAAACAGGAGCACCCAGATTCATAAAGCAAGTCCTGAGTGACCTACAAAGAGACTTAGACTCCCACACAATAATAATGGGAGACTTTCACACCCCACTGTCAACATTAGACAGACCAACAAGACAGAAAGTTAACAAGGATTTCCAGGAATTGAACTCAGCTCTGCACCAAGAGGACCTAATAGACATCTACAGAACTCTCCACCCCAAATCAACAGAATATACATTCTTCTCAGCACCACACTGCACTTATTCCAAAATTGACCACATAGTTGGAAGTAAAGCACTCCTCAGCAAATGTAAAAGAACAGAAATTATAACAAACTGTCTCTCAGACCACAGTGCAATCAAACTAGAACTCAGGATTAAGAAACTCACTCAAAACCACTCAAATACTTGGAAACTGAACAACCTGCTCCTGAATGACTACTGGGTACATAACAAAATGAAGGCAGAAATAAAGATGTTCTTTGAAACCAATGAGAACAAAGACACAACATACCAGAATCTCTGGGACACATTCAAAGCAGTGTGTAGAGGGAAATTTATGACACTAAATGCCCACAAGAGAGAGCAGGAAAGATCTAAAACTGACACCCTAACATCACAATTAAAAGAACTAGAGAAGCAAGAGCAAACAAATTCAAAAGCTAGCAGAAGGCAAGAAATAACTAAGATCAGAAAGGAACTGAAGGAAATAGAGACATAAAAAACCCTTCAAAAAATCAATGAATCCAGGAGCTGGTTTTTTGAAAAGATCAACAAAACTGATAGACTGCTAGCAAGACTAATAAAGAAGCAAAGAGAGAAGAATCAAATAGATGCAATAAAAAATGATAAAGGGGATATCAACACCGATCCCACAGAAATACAAACTACCATCAGAGAATACTAGAAACACCTCTATGCAAGTAAACTAGAAAATCTAGAAGAAAGGCATAAATTCCTTGACACCTACACCCTCCCAAGACTAAACCAGGAAGAAGTTGAATCGCTGAATAGACCAAAAATGGGCTCTGAAATAGAGGCAATAATTAATAGCTTACCAATCAAAAAAAGTCCAGGACCAGATGGATTCACAGCCAAATTCTACCAGAGGTACAAGGAGAAGCTGGTACCATTCCTTCTGAAAGCATTCCAATCAATAGAAAAAGAGGGAATCCTCCCTAACCCATTTTATGAGGCCAGCATCATCCTGATACCAAAGGCTGGCAGAGACACTACCATAAAAGATAATTTTAGACCAATATCCCTGATGAACATTGGTGCAGAAATCCTCAATAAAATACTGGCAAACTGAATCCAGCAGCACATCAAAAAGCTTATCCACCATGATCAAGTGGGCTTCATCCCTGGGATGCAAGGCTGGTTCAACATATGCAAATCAATAAACATAATCCAGCATATAAACATAACCAACGACAAAAACCATATGATTATCTCAATGGAGGCAGAAAAGGCCTTTGACAAAATTCAACAACCCTTCATGCTAGAAACTCTCAATAAATTAGGTATTGATGGGATGTATCTCAAAATAATAAGAGCTATCTATGACAAATGCACAGCCAATATCATACTGAAGGGGCAAAAACTGGAAGCATTCCCTTTGAAAACTGGCACAAGACAGGAATGCCCTCTCTCACCACTCCTATTCAACATAGTGTTGGAAGTTCTGGCCAGGGCAATCAGGCAGGAAAAGGAAATAAATGGTATTCAGTTAGGAAAAGAGGAAGTCAAATTGTCCCTGTTTGCAGATGACATGATTGTATATCTAGAAAACCCTATTGTCTCAGCCCAAAATCTCCTTAAGCTGATAAGCAACTTCAGCAAAGTTTCAGAATACAAAATCAGTATTCAAAAATCACAAGCATTCTTATACACCAATAACAGACAAACAGAGAGCCAAATCATGAGTGAACTCCCATTCACAATAGCTTCAAAAAGAATAAAATACCGAGGAATCCAACTTACAATGGACATGAAGGACCTCTTCAAGGAGAACTACAAACCACTGCTCAATGAAATAAAAGAGGATACAAACAAATGGAATAACATTCCATGCTCATGGCTAGGAAGAATCAATATCGAGAAAATGGCCATACTGCCCAAGGTAAATTATAGATTCAATGCCATCCACATCAAGCTACCAATGACTTTCTTCACAGAATTGGGAAAAACTACTTTAAAGTTCATATGGAACCAAAAAAGAGCCCACATCGCCAAGTCAATCCTAAACCAAAAGAACAAAGCTGGAGGCATCACGTTACCTGACTTCAAATTATACTACAAGCCTACAGTAACCAAAACAGCATAGTACTGGTAAAAAAAAACAGAGATATAGACGAATGGAACAGAACAGAGGGCTCAGAAATAACACCACACATCTACAACCATCTGATCTTTGACAAACCTGAGAAAAACAAGCAATGGGGAAAGGATTCCCTATTTAATAAATGGTGCTGGGAAAACTGGCTAGCCATGTGCAGAAAGCTGAAACTAGATCCTTTCCTTACACCTTATACAAAAATTAATTCAAGATGGATTAAAGACTTAAATGTTAGATGTAAAACCATAAAAACCCTGGAAGAAAACCTAGGCAATACCATTCAGGACATAGGCATGGGCAAGGACTTCATGACTAAAACACCAAAAGCAATGGCAACAAAAGCCAAAATAGACAAGTGGGATCTAATTAATCTAAAGAGCTTCTGCACAGCAAAGGAAACTACCATCAGAGTGAACAGGCAACCTACAGAACGGGAGAAAATTTTTGCAATCTACCCATCTGACAAAGGGCTAATATCCAGAATCTACAAAGAACTCAAACAAATTTACAAGAAAAAACCAAACCCATCAAAGAGTGGGCAAAGGATATGAACAGACACTTCTCAAAAGAAGACATTTATGCAGCCAAAAGACACATGAAAAGATGCTCATCACCACTGGCCATCAGAGAAATGCAAGTCAAAACCACAATGGGATACCATCTCACACCAGTTAGAATGGAGATCATTAAAAAGTCCAGAAACAACAGGTGCTGGAGAGGATGTGGAGAAATAGGAACACTTTTACACTGTTGGTGGGACTGTAAACTAGTTCAACCATTGTGGAAGTCAGTGTGGAGATTCCTCAAGGATCTAGAACTAGAAATACCATTTGACCCAGCCATCCCATTACTGGGTATATACCCAAAGGATTATAAATCATGCTGCTATAAAGACACATGCACACGTATGTTTATTGAGGCACTATTCACAATAGCAAGGACTTGGAACCAAGCCAAATGTCCAACAATGGTAGACTGAATTAAGAAAATGTGGCACATATACACCATGGAATACTATGCAGCCATGAAAAAGGATGAGTTCATGTCCTTTGTAGGGACATGGATGAAGCTAGAAACCATCATTCTCAGCAAACTATCGCAAGGACAAAAAACCAAACACTGCGTGTTCTCACTCATAGGTGGGAATTGAACCATGAGAACACATGGACACAGGAAGGGGAACATCACACACCAGGGCCTGTTGTGGGGTGGGGGGAGGGGGGAGGGATAGCATTTGGAGACATACCTAATGTTAAATGACGAGTTACTGGGTGCAGCACACCAATATGGCACATGTATACATGTGTAACTAACCTGCACGTTGTGCACATGTACCCTAAAACTTAAAGTATAATAAAAAGAAAATGAACATTTAGGTTGTCTGCAGTGGTTTCACTGTTGAAACTATAAAACTAAAGCAGCCATGAACAAGTACACTATTCTTCTGCACATGAATGAGAATTGTTCCCCCTTCCATCCATGCTTAATTTTTCTCTTTAATGTTTTTTATTTTCAGTACAGTATTAAATACATTACATGAGCTATTCAACACTTTATTATAAAATAAGCTTTGTGTTAGATAATTTCGCCCAACAGTAAGCTAATGTTAAGTGTTCTGAGCACATTTAAAGTGTTAGCTTACAAAATTCTTAAAACATAAAAAAGCACATAGAACATAGTGAAAATATTTCTAGCAATTCCACTATATCGATGTATAATATTCTATCTTTCATATGTGCATAGATATAAATATAGATTTTTTATAAAACAAAATTATATAAGCTTGCTGTTATATAATGACTTTTTGAAAACTATTAAGATATAACTGACATATAAAAAACTATTTATAGGACATATTTAATGTATACAACTACAATGAGTTTGAAGACAAGTATACACCCATGTAATCATCATCACAATCTAGGCCATAAACATATCCATCACCTCCAATAGTTTCCACTGGCCTTTTTACTTATTATTTGGTGTGTGTGTGTGTGCAATAAAAATAAGACCTATCATCTTAACAAATTTTTAAGTTTGCAATACAGTATTGCTAACTAAGGGCACTATGCTATACAACAAGTCTCTGAGATGTATCCATCTTGTATAACTGAAATTTTGTGCCCTTTGACTAATATCTTCAATCTCTCTGCTTGTTATTGGTCTGTTCAGGGTATCTAATTCTTCCTGATTTAAGTTAGGAGGGTTGTATTTTTCCAGGAATTTATCCATCTCTTCTAGGTTTTCTAGTGTATGTGTGTAAAGGTGTTCATAGTAGCGTTACATGATCGTTTGTATATCTGTGGTGTCAGTTGTAATATCTCCCATTTCATTTCTTAATGAGCTTATTTGGATTTTCTCTCTTATTTTCTCGGTTAATCTTGCTAATGGTATATCAATTTTATTTATCTTTTCAAAGAACCAGCTTTTTGTTTCATTTATCTTTTGTATTTTTTTGTTTCAATTTCATTTAATTCTGCTCTGATCTTGGTTATTTTCTTTTTTTATCACACTTTAAGTTCTGGAGTACATGTGCAGAATGTGCAGGTTTGTTATATAGGTATACACGTGCCATGGTGATTTGCTGTACCCATCAACCCGTCATCTACATTAGGTATTTCTCCTAATGCTATCCCTCCCCCACATCCCCCGCCGACAGGCCCAGGTGTGTGATGCCCACCCCCCCGTCCATGTGTTCTCATTGTTGAACTTCCACTTATGAGAACATGCAGTGTTTGGTTTTCTGTCCTTGTGTTAGTTTGCTGAGAATGATGGTTTCCAGCTTCATCCATGTCCCTACAAAGGACATGAACTCATCCCTTTTTATGACTGCATAGTATTCCATGGTGTATATGTGCCACATTTTCTTAATCCAGTCTATCATTGATGGACATTTGGGTTGGTTCCAAGTCTTTGCTATTGTAAATAGTGCTGCAATAAACATACATGTGCATGTGTCTTTATAGCAGCATGATTTATAATCCTTTGGGTGTATACCCAGTAATGGGATTGCTGGGACAAATGATATTTCTAGTTCTAGATCCTTGAGGAATCACCACACTGTCTTCCACAAGGGTTGAACTAGTTTACAGTCCCACCAACAGTGTAAAAGTGTTCCATTTCTCCACATCCTCTCTAGCACCTGTTTTTTCCTGACTTTTTAATGATTGCCATTCTAACTGGCGTGAGATGGTATCTCATTGTGGTTTTGATTTGCATTTCTCTAATGACCAGTGATGACGAGCTTTTTTTCATATGTTTGTTGGCTGCATAAACGTCTTCTTCTGAGAAGTGTCTGTTCATATCCTTCGCCTACTTTTTGATGGGGTTGTTTGGTTTTTTTCTTGTAAATGTGTTTAAGTTCTTTGTAGATTCTGGATATTGGCCCTTTGTCAGACGGATAGATTGCAACATTTTTCTCCGATTCTGTAGGTTGCCTGTTCACTCTGATGACAGTTTCTTTTGCTGTGCAGAAGCTCTTTAGTTTAATTAGATCCCATTTGTCAATTTTGGCTTTTGCTGCCATTGCTTTTGGTGTTTTAGTCATGAAGCCTTTGCTCATCCCTATGTCCTGAATGGTACTGTCTAGGTTTTCTTCTAGGGTTTTTATGGTTTTAGGTCTTGTGTTTAAGTCTTTAATCCATCTCGAGTTGATTTTTGTATAAGGTTAAGAAAAGGATCCAGTTTCAACCTCCTGCATATGGCTGGCCAGTTTTCCCAGCACCATTTATTAAATAGGGAATGCTTTCCCTATTGCTTGCTTTTTTCAGCTTTGTCAAAGATCAGATGGTTGTAGATGTGTGGTGTTATTTCTAAGGTTTCTTCTGCTGGGTTTGGATTTGGTTCTTGTTTCTCTAGTCCCTTGAGCTGTGACATTAGCATGTCAATTTGTGCTCTTTCAGTCTTTTTGATGTAGGCATTTAGGGGTATGAACTTTCCTGTTAGCACTGCCTTTGCTTTATCCCAGAGGTTTTGATAGGTTGTGTCACTATTGTTGTTAAGTTCGAATAATTTTTTAATTTCCATCTTGATTTCATTTTTGACCCAATGATCATTCAGGAACAGGTTATTTAATTTCCATATATTTGCATGGTTTTGTAGCTGTTTTTGGAATTGATTTCCAGTTTTATTCCACTGTGGTATGAGAGAGTGCTTGATATAATTTCAATTTCCTTTTTTTGAAATTTTATTTTATTATTATTATACTTTAAGTTTTAGGGTACATGTGCACAATGTGCAGGTTAGTTACATATGTATACATGTGCCATGCTGGTGTGCTTCACCCATTCACTCGTCATTTAGCATTAGGTATATCTCCCAATGCTATCCCTCCCGCCTCTCCCCACCCCACAACAGTCCCCAGAGTGTGATGTTCCCCTTTCTGTGTCCATGTGTTCTCATTGTTCAATTCCCACCTATGAGTGAGAATACGCGGTGTTTGGTTTTTTTGTTCTTGTGATGGTTTACTGAGAATGATGATTTCCAATTTCACCCATGTCCCTACAAAGGACATGAACTCACCATTTTTTATGGCTGCATAGTATTCCATGGTGTATATGTGCCACATTTTCTTAATCCAGTCTATCATTGTTGGACATTTGGCTCGGTTCCAAGTCTTTGCTATTGTGAATAGTGCCTCAATAAACATACGTGTGCATGTGTCTTTATAGCAGCATGACTTATATTCCTTTGGGTATATACCCAGTAATGGGATGGCTGGGTCAAATGGTATTTCTAGTTCTAGATCCTTGAGGAATCTCCACACTGACTTCCACAATGGTTGAACTAGTTTACAGTCCCACCAACAGTGTAAAAGTGTTCCTATTTCTCCACATCCTCTCCAGCACCTATTGTTTCCTGACTTTTTAATGATTGCCATTCTAACTGGTGTGAGATGGTATCCCATTGTGGTTTTGATTTGCATTTCTCTGATGGCCAGTGATGGTGAGCATTTTTTCATGTGTTTTTTGGCTGCATAAATGTCTTCTTTTGAGAAGTGTCTGTTCATGTCCTTCACCCACTTTTTTATGGGGTTGTTTGTTTTTTTCTTGTAAATTTGTTTGAGTTCTTTATAGATTCTGGATATTAGCCCTTTGTCAGATGAGTAGGTTGCGAAAATTTTCTCCCATTTTGTAGGTTGCCTGTTCACTCTGATGGTAGTTTCTTTTGCTGTGCAGAAGCTCTTTAGTTTAATTAGATCCCATTTGTCAATTTTGGCTTTTGTTGCCATTGCTTTTGGCGTTTTAGACATGAAGTCCTTGCCCACGCCTATGTCCTGAATGGCAATGCCTAGGTTTTCTTCTAGGGTTTTTATGGTTTTAGGTATAACGTTTAAGTCTTTAATCCATCTTGAATTAATTTTTGTATACGGTGTAAGGAAGGGATCCAGTTTCAGCTTTCTACATATGGCTAGCCAGTTTTCCCAGCACCATTTATTAAATAGGGAATCCTTTCCCCATTGCTTGTTTTTCTCAGGTTTGTCAAAGATCAGATAGTTGTAGATATGCGGCGTTATTACTGAGGGCTCTGTTCTGTTCCATTGATCTATATCTCCGTTTTGGTACCAGTACCATGCTGTTTTGGTTACTGTAGCCTTGTAGTATAGTTTGAAGTCAGGTAGTGTGATGCCTCCAGCTTTGTTCTTTTGGCTTAGGATTGTCTTGGTGATGCGGGCTCTTTTTTGGTTCCATATGAACTTTAAAGTAGTTTTTCCCAATTCTGTGAAGAAAGTCATTGGTAGCTTGATGTGGATGGCATTGAATCTATAAATTACCTTGGACAGTATGGCCATTTTCATGATATTGATTCTTCCTAGCCATGAGCATGGAATGTTCTTCCATTTGTTTGTATCTTCTTTTATTTCATTGAGCAGTGATTTGTGGTTCTCCTTGAAGAGGTCCTTCACGTCCCTTGTAAGTTGGATACCTAGGTATTTTATTCTCTTTGAAGCAATTGTGAATGGGAGTTCACTCATGATTTGGCTCTCTGTTTGTCTGTTATTGGTGTATAAGAATGCTTGTGATTTTTGAACATTGATTTTGTATCCTGAAACTTTGCTGAAGTTGCTTATCAGCTTAAGGAGATTTTGGGCTGAGACAATGGGGTTTTCTAGATATGCAATCATGTCATCTGCAAACAGGGACAATTTGACTTCGTCTTTTCCTAATTGAATACACTTTATTTCCTTGTCCTGCCTAATTGCCCAGGCCAGAACTTCCAACACTATGTTGAGTAGGAGTGGTGAGAGAGGGCATCCCTGTCTTGTGCCAGTTTTCAAAGGGAATGCTTCCAGTTTTTGCCCATTCAGGATGATATTGGCTGTGGGTTTGTCATAGATAGCTCTTATTATTTTGAGATACGTCCCATCAATAGCAAATTTATTAAAAGTTTTTAGCATGAAGCGTTGTTGAATTTTTGTCAAAGGCCTTTTCTGCATCTATTGAGATAATCATGTGGTTTTTGTCTTTGGTTCTGTTTATGTGATGGATTACGTTTATTGATTTGTGAATGTTGAACCAGCCTTGCATTCCAGGGATGAAGCCAACTTGATCATGGTGGATAAGCTTTTTGATGTGCTGCTGGATTCAGTTTGCCAGTGTTTTATTGAGGATTTTTGCAGCAATGTTCATCAGGGATATTGGTATAAAATTATCTTTTATTGTAGTGTCTCTGCCAGCCTTTGGTATCAGGATGATGCTGGCCTCATAAAATGAGTTAGGGAGGATTCCCTCTTTTTCTATTGATTGGAATAATTTCAGAAGGAACGGTACCAGCTCCTCTTTGTACCTCTGGTAGAATTCGGCTGTGAATCTCTCTGGTCCTGGACTTTTTTTGGTTGGTAGGCTATTAATTATTGCCTCAATTTCAAAGCCTGTTATTAGTATATTCAGAGATTCAACTTCTTCCTGGTTTAGACTTGGGAGGGTGTATGTGTCCAGGAATTTATCCATTTCTTCTACATTTTCTAGTTTATTTGCATAGAGGTGTTTCTAGTATTCTCTGATGGTAGTTTGTATTTCTGTGGGATTGGTGGTGATAGCCCCCCTTTATCATTTTTTATTGCATCTATTTGATTCTTCTCTCTTTTTTTCTTTATTTGTCGCAATGCTAGTGGTCTATCAATTTTGTTAATCTTTTCAAAAAACCAGCTCCTGGATTTATTGATTTCTTGAAGTGTTTTTTTGTGTCTCTAACTCTTTCAGTTCTTCTCTGATCTTAGTTATTTCTTGCCTTCTGCTAGCTTTTGAATTTGTTTGCTCTTGCTTCTCTAGTTACTTTAATTGTGATGTTAGGGTGTTGATTTTAGACCTTCCCTGCTTTCTCTTGTGGGCATTTAGTGCTATAAATTTCCCTCTATGCACTGCTTAAAATGTGTCCCAGAGATTCTGGTACGCTGTGTCTTTGTTCTGATTGGTTTCAAAGAACATCTTTATTTCTGCCTTCATTTTGTTATTTACCTAGTAGTCATTCAGGAGCAGGTTGTTCAGTTTCCATGTAGTTGAGCGGTTTTGAGTGAGTTTCTTAATCTTGAATTCTAATTTGGTTGCACTGTGGTCTGAGAGACAGTTTGTTGTGATTTCTGTTCTTTTACATTTGCTGAGGAGTACTTTACTTCCAATTATGTGGTCAATTTTAGAATAAGTGCGATGTGGTGCTGAGAAGAATGTATATTGTTGATTTGGGTGGAGAGTTTTGTAGATGTCTATTAGGTCTGCTTGGTGCAGAGCTGAGTTCAAGTCCTGGATATCCTTGTTAACCCTCTGTCTCGTTGACCTGTCTAATATTGACAGTGGGGTGTTAAAGTCTCCCATTATTATTGTGTGGGAGTCTAAGTCTCTTTGCAGGTCTCTAAGGACTTGCTTTATGAATCTGGGTGCTCCCGTATTGGGTGCATATATATTTAAGATAGTTAGCTCTTCTTGTTGAATTGATCCCTTTACCATTATGTAATGGCCTTGTCTCTTTTGATCTTTGTTGGTTTAAAGTCTGTTTTATCAGAGACTAGAATTGTGACCCCTGCTTTTTTTTTGCTTTCCATTTGCTTAGTAGATCGGCCTCCATCCCTTTATTTTGAGCCTATGTGTGTCTGTGCACATGAGATGGGTCTCCTGATTATAGCACACTGATGGGTCTTAACTCTTTATCCAATTTGCCAGTCTGCATCTTTTAATTGGGGCATTTAGCCCATTTACATTTAAGGTTAATATTGTGTGTGAATTTGATCCTGTCATTATGATGTTAGCTGGTTATTTTGCCCATTAATTGATGCAGTTTCTTCATAGCCTTCATGGTCTGTACAATTTGGCATGTTTTTGCAGTGGCTGGTACAGATTGTTTCCTTCTACGTTTAGTGCTTCCTTCAGGGCCCTTGTAAGACAGGCCTGGTGGTGACAAAATCTCTCAGCATTTCTTGTCTGTAAAGGATTTTATTTCTCCTTCACTTATGAAGCTTAGTTTGGCTGGATATGAGATTCTGGATTGAAAATTCTTTTCTTTAAGAATGTTGATTATTGGCTCCCACTCTCTTCTGGCTTGCAGGGTTTCTGCCTAGAGATCTGCTGTTAGTCTGATGGGCTTCCCTTTGTGGGTAACCTGACCCTTCTCTCTGGGTGCCCTTAACATTTTTTCCTTCATTTCAACTTTAGTGAATCTAACAATTTGTGTCTTGGGGTTGCTCTTCTCGAGGAGTGTCTTTGTGATGTTCTCGTATTTCCTGAATTTGAATGTTGGCCTGCCTTGCTAGGTTGCAGAAATTCTCCTGGATAACATCCTAAAGAGTGTTTTCCAACTTGGTTCCATTCTTCTCATCACTTTCAGGTACACCAATCAAATGTAGCTTTGGTTTTTTCACATAGTCCCGTATTTCTTGGAGGCTTTGTTCATTTCTTTTTACTCTTTTTTCTCTAACCTTGTCTTTTCACTTTATTTCATTAATTTGATCTTCAATCACTGATACCCTTTCTTCCACTTGATGCATTGGCTATTGAAGCTTGTGCATGCATCACGAAGTTCTCGTGCCATGGTTTTCAGCTCCATCAGGTCATTTAAGGTCTTCTCTACACTGTTTATTCTGGTTAGCCATTCATCTGACTTTTTCTTATGGTTTTTAGCTTCCTTGCAATGGGTTCAAACATCCTCCTTTAGCTCGGAGAAGTTTGTTATTATAGACCTTCTGAAGCCTACTTCTGTCAACTCATCAAAGTCATTCTCTGTCCAGCTTTGTTCCATTGCTGCCGAGGAGCTGCGATCATTTGGAGGAGAAGAGGCACTCTGGTTTTTAGAATTTTAAGCTTTTCTGCTCTGGTTTCTCCCCATCTTTGTGGTTTTATCTACCTTTGGTCTTTGATGTTGGTGACCTACAGATGGGGTTTTGGTGTAGATGTCCTTTTTGTTGACGTTGATGCTATTCCTTTCTGTTTGTTAGTTTTCCTTCTAATAGTCAGGTCCCTCAGCTGCAGGTCTGTTGGAGTTTGCTGGAGGTCCATTCTAGACCCTGTTTGCCTGGGTGTCACCAGCAGAGGCTGCAGAATAGCAAATATTGCTGCCTGATCCTTCCTCTGGAAGCTTCGTCCCAGAGGGGCACTTGGCCATATGAGGTGTCTGTCGGCCCCTACTGGGAAGTGACTCCCAGTTAGGCTACACAGGGGTCAGGGACCCACTTGAGGAGGTAGTCTGTCTGTTCTCAGAGCTCAAACACCATGCTGGGAGAACCACTGCTCTCTTCAGAGCTGTCAGACGGGGACGTTTAGGTCTGCAGGAGTTGTCTGTTGCCTTTTGTTTAGATATGCCCTGCCCACAGTGGTGGTGACTATAGAGGCCTAGGCCTTGCTGAGCTGCGATGGGCTCTGCCTAATTTGAGCTTCCCAGCCACTTTGTTTACCTACTGAAGCCTCAGCAATGATGGACACCCCTCCCCCCGCCAGGCTGCCACCTCGCATTTCGATCTCAGACTGCTGCACTAGCAGTGAGCAAGGCTCCGTGGGTGTGGGACCCGCCAAGCCAGGCCCGGGAGAGAATCTCTTTGTCTGCCAGTTGCTAAGACCTTGGGAAAAGCACAGTATTTGGGTGGGAGTGTCCTGATTTTCCAGGTACCATCTGTCACGGCTTCCCTTGGCTAGTAAAGGGAAATCCCCCAACCCCTTGCCCTTCCCAGGTGAGGCGACACCCCACCCTGCTTCCGCTCACCCTCCATGGGTTGCACCCACTGTCCAACCAGTCCCAGTGAGATGAACCAGGTACCACAGTTGGAAATGCAGAAATCACCCAATCTTCTGCATTGATCACGCTGGGAGCTGCAGACCAGAGCTGTTCCTATTCGGCCATCTTGGAGCCGCCTCCTCCATGAGTATTTCTTATCAACCTGAGCCTTATCTTACATGATCATACTACAGTTATCAACTTTGTTAAATTTAACCTTGATCAAACATACTTTTATCTATTCTATCATGAGTATTAAATTTTATCACTTCACCCAATAATGTTCTTTTTCTTTTATGAAATTCAAATTTTGGAAGAATACAGCCAACCTTTTCTTTGAACTGAATAGTCTTCAATTGGGGTTTATCTGAGATTTTCTTAAGATTAGATATAAGTTATGTATTCTCAATGGGAATAGCATGTAGATGATGCTGTGTCCTTCTCAGGATATCATATATGGAGGCACACAATGTCTATCCATGTTATCTTTCTCTGTCTCAGTTTCTCCATTTGAATAACATAAACAATAATTTATTCCATAGAGGGATAGTGTTGGCATGATGCAGGGGCATGATTTGGGCAGGGAACCCATCCAAGCAAGACAAAGGTGAAAGCTTTTACAGGCTCACACTTCCAGCCCCAGGACCCTGACCCCCACCTACCTTTGAAGATGTTGGAGTTGGAGGTGCTGAAACCTATTTGACTGGTGGCTCTTCTTCCTTGCCTCTAGGAACCATGGAGCCCCTGCACAGTGAGTAGGTGGTGAGCAAAACCAGTCAATTATGCAGATCTTAGTCATGCTTCTGGTTGTGGCAGATCTGTAAGTTCTGTCCCAAACCATAAGTTGGGTACATATAGAACATTGTCCCTGAATTCCTATTCAAGGAGTACTTTCTTCTTTTTGCTGCAGGCAATATAGATAGAGACAGAACACTGTGGACCTGCAGAATCCTCTGCTCCCCTAACACACACACAAGTCTGGCTGATTGTGGACACTCAGACACAAGTCTGGGTGATTGTGGAGTGGAAGGAGGATCTACATATCTATTTTTTTTCTAACATTGTGTGAGGACCTTCATAAAGTCTCATCCATCTTTATATTAATTTCTCCATTGCTAGCATCAGCCTAACACCACCTTATCAGCAATCTCTTGTGACTTTTGTGAGGAAAAGAGAGATCTCTTCCAAGAGGGCTTCGAAAATATCACATAACATGTAGATTTTAAATATATAGACTTAAACTATACTCAAATCCTACATCCCACTTACTCTAGGAAAGTCACTAATCATCTCTGTGCCTCAATTTCCTCATTTTTAAAGTGAGAATAGCAGTACTTTCTTCATAGGATTTTTGGGAGGATTCCATGAGTTATTTTGTGTTAAACACTGAGACCCAATGTCTGGCATATAAGCAGTGCTATGTATGGTTTGCTAAATAAACCAATAAAACACTTATTGAAGTGTTCAGAATCACCCAGTTGGACACCAAATTCACTATGAGTCAAATATTTAACATGTATTAACCAATACTCTCAGTGACCCAGTGAGTTTAGTGCTAAATATTTATATTTTGCCAATGCAGAAACTGAAGCATCGAGGAGCTAAGCAACTTGCCCAAGGCCACACAGCCAATAAGTGGTAGAAACAAGATTTGAAAGGAAGTGAATTCAGAGCCAGGTATGCCAGATGGTGAAGCCCACAGCTTTTCCTGGGCCTCAGAGCCACGATACATCTTGGGCTTATTCCCATCACCAAGGCACTCTCTCTAGATACCCTTACAGTGCTAGCAGAGGGGCATAATGGGAAGGGAAATTTCAGGAGCTGAGCTGACTGTGAGAGGCTCTGAGTAAGTCTTGACTGGGTCTAGGAATATTCCCAGAGTTGTTTGGTTGGGATGAGAAAGTGGGAAAGTGGGAGAGAAGCAAAGCCTGTAGATTGTCCTAACATTTTCTTCTCTAGTTCTATTTCCTTGCCTCTTCCCACTTTACAATATACTCTTGGCCTTGTCCTATTCCTGGGACCCCTCATCAATTTATATCATTTACTTCTCTCCGTAGGAAAAAAAAAAGAAAAAGATTTCTTTTCAAGATGTCATTTTTTGCTCTTGTACTAATAAAAGAGCAACTCATGCTTAGTGCATAAATTTTGTAAAAATATGAAAATGACAATTAAATTTAAAAATAATTGTTAATCTTGTCAACCTATGCTAACATTTGTGCATATATTCTAGTAGACTTTTTCTTATGTACATATATATTTTTATATAGTGGATAATCCTGTGACTATTTTTAAGTTTAACATTTACAATAAATATTTTCCTGTACTCCTAAATATTTTCAAAAATTTCATAGATTGGTAGATTACTCTGCCAATTAATCACCAGTTGTTGACAAGCTTGGTGGTTTCAGTTTTTCCCTATTGTAGAAATTCACTATTAGTTACATAATGATAACTAAATCCTTGAGTATTTATTTATTTATTCCTTGGGAAAGCCAATAAAAGTAGAAATACAGATAATTCAATCTGTGCATAAATATTACCAATTCTCTCTTCATAATGTTTAGGCTATACTTGCACCAACAAAGAAATGGTCTGAAAATGTCAGACCATTTCCTTCATCTTGACCCTGATATAGACATTCAGAGGATTCAGATGGTAGGTCGGAGGAGCCAGCAGGCTATTGACTATTCACAGTTGTCTAGTGTCACAATCACAGGCCTTACACTCATCCGATGTAAACTTAAAACCCATCTTTACAGAGGCAGATACTAAAAAATTAAAATTAAAATTAAAAAACCATCTTTATCATTTGCTAACTCCATGACCTTGGGTAACTCATTTCACTTCTGGAAAACTCCATTAAATCACATGGAAAAATTATAGCACAGGCATACCTCATAGATATTACAGATTCAGTTCCAGGCCACCCTAATAAAGTGAGTCAAACAAATATTTTGGTTTCTCAGTGCATATAAAAGATATGTTTACACTATACTGTGATCTACTAAGTGTGTGACAGCATTATGTATAAAAACAGTGTACATATCTTAATCCAAAAATAGTTTATTGATAGACATCAATACCAAGAGCTCTCAAAACCACACACTTACATGTGCTTGTTAGTACATGCTCCTGTTCCTGAATGACTTTTTGGTAAACAACAAAATTAAGACAGAAATCAAGAAGTTTTTTGAAACTAATAAGAACAAAGATACAACATACCAAAATCTCTGGGACACAATTAAACCAGTGTTGAGAGGAAAGTTTATAGCACTAAATGCCCACATCAAAAAGTTAGAAATATCTCCAATTAACCTAACATCACACCTAGAGGAACTTGAAAAACAAGAGCAAACCAACCCCAAAGCTAGTAGAAGAAAAGAAATAACCAAAATTAGAGCTGAACTGAACAAAATGGAGATAAGGGAAACCATACAAAAGATCCATGAAACCAAAAGTTGGTTCTTTGTAGAATAAATAAGACTGGTAGACCACTAGTTAGACTACTAAAGAAAGAGAAAATCCAGATAAACACAATCAAAAATAACAAAGGGGATATTACCACTGACCCCATAAAAATACAAACAAAAATCAGAGACTATTACAAACACCACTATGCACACAAACTAGAAAACCTACACAAAATTGATAACCTCTTGGAATCATACAAACTCCCAAGATTAAACCAGGATGAAATTGAACAGACCAATAACAAGTACCAAAATTTAATCAGTAATTAAAAAAAAACTTACCAACCAGAAAAGGCCCTGGACCAGATGGATTCACAGCCAAATTCTACCAGACATATAAAGAAGAGCTGGTGCCAATCCTACTGAAATTATTCCAAAAACTTGAGGAGGAGGGACTCCTCCCTAATTCATTCTATGAAGTCAGCATCATTCTGACATCAAAACCTGGCAGAGAGACAACAGAAAAAGAAAACTTCAGACCAATATCACTGATGAACATAGATGCAAAAATCCTAAACAAAATACTAGCAAACCAAATCCAGCAGTATATCAAAAAGCTAATCCACCACATTGTTTCCTGTTGGGAGCTCCCTGCAATACCCACCCCCCCTCCCCCCTGCCCCGCAAAAAAATGAATTCACCACAATCAAGTAGGCTTTATCCCTGGGAAGCAAGATTGATTCAACATATGCAAATCAATACATGTGATTCATCACATAAACCAAACTTTAAAAAAAGATCATCTTAATAGATGCAGAAGAGGCTTTTGATAAAATTTAACATCTTTTCATGTTAAAAACCCTCAACAAACCAGACATCAAAGGTACATACCACAAAATAGTAACAGTCAACTCTGACAATCCCACAGCCAACATCATAATGAATTGACAAAAGCTGGAAGCGTTCCTCTTGAGAAGCGGAACAAGACAAGGATGCCCACTCTTGCCACTCCTACTCAATATAGTATTGAAGTCCTAGCCAGAGCAATCATGCATGAGAAAGAAATAAAAGTCATCTAAATAGGAAGAGAGGAAGTCAAACTATGTTTGACAGACAATATTCACAGACAATATAAGCCTAGAAAACCCTGTAGTCTCTGCCCAAAGCTTCTAGATCTGATAAACCACTTCAGCAAAGGTTCAAGATACAAAATCAATGTACAAAAATCAGCATTTCTAGCAGCATTTCAATCGTATGAAATGCATAGAAATATGTCCAAGCTGAGAGTCAAATCAAGAATGCAATCCCACTCACAATAGCCACAATAAGAATAAAATACCTAGGAATACAGCTAAACAGGGAGGTGAAAGAGCTTTACAATGAGAATTATAAAACACTGTATCAGAGACAACACAAACAAACAGAAAAACATTCTATGCTCATGGATAGGAAGGGTCAATATTGTTAAAATAGTCATACTGCCCAAAACAATTTACGGATTCAATGTTATTCCTATATACAAACTACCAACATTTTTCACAGAATCAGAAAAAGCCATTTGAAAATGCATTTGGAAGCAAAAAGGGCCTGGATAGCCAAAACAATTCTAAGCAAAAAGACCAAAGCTGGAGGCATTATACTTCCAGACTTCAAACTATACTACAAGCCTACAGTAACCAAAACAGCATGGTACTGGTACAAAATGAGAATCATTAACAAATGAAACAGAATAGAGAACCCAGAAATAAAGCTACACACCTACAACTGTCTGATCTTCAATGAAGCTGACAAAAACAATCAATGGGAAAAGGACTTCCTATTCAATAAATGCTACTGGCATAACTGGCTAACCATATGCAGAAGAATGAAACTGGACCCCCACTTTTTACCACATACAAAAATCAATACAAGATGGATTAAAGACTTAAATGTAAAATCTAAAGCTATAAAGACCCTAGAAGAAAATCTAGAAAATACCATTCTGGACATTGGCCCAGGCAAAGACTTCATGATAAAAACTCTACAAGCAATTGCAACCAAAACAAAAATTGACAAGTGGGACCTAATTAAACTAAAGAGCTTCTACACTGGAAAAGAAACTATCAACAGAGTAAAAGACAACCTACAGAATGGGAACAAATATTTGCAAACTATGCATCCAACAAAGATCTAATATCCAGAATCTATAAAGAACTTAAATCAACAAGCAAAAAACAAAAAAAAATTTTAATGGGTAAAGGACATGAACAGACCCTTCTCAAAAGAAGACATAATGTGGCCAAAAAGCATATGATAAAAATGCTCAGTATCACTAATCATTAGGGAAATGCAATTCAAAACCACAATGAGATATTATCTCACACCAGTCAGAATGGCTGGTGAGGGAGAAAAGGGAATGCTTGTGCAGAGCTGGTGGTGTAAATTATTTCAGCCACTGTGAAAAGCAGTCTGGAGATTTCTCAGAGAACTTAAAATAGAACTACCATTTGACCCAGCAATTCCATTACTAAGTATATATCCAAGAGAATAGAAATTGTTCTACCATAAAGACATATGCCTGCGTATGTTCATCACAGCACTGTTCACAATAGCAAAGACATGGAATCAACCTAGGGTGCCCATCAATGGTGGACTCGATAAAGAACATGTGGTATGTATACACCATGAAATACTACCTATTTTTAAAAATGAGATCATGGCCTTTGCAGCAACATGGATGGAGCTGGAGGCCATTATCCTAAGCAAATTAAGCAGGAACAGAAAACCAAATACCACACATTCTCACATAAGTGTGAGCTAACCATTGAGTACACACGGGCACAAAGAAGGGAACACTAGACACTGGGACCTATTTTAGGGTGGAAGTTGGTATGAGAGTCGGATTGAAAAACTACCTATCATGGATTATGCTTATTACCTGGATGGCAAAATTATCTGTACACCAAACTCCCACAACACACAATTTATCCATCTAACAAACCTGCACATGTACTCCTTGAACCTAAAAGTTGGCAAGGCAAAAAAAAAGAAGAAAAATACTTTATTGCTCAAAATGTTAACATCATCTGAACCTTCAGCAAGTCAAAATCTTCTTGTTAGTGGAAGGCCTTGCCTCAGTGTTGATGGCTGCTGACTCATCAGGGTGGTGGCTGCTGAAAGTTAGGGTAGCTGCAGAAATTTCTTAAAATAAGACAATGAAGTTTGCCACATTGATTGATTGCCCTTCACAAACAATTGTGCAGTAGCATGCAATGTTGTTTGATAGCATTTTGCCCACAGTAGAACTTCTTTCAAAATTAGAGTCAATCCTCTCAAATCCTCTCATAAGGATTTGATAAAGTTGATAAAGTTGATAAAGTTGATAGCTTTATCAACTAAGTTTATGTGACATTCTAAATCATTTGTTGTCATTTCAACAATTCATTTTCTTCCTCAGCATGCTTACTAGGAGAAGTTTCCATCTCAATAAACCACATTCTTTGCTCATCCATTCAGGTTTTATCATGAGATTCCAGGAATTCAATCACATCTTTGGGCTCAACTTTAGTTCTCTTGTTATTTCCACCACAGCTGAGGTTACTTACTCCACTGAGGTCTTACACCCTTAAAAGTGATTCATGAGAGTTGGAATCAATTTCTCCAAAACTTCTTTTAGTGTTGATATTTTGACCTCCTCCTGCCAATCATGAATGTTCATCTAGAATGGTGAATTATTTCCAGAAGGTTTTCAACTTACTTTGCCAAGATCCATCAGCGAAATCACTATCTATGGCATCTATGGCCTTATAAAATGTATTTTTTAAACAATAAGACTTGAAAGTCAAAATTGTCCCTTGCTCTAGGAGCTGAAGAATGGATGTTGTGTTAGCGAGCATGAAAACAACACTAATCTTGTACATCTCCATCAGAGCTCATGAATGACCAGGCACATTGTCAACGTGCAGTAATATTTTGAAAGGCAACTTCTTTTCTGAGCAGTAGGTCTCGAACACGGATTTAATATAAATCATCATGTAAATAGATGTGCTATCATCCAGGCTTGGTTGTTTCATTTATAGAGTGCAGGCAGAATATATTTTGTACAATTCTGAAGGGCCTGCGGATTTTCAGAATGGTAGATGAGCATTGGCTTCAACTTAAGGTCACCAGCTGCACCAGCCCCTAACAAAAGAGCTGTCCTGTGCTCTCTAGCTATGAAGTCCTAGATGGCATCTTCTTCCAACAGAAGGCTGCTTCCTCCACATTGAACATCTGTTGTTTAGCGTAGACACCTTCATCGCTTATCTTAACTAGATCTTCTGGGTAACTTGCTGCAGTTTCTACATCATTGCTTGCTGCTTCACCTTGCTCTTTTATTTTATGGGGATGGCTTCTTTCTTAACCTCATGAACCAACCACTGCTAACTTTTCTTCTGCAGCTTCCTCACCTCTCAGCCTCAATAGAATTGAAGAGGGTTATAGTCTTTCTCTGGATTAGGCTTTATCTTAAGAGAATATTGTGGATGGTTTGACGTTCTATTCAGACCACTAAAACTTTCTTCATATCAGCAAAAGGCTGTTTTTCCTCTTATCATTCATGTGTTCACTGGAGTCGCCCTTTTGATTTCATTCAAGAACTTTTTCTTTGCATTCCCAACTTGGCTAACTGATGCAAGTGACCTAGTTTTCAGCCTGTCTCAGCTTTCGACATGCCTTCCTCACTAAGCTTTATCATTCCTAGCTTTTGATTTAAAGTGAGAGATGTGTGACTCTTCCTTTCATTTGAACACTTGGAGACCATTGCGGGGTTATTAATTGGTCTAATTTCAATATTGTTGTGTCTCAGAGAATACGAAGGCCCAAGAAGAGGGAGAGGGATAGGGAAAGAGCTGGTCAGTGAAGCAGTCAGAACACACATATTTATCAATTAAGCTCATCATCTTATAAGGGCACAGTGCCCCCAAACAATTACAATCAAGGATCACTGATCATAGGTCATAATAACAGATACAATAATCATGAAAATGTTTGAAATATTATGAAAATTACCAAAATGTGACACAGAGCCACTAAATGATCACATGCTTTTCAAATAATGACACTGAAGGCTGGGCGCCGTGGCTCATGCCTGTGATCCCAGCGCTTTGGGAGGCCGAGGCGGGCGGATCATGAGGTCAGGAGATCGAGACCATCCTGGCTAACACGGTTAAACCCCATCTCTACTAAAAATACAAAAATTTAGCCGGGTGTGGTAGCGAGCACCTGTAGTCCCAGCTACTCAGGAGGCTGAGGCAAGAGAATGGCATGAACCCGGGAGGCGGAGCTTGCAGTGAGACGAGATTGTGCCACTGCACTCCAGCCTGGGCGACAGAGCAAGACTCCGTCTAAAAAAAATAAAAAATAAAAAAAAATAGCACTGATAAACTTGTTCAAGTCAGGGTTGCCACAAATCTTCAATTTGCACCTGCAATATCTAAGAGGCACAATAAAATGAGGTATGCCTGTAATAATAGAGTATATCTCATTGCCTAATATTATAATTAAGTGAGCTAAATGATGTGGTTTTTTAACATCGTCTCAAGTAGATTTATTGTCAGTAATTAATGGTAATAGTACACAAAGTGGAGAACAAAGGAACCGTGCAATTAAAACTTTAATTTTTAGTAAATTTTAAAATTTACTAAACTTTTGAGTAATTTTGTGTTGTACCAACTTTTTTTGCCAGTGTGTTCAATCCAATTCCTTCTTTAAATTTTATTTTTAATTGACAAATAATAATGGTATATATTTATGAGGTACAAGGTGATGTTTTGACATGTTTACATTGTGAATTATTAAATCAAGCTAATTAACAAATCTATCACCTGACATAGTTATCTTTTGTAATGTGGTAAAAATATTTAAAATCTACTCTTTTAGTAATTTTAAAATACATAATGTGTTACTATTTATCATAATCACCATTCTGTGAAATAGACCCCTAAAGTTTATTTCTTCTGTCTAATCAAAACTTTGTATCCTTTCATCAACAGATTCCCTTTCCTGGTTCACCCCCTCCTCCAGCTTCTGGTAACTACCATTCCACTCTCTACTTCTGTGAGTTGGACTTTAATTTTAGAGTCCACATATAAGTGAGGTTATGCATTATTTGCCTTTCTGTGCCAGGCTTATTTCACTTATCATAATGTTCTCCAGGTTCATCCATGTTGTGACAAATAACAGAATTTCCTTTTTTAAGGCTAAATAGTAGTCCACTGTTTATATATACCACATTTTAATCCATTTATCTGATGATGAATACCTAGGTTGATTCCATATCTTGGCTATTGTGAATAATGCTACAGTGAACATTGGAGTGCAGATATGTTTTGACATGCTGACTTCAATGTCTTTGGACATATACTCAGAAGTGGGATTGCTGGAACATATGATAATTCTAGTTTTCATTTTCTGAGGACCCTCCATGCTGTTTTCCAAAATGGCTGAACCAATCTACATTCCCACCAACAGTGTGCAAGGATTCCCTTTTCTCCACATACTTGCCAACATTTATCTTTCATACTGTTGATAATAGCCAATCTACCAGGCGTGAAGTAATATTTCATTGTGGTTTTTATTCGCATTTCTCTGATGATTAAAAATGTTGATCTGAGCTTTGTCAGCAACAAGTAAAAATAAATAAATAAGAAATGTTGAGCATTTTTTCATATATCTGTTGGACATTTGTATGTCTTCTTTTGAGAAATGTCTACTCAGGTCCTCTGCCCATTTTTTAAATAGGGTTGTTTTCTTGTTTTGAGTAGTTTGAGTTTCTTACATATTTTGGATATTGGCTCCTTATCTGATTTATCATCCAAATAGTTTCTCCCAATATGTGGGTTATGTCTTCACTGTGTTGTTTCCTTTGCTGGGCAGAAGGCTTTTAGTTTAATACAATATTATTCCCCTATTTTTGCTTTTGTTGCTTGTGCTTTGGGAGATCATATCCAATAAATCACTGCCAAGACCAATGTCATGAAGCTTTCCCACTATGTTTTCTTCTAGTAGTTTTTACGGTTTCATGTCTTACATTTAAGTCTATGATTCATTTTGAGTTCATTCTAGTATAAGAGGTAAGATAAGGGTCCACTTTCATTCTTCTGCATATAGATATAGTTTTGCCCACACCAATTATTGAAGGTACTGTCCTTTCCCCATTGTGTGTTCTTTGGGCCCTTGTTGAAAATCAATTGACCATAAACGTATGGGCTTATTTCTGAAATCTCTAACCTATTCCATCAGTTGCTGTGTCTGTTTTTATGCCAATAGCATGCTGTTTTTATTACTATACCTTTGTAATACATTTTGAAATCCAGCAGTGTGATACCTCTATCTTTTTCTTTTTGGTAAATTTGTCTTTGGCTATTCTGGGTTTCCAGTGGTTCCATGTGAAGCTTCAGATTATTTCTTTCTGTTTCTGTGAAGAATGACATTAGAATGTTAATATGGATTGCATTGAATCTGTACATCACTTTGGATAGTATGGACATTTTGCCAATTTTGATTCTTCCAGTCCGTGAACATAGGATAGCTGTCTGTAAGTTCTTCTAGTAAAAACACACTTTACTGACAAACTGGATTTCTCTGGTTGTTTTTTTGGTTTCTTGGCTCCTTCAGCATTTGGGGGACACTTTGCACATATGGCCCTCACATGAAACAGTCCTTTTAGCATTTTTTATAAGACAAGCTTAGTGTTGGTGAATTCTCTCAGCTTTTGCTTGTTTGGGAAAGTCTCTAATCTCTCCTTCATGTTTGAAGGGTAGATTTTTGAGGGTTAGCAGGTTTTTCCTTCAGCACTTTGAATATAACATCTCACTGTCATCTGGTCATCAGGGTTTCTATGAAAGCCATATTGAGGCTTCATCTAATGTAATATGTTTCTTTTTTCTTGCTACTTTGAGTATTCTTTCTGTCTTTGATTTTTGATAATTTTATTATTATATGCCTTGTGGATTTCCTGTTTGGGTTGAATTTCATTGGTGACTTCTGAGCTTCCTGCACCTGGATGCTGTCATCTTTCTCCAGATTTGGGAAATTTTCAGCCATTATTTCTTTAAATATGCTTTGTGGGCCCTTTCTCTCTTGTCTTCTCTAGGAATTCTAATTATGCAGAGGTTAATTTGCCTGATGATGTCCCATAGTTCTTGTAGACCTTCTTCATTCTTTTTTTTCTCTTTTTGTTCCTCTGATTGGTGATTTCAAATGTTCTGTCTTCAAGCTTGCTAATTCCTCTGTTTGCTCAAGTCTGCTGTTGAAGCTTTATAATGAGTTTTTCAGTTCAATTATTTTATTCTTTATTACTAGTATTTCTATTTCTATTGCTTGGTTTTTTTTTTCATTGTTTCTATAAATCTTCAATTCTTCTGGGACCATTCCTGGAGCTTTGTTGATTTCTTTTGATGGTATTGAATATTTCTGAGTTTTCACAAGCCTTGTATCTTTACATGGATGCCTGCATATTTGAGGCGACTGCCAACTCTTCCAGCTTTTGCAGGTGCTCTTTCATGGTGTTAGACCTTTACTTCTTAGTATTAGAACTTAAACACTGGCCTGTTGTTGCTTTACACTGTAGAGAGGGCTTAATAGTGAGCATCAGAACTAAAACATTGCACTGGACCTAACTCATTGCCCTGTCATTGTTTCCCAGTGTAAGGAAAACTTATAGTGAGCACCACAGCTTAAATGCCCTGGAACAATATTGCTGCCCTACTATTGTTTCTCAGTGTGGGAAAAACTTAGGTGGGTACTGAAAATCTTGACCTTTTAGTTGTTTCTGGGCCAGGGAAAAGCTTCACATGTGCACCTGGGCTTTGTGGATTTGGGCCTTCCCATAAATTTTGTCCCCTACAATACTCTGGCCCCCCCACCAGTCTCTTCAATATGGCATCCCCACTGATCAAAGCACTGAACAATCACCAAGATCCACATGCCAGTTGCTGCAATCAGTGACCTACTCTTTGTCCCCAATTCACCCCAGGTTTTTCAGCCCTCTTGGTTCTCTAGTGGGATGAAACTGGAGTGGACTTACCATTAAGATTCCTAGACAAGTGGGAAGATCAAATATCCACCTCCAATTCCTTCTTCTCATCTCAGCAACTGTGGGTCTAGGGAAGTTCTCTGTGAGTGGTATTATTATGGCCTGGGAGAGAGGGTGGAACAGGCTGAAATGACCATTTCTCTTACCTGTCACTGCTTCTCTCAATTCTATGAGCCCAGGGGGTTTCTCTGCTTCTCAAGTTCTGGTGTATTCAGGGTGGCATTCTTGTCTTTGAATAGTTTTTCATTTTATTTTTGTGTCAGGAAGTGATCCCAGGAGATCTATTCTGCCATCTTGCTGACATCACTTCCCAGTTTAGTCCTGAGGTATCAGGGATGGATTAAGAAGCACATGGCTTTCCCCATCCTGGGAAAATTCTCCAGGACAGGGCAAACCAGCTCTTGCACCAGAGACATATCCACAGAGTAGCCTTTCTTGTATTGTCACTCTCTGCAGCTCATATCCTTGTGCTGGGCTGTGAGGCAGGCACTAAGGACACTCTTTAGGTAACAGTGGAACGCAGAACAAAGAGAAGTCAAGCTAGCCTCAGAGAAGAGAAAATTTGTCTTAAGTTTTTGATATCACAATCTGCATCTTTTTATAATTTGTATCCCTTGACAAATTATTGTAGGTTTCATTGTTTTTAATAGCTTTGCCTTTTAATGTTATTAAAGATATAATTTATTTACCCACTGACATTACAGTATCAGAGTATTTTGGATTTCACAATGTATTTACTTTTATCAGTGAATGTTATACTTTCATATGTTTTCCAGTCACTAATTAGTGTCCTCTTCTTCAGCTTGAAGAACTCTCTTTAGCACTTCTTGTAAGGCAAGTCTAGTAGTAATAAACTCTCTCAGCTTCTGTTTGTCTGAGAAAGTCTTTATCACCCCTTCATTTTTGAAAGAAAAGATTTCTGGGTATAGTATTCTTGGTTGACAGGGTTGTTTTATTCAGGATTTTTAATATAACATCCCACCCCCTTCTGGCCTACAAAGTTTCTGCTGAGAAATCTGCTGATAATCTAAGGGAGGGTTCTCTTGTGTGTAGCAATTCACTATTTCCTCACTGTTTTTAAAACTTTCTCTGTCTTTTTGCATGTATGGCAGGGGGAGGGTGGTGAGTATTCTGGTTTCTTCCATCCTATGGTGAAGGTGAATGCCAGTATTTATCTCTCCCTCTCTCTGCACTAAGCTGGAGAGATAATCTGTGACAAATGCCTATACTTGTGTCCAAACTGCACCCTCTGATCCTGGTGAGATAGCTGCTTGATATGGTTAGAATCTGTGTCCCCATCCAAATCTCATGTCAAGTTGTAATCCCCAATGTTGGCGGTGGACCTGGTGAGAGGTGATTGGATCACGGGGGTAAATCCTTCATGAATGGTTTAACATCATCTCTTTGGTGCTGTTCTCATGATAGTGAGTGAGATGTGGTTGTTTAAAAGTATATAGTACATCCCTCACCCCGCTCCTCCTCCAGCCATGTGAAGATGCCTGCTCTGGCTTTGTCTTCTGCCATGAGTAAAAGCTCCTGAGGCCTCCTCAGAAGCAGATAGTGCCATGCTTCCTGTATAGCCCATAGAACCATGAGCCAATTAAACCTCTTTTCTTTATAAATTATGCAATCTTGAGTATTTATTTATAGCAATGAGAGAATGGACTAATACATGCTGAAAGTGGGCCCGTTGTATGCCCATGTCTTTGTTTTCTGTAGTCCCAGGCCGCTTAGGAATGCAAAGTCTCATTGGGAATGCAAAGCCCCATTAGTCCCCAGAGCTAGGTTGATAAGGAGACAGTCCCTTGGGTGGAAACTATAGAAGCTTAGGTACTCAGTACACGGACAAACTCCTTCCAGGAAGAATGGGTCGACTGGATTTATCACTGGGATGAGCCAAAGGAAAGGCTCAGAAAGTGCTCAGCTCAAGCTCAGGATGACAGGGAGCTACTTTCTCCCCTTAGGTCCTCAATGCAAATTCATTAAAAGCAAGGTCATCAAGTAGCCACCAATAGAGTAAGCAGGAAACCCCTTGCAAAGAGAAAATGGGAGCTCAGCATTCTAGTCCCTTTTCTACACTGCTCCCAGGAGATGTAGACCCTGGCAGTGTTATTATGTCCATTTAAAACCACCTTTTTGGCTGGGTGCAATGGCTCAGCCTGTAATCCCAGTACTTTGGGAGGCTGAAGTGGGTGGGTCACTTGAGGTCAGGAGTTCAAGACCAGCCTGGCCAACATGGTGAAACGCTGTCTCCACTAAAAATACAGAACATTAGCCAGATGTGGTGGTGCATGCCTGTAGTCCCAGCTACTTGGGAGGCTGAGACAGGAGAACCGCTTGAACCCGGGAGGTGGAGGTTGCAGTGAGCCAAGATTATGCCATTGCACTCCAGTCTGGGTGGCAGAGTGAGACTCTGTTTAAAAAACAAACAAACAAACAAAAAAACCTTTTTGTATGTGATCTGGGAAGACTTGAGTATGCATAGTTTCAGGTGGTAGCTGCTGTAAAAGTTGGGCCACTCAATGCATGGCATAAACCCCTTACAGGGAGTAACAGGGAGCTGCATTTTTAAGCCCCTTTTCTGTACCACTCCAAGAGTTTGAAACCCCCAGAAATACGTGTGCACCTGTATAAACCTACCACTCTTGTCTGTTGTCTAGAGAGATTCTCATATGCATAGTCCTCTCTGCTCCTAAAGCTGGGAGTTTTAGAGTGCAGTCCTTCCAGTAGAAGCTGCAAAAGTTGAGGCATTCTACATGTGGACAAACTCTCTCCAGGAAGGAGTAATAGACCTGGAGTTATCACTGGAGTGAGCCAGGGGAAAAGGCTTAGGAAGTGTTGATCTGCTTCTGAGGCTACCAGCAGGCTACTATTTGCCTCTTTAACTCCCCAATGCAAGTTAATTAATGCAAGTTAATTAGAAGCCCAGCCACCAAGTAGCCCCTAGAAGAGTGTCATAAACCCCTCCCAGAGAAAAACAAGAAGCTGCATTTTTTTAAGTCCTTCTCTGCACTGCCTCCAGAGAGTGAGGCCCCTGGAAGTGCTTGTTCTGTAGCATAAAACCACTGCTTTTTTCCTGTAGGTCAGAAAGACTCATGTATTCCTAATCCCCTCCACTTCCAGAGTTGATTAATTGAGCCGAACCACGGGGAATTTCAGAGCTAAAGCACTATATGTGAGGCCCAAACCCTCCTCTCCACAGAGAGAAGTTGTGTGTTAGGGATTCCTTTCCTGGTTGTATGGCACAGTGTCCAAGGTGGAGTTCATGCCTGAGTGCACCTCAGCTTTTCCCACTCATTTGATGCAGATGTTTTTTCTCAGTTGCCCAGTGGGTAGGAGTCTCTCAATTGGTTCCTGACTTTTTTCAGAGAATCAATCAGTGAATAGTTTGTTCAGTGCATTGGTGGGTGAAGGGAGAGTCAGGAGTCTCCTATTTCACCATGTTGCTGATGTCATCTAAGGGTAAGCCTTTAGGCTTGGCAACAATGACTTCTGGATAGGAGACTTCCCTTGAATCTTTCACAGCATGAACATTCTATTTTTGTGCCAACATGCATTTCACGGTGAAAGAAGTCACAACAGGGGCCTCAGACACCAAACGCAACCTTAGATTTCAAATAACGTCCTGTAGTTCATGAATTAGGTATCCTGAGTTTGGAATAATGCAGACTGCTAACAGAGGTAGGGGAGGGACAAACATTGCTGGTGACGACATTGGTATAGAACCACCTGTGAGCATCAAATGCAGCCAAAGTACAGAAACAAGGTAGGGGTGGATCAGTGTCATGTTGCATACATGAGATGGCAGTATCCTTCTAGAGTCTCCCCATTTACATTCACTTCGAAAAGCAGCATGGCCTAGGAGATAGAAAAAGAACAAACAATGCAAAAGCAATGGCAACCATAAGACTATGTGTTTGCTCTCAAACACAACAGGCCTCATCTGTGATTCTTTTCAGGCTAGAACTTGACATTTTGGAGATCCAGATTTTGGAAGAATTTGCCTTTGCTTCTTCCTCTGCCTCCAAGACGTCCATGTTCTTCTAAGGGTCCTCACTACCTTACTCTACATAATATGAGAGCACATAGATGTTTTCATAGAAGAGAGAGCACACAGTCATAACCAAATGGGCACTCCTTTCAGCTTTGAGTTCCCTGGGGCACTGTGAGCTGTCCAGAGAGCTCTCTGGAACACAGGTCAGGGCACCAGTGATTAGAAGAAAGCAGAGCAACTGCTTCCAGTAAAATTCATAGTCTATGATGCTCATGCCAGTGACATGGAATAGGTCAACCTGACACCCATGGCATGTCCACATGGTACAGTGCACTGAACTTGAATGGGGGAGGTTATTCTCTATATGGTCCCTGAAAGGTAAATTTGCCTCTCTTAATAGTGTCTCCTAGCAGTGTTTGGAGATGGCCTGAGATGACGCTTGCTAAGGGAGGCTATCTGAGGAAGCACCAAATAAGATCTCTTAGAGACCATGCCCTTATAGCCCACCTACTGCTGATGATGTCTGTGTTGGTAGTTGATTATGATCTCTTTTCTAAGACTCCCTTGTCCAAGAAAAGCTCTTGAGAAAGGTGAAGACAAATCTGAGATATCCAGAGCCTGGTGTGATGCCTCAGAGGTGGCTCATGGCCTCTGGTCTGATGGGGGAAGTTTTCTTCTCTGATGTCTCTTTCATTGAATAGCCCAGCAAGAAGCACTAGACTGGAGCATAACACTGCACACCTGCCTCTGGGCATGGCCTGTCCTCCTGAAACCTCTTCACATTTGACTCCGTGTTCCAATTAGCCACATGTGATGCAACCCTGGATCTGGCCCCAGGATCATTTCAGAGGAGTTGCGATTGCATAGAGTAAGGGAGAGTCTGTACCACAGTGGTTAATTTCCACTAACTCACAGTAGGATGACAGGCAAGACCCACTGCCACTCTGTGCCAATTACTCCTTAGCAATAGCAGCATGAACCACCTGTTCCCCACCCCTTGGTGTTCCTCTTGATCAAAAGAAAAGAGAATAAGCCTCTAAGGAAGAGGGCTTGGGAAAGATAGGGACTATTCAGTTAATGGAAGGTGCTGGAGTGTTAGATCCTGAGACCCAAATTGGGTCCCATCAGAGGAGTAGCCATGTTGGTGGGTGCTGGATAGGAGGAGCTTTGGGGTTGGTGCAGGCACTCACTCTCACTAGGATGCCTCTGGTCTCAAGTAATGGAGAGAAGTGAGAAAAAGTGAGCTCAGAGGAAACATCCTCTTCCGGCCACATCATATCCTCTCTCTCTCTTGTGGCCTTAGGCATGTCGCTGGCCTTCCTGGGACTCATTATCCTCATTGTAAAGAGACAGCAATCTGAAGCTCAGAAAGAGATTGGGGAGCATGAGGTGGGGGAGTACCAAGGCTAAGGAGACCAAAGCAGTGCTTGGGGGCCTCCCACTCTTTACCTTGGGTTCTAACTGCCACCCATCTCGTGCTTAATGGGTCCTTCTGACTCCAGGGTGAGAAATGTTCTCCTTAGCATCAGGAGACGCTGCACATGAGCAGTTCCTCCCCCTGGGAGTACTGGTTCAGTGAGCAAAACAGCAAGGGGCTGGGCATCCTGAGGGCTGGGAGGGATACATGGGCCAAAGAAGGAGAAGGAGGGTAGAGAAGCATAGCCAGGGAGAGAAATCAAACACCAGGACACAAGATGAGTGGGGCATCTTTGGGGGCTACAGTGGGCTCTCAATGATCACCTGTAGTGGCAGCAAAAGAGGCAGGATCCATGGGCATTTGTTCTGGTTTATTTGACAGGGACAGGGAGTTCAGACACTGGGGAGGGTGGCATTCCTGTTGATGTTCTTGTGCTGATGATTTGATGTCCTTGTGCTTCGGATGTGGGCACAGTCTCGGATGGAAGGGTTCAGGGAGCAGGATGCACATCCCAGCCCACTCTCCCACTCATAGGATGCTCATACAAATGTTCCCACAGAAGGCTGAACAGCATATCTTATTTGTTTCACACTTTTGGAAATATGAACAGTGGTGGATGCATAGATCTATGCTGGGTCGCTTCTCACAGACCTTGATTCCTGAAATGATGCAGGAGCAGGGTCAATGAAACCATGCACCTATAGAGCAGCCTTCTCAAGCTTGAAGCTCCTCCATGGCCCCAGAACCAAGGCACCCCTGCCACCACGACTCTCCTGGACTCTTCAGGGAACTTCCTTCCAGCCCATCACCAATCCTAGTGATTGGCAGTATCTTAAATCCTGTCTCCCTGCCCTGCATCTCACCCCAGTAGACTTCAATGCCTGGGCTTCCTGGACTCTCGCCATACACCTGCATTCAGAACTCTGTCTCCCCATTAATCATGGTGAAGTCACCCCCATAGAATCTATGGTCTGACCCTGAGAGCTCAAAGAAGCCTGAGACATTTCCAAACCCTCCCCTAGTCTCCAGAATTTGCAGAGCCCAGAAAAGAAGATGAACTTGCCTCTCATCCCTCCTTCTCCTCTCCTCTCCATCACTGTCCCTAGTATCGCTTCCCACCACCACTCTCCTGGCTCCTTTGATGTTATACTTAACTTTGCCCTGTATACTCCAACTTTTCATTGCTTATGTCCTTTTTACCCTACACTTATACCCATTTCTACACCTACACCTACCCTCATAACCACTTCTAGATGTTCACTCCTCACAAATGTGCATAAATCAAAGAATAATTGTCTTGCTTTCCCATTGGATTCTCAGCCCTGGTTCACCTTTCACTATGGGATGTACCATTTGTCTCTAAGTACTGGGAGCAAACAACAAAAGATGTAGGTTCCCCCTTCATTCCCACTACTATTCCCAGGGCCAGGTAAAGGGGTTGGAGGGCCATGGTTTGGGACAGCCCAGAGTCTGCACAGCATTGTGGTCAGAGCTGGATATGCAGAAAGGTTGCAAGTCCTAGGTCCTACTCAGACTGGACACAGCTCCTCCATTCCCCCTACCCAACTCTCCATCACCCATCCAGCAGCCCATCACCTACTCTGCATCCTCATCTTGTCACGGTATCCTCCCTGGGCCTGCAGCAGCAGCACACAGAGAACCAGGACAAGCAGCAGAGTCTGGGGTGCCATAACTCTGACCAGAGCGTGAGCCCTAAGTCTGGCCAGGCAGTCACAGACTTCCCTGCAGAGCTGCCTGTGGAGAGGGAAGGAAATAAAGAAGGAATGATCTTCAGCTCCTCGCTGCCTCCACTGGACAAGTCAGGGCAGAGCAAGAGTCCTTGCTTCCTGCCCTTGCCTTCTCCTGGCCCTGTCCTTCTCCATGTAGGATAGGGCTTCTGCAGGAATGATGCCTCCTCTCACATCACATAACCAGTCCTGTGTTCTTGCTAACAGAGTTTTTCTTTTCCAAAAGGTACTCTTTATTTCTGCTTTCTAATTATAAAATGCTTTATGGAAAAAAGAAAAGAAGAAATATAATTTTTTAAAAGGTGCTTAGAATTAACCCATATTTTATTACATTATCTTTTAGTTCCTCTGTATATTTAATGTAAACAATCTTTTATTTTCTCATTTTTGAATCACCTATCTTTTGTTACCTACCGTCTGCCACCTTTATTTAGTCATGCAAATATTTACAATGTCATTATTTCTCAAAAAGAAAAGACATAATTTTTTTGGGGGGGGGCGGTGAACGTAGCTACAGATAGACACTCCAATTTCCACAGTTGTGAAAGCAGAAATCATATCATGAGCCCCTTTAGGAAGTGGCTATTTGCATATAATGGATGTGTTCATTATAAATTCTTCTTTTTTTTTTTTTAGACAGAGTCTCACTCCACACCAGGCTGGAGTGCAATGGCGTGATCTTGGCTCACTGCAACCTCCACCTTCCAGGTTCAAGCAATTCGCACCTCAGCCTCCTGAGTAGCTGGGATTACAAGCATGTGCCATCACACCCAGATAATTGTTGTATTTTTAGTAGAGATGGGGTTCCGCCATGTTGGCCAGGCTGGTCTTGAACTCCTGACTTCAATTGATCCACCTGTATCAACCTCCCAAAGTCATGGGATTACAGGCGTGAGCCACCACACTCGGCCTAATTATAAATTATTCTTATCAATTCATTACACAAAACTCTATATGATTGAGCTATATTTTTAATATTAAGTTCTGGGGTACATGTGCAGGATGTGCAGGTTTGTTGCATGTGCTGTGGGGGCTTGCTGCACCTATCAACCCATCACCTAGGTATCAAGCCCAGCATGCATTAGCCATTTATCCTGATGCTCTCCCTCCTATGACAGGCCCCAAGGTGTGTTGTTTACCTCCCTGTGTCCATGTATTCTCATTGTTCAGCTCCCACTTATAAGGGAGAACATGGGGTGTTTGAACATGGGGTGTTTGGTTTTCTGTTCCTCCATTAGTTTGCTGAGGATAACGGCTTGTAGTTCCATCCATGTCCTTGCAAAGAACATGATCTCATTCCTTTTTATGCCACATAGTATTCCATGGTGTATATGTACCATATTTTCTTTATCCAATCTATCATTGATGGGCTTTTGGGTTAATTTCATGTCTTTGCTATTGTGAATAGTGCTGCAATGAACATATGCATGCATGTGTCTTTATAACAGAATGATTCCATTCCTTTGGGTATATACCCAGTAATGGGGTTGCTGGGTCAAATGGTATTTCTGGTTCTAAATCTTTGAGGAATCATCACATTGTCTTCCACAATGGTTGAACTAATTTACATTCCTACCAACAGCATGAAAGCGTTCCTATTTCTCCACAACCTCAACAGCATCTGTAGTTTCTTGACTTTTTAATAACCTCCATTGTAACTGGCGTAAGATGGTATCTCATCGTGGTTTTGATTTGCATTACTCTGATGTTCAGCTTTTTTTCATGTTTATCGGCTGCATATATGTCTTCTCTTGAGAAGTGTCTGTTCATGTCCTTTGCCCACTTTTTAATGGGATTGCTTGTCTTTTCTTTTATTATTATTATTATTATTATTATTATTATACTTTAAGTTTTAGGGTACATGTGCACAATGTGCAGGTTAGTTACATATGTATACATGTGACATGCTGGTGCGCTGCACCCACTAACTCATCATCTAGCATTAGGTATATCTCCCAATGCTATCCCTCCCCCCTCCCCCCACCCCACAACAGTCCCCAGAGTGTGATGTTCCCCTTCCTGTGTCCATGTGTTCTCATTGTTCAATTCCCACCTATGAGTGAGAATATGCGGTGTTTGGTTTTTTGTTCTTGCGATAGTTTACTGAGAATGATGATTTCCAACTTCATCCATGTCCCTGCAAAGGACATGAACTCATCATTTTTTATGGCTGCATAGTATTCCATGGTGTATATGTGCCACATTTTCTTAATCCAGTCTATCATTGTTGGACATTTGGGTTGGTTCCAAGTCTTTGCTATTGTGAATACTGCCGCAATAAACATACATGTGCATGTGTCTTTATAGCAGCATTATTTATAGTCCTTTGGGTGTATACCCAGTAATGGGATGGCTGGGTCAAATGGTATTTCTAGTTCTAGATCCCTGAGGAATCGCCACTCCCACCAACAGTGTAAAAGTGTTCCTATTTCTCCACATCCTCTCCAGCACCTGTTGTTTCTTGACTTTTTAATTATTGCCATTCTAACTGGTGTGAGATGATATCCCATTGTGGTTTTGATTTGCATTTCTCTGATGGCCAGTGATGGTGAGCATTTTTTCATGTGTTTTTTGGCTGCATAAATGTCTTCTTTTGAGAAGTGTCTGTTCATGTCCTTCGCCCACTTTTTGATGGGGTTGTTTGTTTTTTCCTTGTAAATTTGTTAGAGTTCATTGTAGATTCTGGATATTAGCCCTTTGTCAGATGAGTAGGTTGCGAAAATTTTCTCCCATTTTATGGGTTGCCTGTTCTCTGATGGTAGTTTCTTTTGCTATGCAGAAGCTCTTTAGTTTAATTAGATCCCATTTGTCAATTTTGGCTTTTGTTTCCATTGCTTTTGGTGTTTTAGACATGAAGTCCTTGCCCATGCCTATGTCCTGAATGGTAATGCCTAGGTTTTCTTCTAGGGTTTTTATGGTTTTAGGTATAACGTTTAAGTCTTTAATCCATCTTGAATTAATTTTTGTATAAGGTGTAAGGAAGGGATCCAGTTTCAGCTTTCTACATATGGCTAGCCAGTTTTCCCAGCACCATTTATTAAATAGGGAATCCTTTCCCCATTGCTTGTTTTTCTCAGGTTTGTCAAAGATCAGATAGTTGTAGATATGTGGCGTTATTTCTGAGGGCTCTGTTCTGTTCCATTGATCTATATCTCTGTTTTGGTACCAGTACCATGCTGTTTTGGTTACTGTAGCCTTGGAGTATAGTCTGAAGTCAGGTAGTGTGATGCCTCCAGCTTTGTTCTTTTGGCTTAGGATTGACTTGGCGATGTGGGCTCTTTTTTGGTTCCATATGAACTTTAAAGTAGTTTTTTCCAATTCTGTGAAGAAAGTCATTGGTAGCTTGATGGGGATGGCATTGAATCTATAAATTACCTTGGGCAGTATGGCCATTTTCATGATATTGATTCTTCCTAGCCATGAGCATGGAATGTTCTTCCATTTGTTTGTATCCTCTTTTATTTCATTGAGCAGTGGTTTGTAGTTCTCCTTGAAGAGGTCCTTCACGTCCCTTTTAAGTTGGATTCCTAGGTATTTTATTCTCTTTGAAGCAAATGTGAATGGGAGTTCACTCATGATTTGGCTCTCTGTTTGTCTGTTATTGGTGTATAAGAATGCTTGTGATTTTTGAACATTGATTTTCTATCCTGAGACTTTGCTGAAGTTGCTTATCAACTTAAGGAGATTTTGGGCTGAGACAATGGGGTTTTCTAGATATGCAATCATGTCATCTGCAAACAGGGACAATTTGACTTCCTCTTTTCCTAATTGAATACACTTTATTTCCTTCTCCTGCCTAATTGCCCAGGCCAGAACTTCCAACACTATGTTGAATAGGAGTGGTGAGAGAGGGCATCCCTGTCTTGTGCCAGTTTTCAAAGGGAATGCTTCCAGTTTTTGCCCATTCAGTATGATGTTGGCTGTGGGTTTGTCATAGATAGCTCTTATTATTTTGAGATACGTCCCATCAATACCTAATTTATTGAGAGTTTTTAGCATGAAGGTTGTTGAATTTTGTCAAAGGCCTTTTCTGCATCTATTGAGATAATCAGGTGGTTTTGTCTTTGGTTCTGTTTATATGCTGGATTACATTTATTGATTTGCGTATATTGAACCAGCCTTGCATCCCAGGGATGAAGCCCACTTGATCATGGTGGATAAGCTTTTTGATGTGCTGCTGGATTCGGTTTGCTAGTATTTTATTGAGGATTTTTGCATCAATGTTCATCAAGGATATTGGTCTAAAATTCTCTTTTTTGGTTGTGTCTCTGCCCGGCTTTGGTATCAGGATGATGCTGGTCTCATAAAATGAGTTAGGGAGGATTCCCTCTTTTTCTATTGGTTGGAATAGTTTCAGAAGGAATGGTACCAGTTCCTCCTTGTACCTCTGGTAGAATTCGGCTGTGAATCCATCTGGTCCTGGACTCTTTTTGGTTGGTAAGCTATTGATTATTGCCACAATTTCAGCTCCTGTTATTGGTCTATTCAGAGATTCAACTTCTTCCTGGTTTAGTCTTGGGAGAGTGTACGTGTCGAGGAATTTATCCATTTCTTCTAGATTTTCTAGTTTATTTTCGTAGAGGTGTTTGTAGTATTATCTGATGGTAGTTTGTATTTCTGTGGGATCGGTGGTGATACCCCTTTATCATTTTTTATTGCATCTATTTGATTCTTCTCTCTTTTTTTATTAGTCTTGCTAGTGGTCTATCAATTTTGTTGATCCTTTCAAAAAACCAGCTCCTAGATTCATTAAATTTTTGAAGGGTTTTTTGTGTCTCTATTTCCTTCAGTTCTGCTCCGATTTTAGTTATTTCTTGCTTTCTGCTAGCTTTTGAATGTGTTTGCTCTTGCTTTTCTAGTTCTTTTAATTGTGATGTTAGGGTGTCAATTTTGGATCTTTCCTGCTTTCTCTTGTGGGCATTTAGTGTCATAAATTTCCCTCTACACACTGCTTTGAATGTGTCCCAGAGGTTCTAGTATGTTGTGTCTTTGTTCTGATTGGTTTCAAAGAACATCTTTATTTCTGCCTTCATTTCGTTATGTACCCAGTAGTCATTCAGGAGCAGGTTGTTCAGTTTCCATGTAGTTGAGCGGTTTTGAGTGAGTTTCTTAATGCTGAGTTCTAGTTTGATTGCACTGTGATCTGAGAGATAGTTTGTTATAATTTCTGTTCTTTTACATTTGCTAAGGAGAGCTTTACCTCCAACTATGTGGTCAATTTTGGAATAGGTGTGTTGTGGTGCTGAAAAAAAATGTATATTCTGTTGATTTGGGGTGGAGAGTTCTGTAGATGTCTATTAGGTCCGCTTGGTGCAGAGCTGAGTTCAATTCCTGGGTATCCTTGTTGACTTTCTGTCTCGTTGATCTGTCTAATGTTGACAGTGGGGTGTTAAAGTCTCCCATTATTAATGTGTGGGAGTCTAAGTCTCTTTGTAGGTCACTCAGGACTTGCTTTATGAATCTGGGTGCTCCTGTATTGGGCGCATATATATTTAGGATAGTTAGCTCTTCTTGTTGAATTGATCCCTTTACCATTATGTAATGGCCTTCTTTGTCTCTTTTGATCTTTGTTGGTTTAAAGTCTGTTTTATCAGAGACTAGGATTGCAACCCCTGCCTTTTTTTATTTTCCATTTGCTTGGTAGATCTTCCTCCACCCTTTTATTTTGAGCCTATGTGTGTCTCTGCATGTGAGATGGGTGTCCTGAATACAACACACTGATGGGTCTTGACTCTTTATCCAATTTGCCAGTCTGTGTCTTTTAATTGGAGCATTTAGTCCATTACATTTAAAGTTAGTATTGTTATGTGTGAATTTGAACCTGTCATTATGATGTTAGCTGGTTATTTTGCTTGTTAGTTGATGCAGTTTCTTCTTAGTCTCCATGGTCTTTACATTTTGACATGATTTTGCAGTGGCTGGTAACGGTTGTTCCTTTCCATGTTTAGTGCTTCCTTCAGGAGCTCTTTTAGGGCAGGCCTGGTGGTGACAAAATCTCTCAGTATTTGCTTGTCTATAAAGTATTTTATTTCTCCTTCACTTATGAAGCTTAGTTTGGCTGGATATGAAATTCTGGGTTGAAACTCTTTCCTTTAAGGATGTTGAATATTGGTCCCCACTCTCTTCTGGCTTGTAGAGTTTCTGCCGAGAGATCCACTGTTAGTCTGATGGGCTTCCCTTTGTGGGTAACCCGACCTTTCTCTCTGGCTGCCCTTAACATTTTTTCCTTGATTTCAACTTTGGTGAATCTGACAATTATGTGTCTTGGAGTTGCTCTTCTCGAGGAGTATCTTTGTGGCATTCTCTGTATTTCCTGAATCTGAATGTTGGCCTGCCTTGCTAGATTGGGGAAGTTCTCCTGGATAATAACCTGCAGAGTGTTTTCCAACTTGGTTCCATTCTCTCTGTCACTTTCAGGTACACCAATCAGACGTAGATTTGGTCTTTTCACATAGTCCCATATTTCTTGGAGGCTTTGTTCATTTGTTTTTATTCCTTTTTCTCTAAACTTCCCTTCTCGCTTCATTTCATTCGTCTTCCATCACTGATACCCTTTCTTCCAGTTGATCACATTGGCTCCTGAGGCTTCTGCATTCTTCATGTAGTTCTCGAGCCTTGGCTTTCAGCTCCATCAGCTCCTTTAAGCACTTCTCTGTATTGGTTATTCTAGTTATACATTCGTCTAAATTTTTTTCAAAGTTTTTAACTTCTTTGCCTTTGGTTTGAATTTCCTCCTGTAGCTCGTAGTTTGATCGTCTGAAGCCTTCTTCTCTCAACTTGTCAAAGTCATTCTCCGTCCAGCTTTGTTCCATTGCTGGTGAGGAACTGTGTTCCTTTGGAGGAGGAGAGGTGCTGTGCTTTTCAGAGTTTCCAGTTTTTCTGCTCTGTTTTTTCCCCATCTTTGTGGTCTTATCTACTTTTGGTCTTGATGATGGTAATGTAGAGATGGGTTTTTGGTGTGGATGTCCTTTCTGTTTGTTAGTTTTCCTTCTAACAGACAGGACCCTTAGCTGCAGGTCTGTTGGAGTTTGCTAGAGGTCCACTCCAGACCCTGTTTGCCTGGGTATCAGCAGCGGTGTCTGCAGAACAGTGGTTTTTCGTGAACCGCGAATGCTACTGTCTGATCGTTCCTCTGGAAGTTTTGTCTCAGAGGAGTACCCAGCTGTGTGAGGTGTCAGTCTGCCCCTACTGGGGGGTGCCTCCCAGTTAGGCTGCTCAGGAGTCAGGGGTCAGGGACCCACTTGAGGAGGCAGTCTGCCCATTCTCAGATCTCCAGCTGCATGCTGGGAGAACCACTGCTCTCTTCAAAGCTGTCAGACAGGGACATGTAAGTCTGCAGAAGTTACTGCTGTCTTTGTTTGTCTGTGCCCTGCCCCCAGAGGTGGAGCCTACAGAGGCAGGCAGGCCTCCTTGAGCTGTGGTGGGCTCCACCCAGTTGGAGCTTCCCGGCTGCTTTGTTTACCTAAGCAAGCCTGTGCAATGGTGGGCGCCCCTCCCCCAGCCTTGCTGCCGCCTTGCTGTTTGATCTCCGACTGCTGTGCTAGCAATCAGCGAGACTCGGTGGGCATAGGACCCTCCGAGCCAGGTGTGGGATATAATCTCCTGGTGCGCCGTTTTTTAAGCCTGTCGGAAAAGCACAGTATTGGGGTAGGAGTGACCCGATTTTCCAGGTGCCGTCTGTCACCCCTTTCTTTGACTAGGAAAAGGAACTCCCTGACCCCTTGCGCTTCCCGAGTGAGGCAATGCCTCGCACTGCTTCGGCTTGCGCACGGTGCGCTGCACCCACTGACCTGCGCCCACTGTCTGGCACTCCCTAGTGAGATGAACCCGGTACCTCAGATGGAAATGCAGAAATCACCCGTCCTCTTCATCGCTCACGCTAGGAGCTGTAGAACGGAGCTGTTCCTATTCAGCCATCTTGGCTCCTCCTCCTGTTTGTTTTTTCTTATAAATTTAAGTTCCTTGTAGACTCTGGATACTAGACGTTTGTCAGGTGGATAGATTGCAAACATTTTCTCCCATTTTGTAGGTTGTCTGTTCACTCTGATGATAGTCTATTTTGCTGTACAGAAGCTCTTTAGTTTAATTAGATGCCATTTGTCAATTTTTGCTTTTGTTGCAATTGCTTTTGGTGATTTTGTCATGAAATCTTTGCCAATGCCTATGTCCTGAATGGTATTGCCCAGATTTTCTTCTAGAGTTTTTATAGTCTGGAGTTTTACAGTTAAGCCTTTAATCCATCTTGAGTTAATTTTTGTATAAGGCATAAGGAAGAGGCCCAGTTTCAATTTTCTGCATATGGCAAATAGTAGCAAAAAGAGCTGTGATTATTATATTAAAGTCAAACAAAATACACATTGTGTCAAATATTGTTAAAAGAAACAAAAAACATGATTATATATCGATAAAAGGGTCAATTCATCAAAAAGATATAAAAATTATAAACATATACACACCAAGCAATAGAGCTTCAAAATATATGAAGCAAACACCACAGGATTGAAGGGAGACGAAGCACTACAAAATAGTTGGAGAGTTCAATATCCCACCATGGCATCATAAGAAATATATTTGGTCTTTGTCCCCAGTTCCTGGCACAAGGTTCCTAAAACTCTTGGAATTTCCTGAGTGATGGGTGTGTCTTTTGATATTCATAAGAAGCCCCTTTCGATTCCACCTCAGTTTCTGCTAATGAGGTTACTTGGAGTGGGGCCCCTAGGTAGCCTCAGGATGGAGCTGGTCACCAGAAAGGTCAAGTGATTAGAGGTCTGGAAATTTTAGACCCACCCACTCTCCTCCAGGAAGTTAAAGAAGGAAGGAGTTGAAGCTCTATAAAAACTCTTAAACAATAAGATTTGATGAGCTTCTGAATTGGTGAACACATCCATGTGCCAGGAGGGTGGCACACACAACTCACAAGGACAGAAATTCCTGTGCTTGGGACCCTTCTGAAGCTCACCCTATTTACTTCATCTGGCTATTCATTTGTATCCTTTATAATAAACTGATAAACCTTAAGTAAAGTGTTTCCTGAGTTCTGTGAGCTGTTTCAGCAAATTATCAAACTTTCAGATGGGATTGTGGGAGCCCCTGATTTATAGCCAGTAGATCAAAAGTGCAGGAGGCCCAAGACTTGCAACTGGCACCTGAAGTTGGGAGTAGTCTTGTGAAATCAAGCCTATAAGCTGTGGGGTCTGCACTAACTTCAAGTAGTTAGTGTCAGAATTAAATTAAATTTTGGAACACCCAGTTGGTGTCCAGAGATAGGAGAATTGGTTGTTGGTGTTGGAAAGCATTCCAGGCCCTCTTTCAATAATGAATAGAACATGTAGACAGAAAAATCAATAAGGAAATAGGGTACTAAACAACACTATAAACCTAAGACAGACCTAAGACAAGAAGAGAATGCATATTCTTCTCAAGCACATATGGAACATACTCCAGGATAAACTACATGTTAGGCCACAAAACAAGCCTAAATACATTTTAAAAGATTGAAATTATACAAACTATCTTCTCCAGCCACAATGGAACAAAGCTAGAAATCAATAAGAGAAGGAAAACTGGAAAATTCTCAAAAATGTGAAATTAATACACTCTAAAACAACCAATGAGTCAAAGAATAAATCACAACGGAAATTAGAAAATAATTTGAGCCAGGCATGTTGACTCATGCCTGTAATCCCAGCACTTTGGGAGGCTGAGGTGGGTGGATCACTTGAGCCCAGGAATTCAAGACCAGCCTGGCAACATAAAAAGACCCTGTCTCTACAAAAAACTAACTAACTGGGCATGGTGGTATGCACCTGTAGTCCCAACTACTTAGAAAAAAAACTTTCGGATGAATGAAAATGAAAACACAAAACACAACATCCAAAAACTTATGAGATGCAGTAAAAGTAGTTCTCAGGGTAGAAAATCTATAACTGTAAATACTTACATTAAAAAAGAGCACGGCCAGGCGCAGTGGCTCACGCCTGTAATCCCAGCACTTTGGGAGGCCGAGGCAGGCAGATCACGAGGTCAGGAGATCGAGACCATCCTGGCTAACACAGTGAAACCCCACCTCTACTAAAAATACAAAAATTAACTGGGCATGGTGGTATGAGCCTTGTAGTCCCAGCTACTCAGGAGTCTGAGGCAGGAGAATCGCTTGAACCCAGGAGGCAGAGGTTGCAGTGAGCCAAGATCGCGCCACTGCACTCCAGCCTAGGCGACAGAGCAAGACTCCGTCTCAAAAAAAAAAAAAAAAAAAAAGATCTCAAATCTGCAACCTAACTTTACATCATACGAAACTAGAAAGAGAAGAACAAATACACCCAAAGCTAGCAGAAGGAAGGAAATAATAAACATGTGAGCACAGAAAAATGGAATAGGAAATAGAAAACCAATAAAAAGAATCAACAAGACCAAAGCTTGGTTTTTTTAAAAGATCAATAAAATTGAAAATCTTTAGCTAGATTGACTAAGAAGAAAAGAGAAAAGACACAAATAACTAATATCAGAAATTAGAGTGGGACATCACCACCAACCTTACAGAACTAAAAAAATTATAAGAGAATACTATGAACAATTTTACACCAACAAATTAGATAACCTTGGATGAAATGGACAAATTCCTAGAAACTCACAAATCACCAAAACTGACTTGAGAAGGAATAGAAAATATTAACAGACCTATAACAAATAAAGAGATAGAATCAGTAATTTTTGAAAAATACACATGACTCTCTTCAACAAAAAGAATGCCTAGGGCTAGATGACTTCACTGATAAAATCTATACCAAACATTTTTTTATTAACACCAATCCTTCTCAAAGTTTTCCAATCTTAACTGATACAGAAAAAGCATTTCACAAAATTCACCACCCTTCTATAATTAAAAAAAATTCAGAAAACTAGGAAATAAAGGACTTCCTTAACATGATTAAAGGTACCTATAAAAAACTATATACAATGATCATTATACTCAATTGCAAAAGATCAAAATCTTTCTCCCAAGATCAGAAATAAGACAAGGATGCATCTTTCACCACTGCTAGTCAACATTGTAATGGAGTTCTAACCAAAGCAATCAAGTAATAAAAAGAAATAAAAGTCATCCAAATTGGGAAGAAAGTAAAACTATCTCAGCTGTTTTTGTAAACACCAGCAATGAGCAATCCAAAAAGGAAATTAAGGAAACAATTTGATTTACAACAGGCTATGAAAGGATAAAATACCTAGAAATAAATTTAACCATGGAGGTAAAAGACTTGTATACCACAAAATACAGAACATTGCTGAAAGAAATTATAGAAGACCTCAAGAAATAGAAAGACATCCCATCATTTTTTTTTTTTTTTTTTTTTTTGAGACAGCGTCTGGCTCTGTCACCCAGGCTGGAGTGCAGTGGCATGATCTTGGCTCACTGTAACCTCCATCTCCCAGGTGCTGGGACTATAGGCGCATGCCACTACGCCCAGCTAATTTTTGTATTTTCTGTAGAGACAGGGTTTTGCCATGTTGCCCAGGCTGATCTCGAACTCCTGAGCTCAAGCAAACCACCTGCCTTGGCCTCTCAAAGTGCTGAGATTATAGGCGTGAGCCACCACACCTAGCTGACATCCTATATTCTATATTGGAAGACTTAAAATTATTAAGACGGCATTACAATGCAATTCCAATCAAGTTCCAACAGGTATTTCTTTTTCTTTTTTTTTTTTTTTTTTTGAGATGGAGTCTCGTTCCGTCACCCAGGCTGGAGTGCAGTGGCGCGAGCTCAGCTCACTGCAACCTCCGCCTCCCAGGTTCAAGCAATTCTCCTGCTTCAGCCTCCCGAGTAGCTGGGACTACCAGAGTGTGCCACCACTCCTGGCTAATTTTTATATTTTTAGTAGAGATGGGGTTTCACTATGTTGGCCAGGCTGGTCTCGAACTCCTGGCCTCAGGTGATCCACCCGCCTCGGCCTCCCAAAGTGCTGGGATTATAGGTGTGAGCCACCACACCTGGCCGGATTTTTCTTTATTTGAGAAACAGAAAACTTGATCCTCGAGTTCATACAAAACTGCCTTTTCATTGTTGTACTTTGTAGGGTCTCCCATTTCCCCCATTTTGTGCGTTCTGAGTGAAAAACAGAGAGTGCCTTGTTGGCTGTGTGACCCAGCCAGTTGCATGTTTTTCCCAGCAAGGCTGAACCGAAGCCAAGGCTTTGGATAGCCAAAGCAGTCTTCAAAAAGTAGAATTCACACTTCCTGATTCAAAAATAAGCCAATGATTTAAATATAAAAGCTACAGAATTCTTAGAAGAAATGTAGAAGTAAATCTTCATGACTATGGATTGGGCAATGGATTCTTAGAAAAGACACCAAAAGCACAGTAACAAAAGAAAAAAAAATCGGACTTCATCAAAGTTAAAAATTTTTGTGCCTCAAATGACTATCAAAAAAGTGAAAAGACAGCCTATGGAATGGGAGAAAATATTTGAAAAAATCATCTATCTGGTGAGTATCCAGAATATATTAAAGAACTCTTATGACTCAAGAAGAAAAAAAAAAAAAAACCCAATTACAAAATGGGCAAAGGACTTGAATATACATTTCTTCAAAGAAAATATAAAAATGACCAACAAGCACATGAAAATATGCTCAATATCGGCTGGGCACGGTGGCTCATGCCTGTAATCCCAGCACTTCGGGAGGCCAAAGCAGGTGGATCACCTGAGGTCAGGAGTCCAAGACCAGCCTCGCCAACATGGTGAAACCCTGTCTCTACTAAAAATACAAAAATTTGTCAGGTGTGGGTGGCAGGCGCCTGTAATCCCAGCTACTCAGGAGGCTGAGGCAGGAGAATCGCTTGAACCCAGGAGGTGGAGGTTGCAGTGAGCTGAGATCACACCACTGCACTCCAGCCTGGGCGACAGAGTGAGAATCCATCTAAAAAAAAAAAAAAGAAGAAGGAGGAGAAGGAGGGGGAGGGGGAAGAAGAAGAAGAAAGAAATGCTCAACATCATTAGTTATTAGGGAAATACAAATAAAAACCATGAGATACCACTTCACATTTTTTGACTGGCTATAATTTCTAAAAAGGAAAATAATAAGTGCTGACAAGCATGTGGAGAAATTGGAACCCTCGTGCATAGCTGATAGAAGTATTAAATTGTTCAGCCGCTGTGGGAAGAGTTTGGAGTTTCCTCAAAAAAGTAAACATACAAAGTTAAACATATGACCCAGCAGTTCTACTCCCAAATATTTACCCAAATGAGTTAAAAATATATACTCAAAAAAATATTCATCTACAAATGTTCATAGCTGCATTATTTGCAATTGCCAAAGCAAGGAAACAGCTGAAATGTCCATCAACAGATGAATGGATAAACAATTGTGATATATATATATACAATGGAGTATTATTCACCCATAAAATGGAATGAAGTACTGGTGCATGCTACATAGTAAATGAACCTCAAAAACTACAGAAATAACATTTCCTACCCAATTGTTTTGGAAAAAATTCAAAAGCATGACAACACGTTCTGTTAGTGAGACTGTAGGAAACGTGCACAGTCACATTGTTGGTGGCATTACAAAAAGGTATAATCTTTATGAAGTAGAAATCGGCAATATCTAGCCAAACTATATGTGCATTTATCCTCTTTTTTCTCTTTTGAGACAAAGTCTAGCTCTGTCACCCAGGCTGGAGTGCAGTGGCTTGATCTTGGCTCACTGCAACCTCTGCCTCCCGGGTTCAAGCGATTCTTCTGCCTCAGCCTCCTGAGTAGCTGGGACTACAGGCATGTGCCACCACGCCCATCTAATTTTTGTATTTTTAGTAGAGATGGGGTTTCACCATGTTGACCAGGCTGGTCTCGAACTCCTGACATCATGATCTGCCCTCCTCAGCCTCCCAAAGTGCTGGGATTACAGGCGTGAGCCACCGCACCCAGCCGTGCATTTATCCTTTTAACCAATGATCACACTTTTAGAAATTTACTGATATTATACCTCCAACAATACAGAAAATTATGCATAATTGTTCATTGCAGCATTATTTATAATAGCAAAATCTTGGAAACTACCTAAATGCCCAAATATAGGAGACTGGCTATATGACTAAGGTGTATGTCAAATGCAGCTGTAATAGAGGAAAAATTGTTATGAACTACTGGAGAGCAGTTTTCAGGATATATTGTTAAATGAAAACAACAAGGTGCAAATGGGTATATTCGTGCAAGAAAAACAGAGTTGAGAGTTCAAGTAACTAATTATCTTAAATCAAGAATTTATAGAGAATTGATAAAGAAGGGCTGCTACTCAGCACATCCTATGAAGTCAGCATAAACTTGCTATGAAACCAAGCAAGGACAATATGAGAAAGACAAGTTACAGGCCCAGTTCATTATGAACATAGATGTAAAATACCTTAAAAATAGCAAACTAAACCAAACAATATAAAAATGATAATATTCAATGATCACCTTATATTACCATAGAAATGGCTTAATGTTTGAAAATCTGAATGTTCACTGCATTAACAGATTAAAGGATATAAAAATGTTATCATCTCAATATACATAGAAAAAAGCAATACATATAATCTGACATAAACTAATTTAAAATTTCTTGTTAGGAATGAAAGAAAAATTTCTAAACCTGATAGAGGGTACTTATGAGAAACCTAAAGTGGAGACAATTCTAAAAGGGGAAACAAGAAGTTTTCATTTTAAATCAGGTATCAGACAAAAATACACACTATCACCACTTACATATGATGTACTCAAGGGCCTAGCGAGCACAGTGAGGCATTAAAAATGGCATAAAGTTTGAAGAAGAAAACTATAACTGCTTATTTGCCTATGATAAACACTGAAGAGAACACACAAAGAAACCATAATAAACAATGGGAGAATTTAGCAAGCTAACTAGTTACAAATTTGTGGAAAGAAGAAAAGATCCAAGCTTTAAAGAGAGGAAAGCAAGTTTGAAATAGTATTTGTAGAAAGTGGGAACACTGGCTTACTGAAGAAACTTAGTAAGATTGCCAGACCCTTTTTGGTTTGGTGATGGTGCATCTATTGTGCTGTTTAGTAGCCCAGTTGAGTTATTTTCCCCCAGCAACAATTATCTGCCTAGGTTCAAGCTTCAATGAAATTGATGGTTGGATTCATTCAGGGTTGCAGTTTTTGTAGGTAGATTCAAGCAAGGAGATTTAAATGACAGGTTCTGAGTCCTACATTGATAGAAAGAAAAGTAAACGCCTATAGGGGAGGACTACGAAATAGGGAAGTGAAGAGTCAATGTTTATTGGTTTCAGTGAGGTCAAATAATTGTCATGGTGGAGATTTTTGAGCAAACTGGAAAGTTAACTTCTCTACATTAGCAGTAAACAAAAGGAATTAGTTGAAAAGTTATGATAACATTTACAATTTCCTTTTAAAAACTTCAAGCCTCAGACCAGGCGCGGTGGCTCACACCTGTAATCCTAGCACTTTGAGAGGCTGAGGAGGGCAGATCACCTGAGGTCAGGAGTTCAAGACTAGCCTGGATAACACAGTGAAACCCCATCTCTACTAAAAATACAAAAATTAGCTGGACATGGTGGTACACGCCTGTAATCCCAGCAACTCAGGAGTCTGAGACACAAGAATTGCTTGAACCTGGGAGGAAGAGGCTGCAGTGAGCAGAGATCGCACCACTGCACTCCAGCCTGGGTGACAGAGCCAGACTCCATCATCTCAAAAAAAAAAAAAAAAAATTCAATCCTCTGTGAATAAATATAACATGTACAATTTCCACAGGGGAAAATTATAAAAAAATGTTAAGGGACATGAATAAGATCTAGATACAGATGAAAGAGATAGCAAGGTCAAGATTAGGGGAATAAAGGAGGATATGAAAACACTACGTGACCCTGGAGTGGGTGTGATTGGGAGGTGCTTGGATTCCTGCCCTGCCGGTTTTGATTGGAGTACACGGTGAAAGGCTAGTCACACTGGGCCTCCACTTTGCCCTCTTTCCTTCTCTTCTCCTCACAGCAGTGCCTGGTCAAACCCAGCAACCCTTGGCCAGAACTTACTCACCCATCCCACTGACACCATGAAGCCTGTGCTGCCTCTCCAGTTCCTGGTGGTGTTCTGCCTAGCACTGCAGCTGGTGCCTGGGAGTCCCAAGCAGCGTGTTCTGAGTAGGTGCTGGATCTGGGCCCAAGGAGGGAAGTAACATGTGTGGATAGGAGAGGATCTGAGGGCTGACAGTCTGTCACACCTCTTGGAAAAATACCGTGTCATGTTCAAGGGCCCAAGCTTTATTGTTGGCAAGATCTAGGTTTGAATCCCTGCTCTGTTGCTGAGTGACCTTGGGCATAGTATCTGGGCCTCAGGTTTTTATCCTTATAATGAATACAGGAGGAGAACAGATAATGCATGCAGACATAGCTCACTCTTACTAAACCATGGTAAATGCTCAGTAATATTAAATGCTGTAAATGTGATCAGCCTCATCATCCAGCTTAGTCTTGCTGCCCGTGGCTCCTTCATGGATGCTTGGACTCACTTTTCAAGCAATAAAACAGAGAGACAACGAAGTTGGTAGAACTCAAGCTAGAATCTACATAACCTTGGCCTTGGAGGATGTTTTGGGAAGGAGGGAAAGGAAGTCTTGCCTTTTATTCCACATTTTCAAACTCCAGAGGTACTGTACAATTACCGGTAATTAGCATCAATGGGACAGTGTAGAGTCCATCTCAGCAGCCACCACTGCCCAGCTCAACTCAAAAGAGCTCTGGCTCTAGTAATGTTGACCTTAACCAATACCAAGTGGGAAAAGAACTGTTATTCATCATACATCCACTCTTCTATGGGGAAAACATCTTCAGAATACTGGCGGCTCAGAAGAGGGATAAGTGTGGTAGCTCATGTGTCTGGGGAGGCTAGGTCCTGCTTAAGAAGTTTCAGAAAAGGCATGCAGGTTTGTAGGACTAAGAGGGACTAAGCAAGCTACAAGAAAATAGGAGTGCCCAGGGTAGAGTTAATTGGAGAATCAGAATTTGAGGAAAGGCACAAAGAGGCTTTCTAAAAGACTGGTAAATGCTGTGAGTGAAGTTGGGACCAGATACCCAGAAGAGGGGTCAAGACTTGAAAAGGGTGACCTCTCTGAGATCTCTGGATCATGGTGTCTATCTCTAAACTGCTCTGTTGAGCCCCAAGCTCTTCAAAGTGTGGATTAGTTCCAATTTCTTGCAGTGCCCCAGTGAGCTATAGAATAGCTGAGAGGCCAGGGGTGAGTACTAGTTATTGGTCTCTGTTAAATTGTCAACAGCTTGAACCTCAGCTTCTTTTACCCCAATTCTGGTGCCATTTGCTACTACAGTTATAGTCATGACCTCTTTCTTCATTCATTCCTTTCAAATCATCATAATATCCTATAGATTTCCTTCTAATTGCAAATATTTGCAGAGGAATAGACCCACAATTCCTCTATTTGCAATAGAATGCCCCACTTTTGACTTTTGCCCCCAAAGAAAGGGAGAATCACAAGGTACAAAAATTAGGACCTGGAAGGGCTTGGGGAAAGGGATTAATGGGGCCCATCTTTAGAGTCCAGGAATAGAAAGGAGATTGTGGGTTGTGGACTTAGGGAAGACTCTCCCAGGGCAGGTAGGTCTTAGCTTTGAACTGAAATACTTGGGGGTAGGGGAGGAAATAGGAAGTCAACATAATGATGCTTATTCTTCTCTAACAGTAGAAAGTGGGGCATCCTGGTGCTCTGGCCTCCTGATCGAGAGACACCAAGGAAGAAAAAAGCTGAATCTTTGAACGCCATTCTGAAATCCCCACCCTTCTTACCATGAAAGAAGTCACTCCCAGAACTTACTTGTGAATTGGGTCCCAGCTCTCTGATCCAGTACCTTCAGTTTAATGCATGGTCTTCATCCTTTACCAAAACTTACCTTTCACTCATTCTTCCTGTACACAAATAACCCATGTTAGGTTAACCCCAGGGTAAACTATGTTGTTAATGAGAAGCTCTACAACTTGCTCAAGACCACACAATGAATCAGTGCAGAACGAACATACAAACCTCTTTCTTGTTCACCACATACACCATTGATACCCTTGATATGGACACAACCATAGTCAATGGGGGCTTGGCATCTGAACTACAAGGATGGTGAATGACCAATGGGTGCAGGGTTCTACCAAACTCTGTTCTTGATCAAAAAATATCCATGCCCTGCTTCCCTGCTCAGAACTCAGAGGAAGGCAGCAGCTGAGGACAAAACCTGATGCCACCACCCTGGAACCATGCAAGGCAGATGAGGGTGGCAGGTTTCCTGGCAGTTCCCTGGGCTTTCTGAGTTCTGAACATTACTCCAGCCTGTTGGTGAGGCCCTTCTCTTACTTGTTCTGTGTTCCAGAGTATATCTTGGAACCTCCACCCTGCATATCAGCACCTGAAAACTGTACTCACCTGTGTACAATGCAGGAAGATTGCGAGAAAGGATTTCAGTGCTGTTCCTCCTTCTGTGGGATAGTCTGTTCATCAGAAACATTTCAAAAGCGCAACAGGTAAGAGATATCTCATATCCAGGTCTGATCCTAGAGCTGCTGGTGGGAGCCCAGCAGAAGAGTCCCTTACCAGCAACTGTGCTGGATCTCTCCTTTTTTTTTTTTTTCCTTGGTGGCCATGTTGCCAACATGCCCCTTCTCTTGACCAAGGATAATTTCCATAAAAGTCCTGATTAGAAAAGCCCTCCTCCCCTCCCAATCACCACATCCCATCACCATATCCGTGAATTTCTGACTCTGCCTCTCTGAACACACCCACAAATGCCTTTATCCACAGACCTTCCCCCGACCCAGAATCCACCCTTATCCCAGGGACACTGTACCTGCAGGTGTAACCAAAATCCCAAAGCAAAATTTGTCCTACACTTTTGCTTGCCCTCCTTTCACAAGACACCATCCTTTGGCCACCAGTGTTCTTGGGCTCTGGAGATCCAGCCCAAAGGAAGTTTTGATTAATTGTCCAGACATTAACACTAGCCGCAAGCCTGCTAAATGGAGTGTGCTCCCAGGGCAGAGAAAGGACATAGGGTGCTGATGAGACATATGGTTTCTAATCCCATCTTGCAACTATGTCTTTCTATGACCTTGAGTAAGACAATTCCCTCTTTTTTACTTTCTTTTTCTCATGAGTAAAATAAGTACTCTTGTTTTTTCCTGCTTTGCAAGGCCCATATGAAATTTCAAAAGACTCACAGTGGAAGACTCAACCAATGAGCCCTTTGAGGGAAGCCTGGCAGTCTTGTTCCCTGCTGTATTCCCTACCATGAGCAGAATACCCAGCATGAGATAATGTGCAGAGTGATTAAGCATGGGCTCAAAGCCAAACACCTGGGCTCAAATCCTGGCTTCTTAGCTAAGTGACCTTAAGTGATCTTAGACAAGCTAATTAACCTCTCTCTGGGCATCAACTTCCTCATCCTTAAGACTGGAACAATAATAGTGAGGTTAAAATAGACAATCCATGTAAGCTTTAAAACATTACTTGCCAACATAATTGCTGTGAATTTTGGGGATTAGGCAACCACTTCTCTTTGAAGAGACTAGCCCTTGCAATTAAATTCCACATCTTTCAATGCTCTACATTGGAATGCAGAAGCATAAATATAACTCTTTGGTGTCATTGAGTTTTTTGAGGTTCTGCCTTCCCTATGGCAAGAGAAATGAGCTTCATGGTCTAATATTAATGGTGGAAGTAATTGAAAGAAAAATATATATCTCTAAAAGTAAAACTTCACTAGTTAATATTTGAAAATATTTTTCTTCTACAGAATCAAACACAAGGGCTCAGAAGTCATCATGCCTGCCAACTGAGGCATATTTCCTAGATCATTTTGTAAGTACAGGGATTTGGTCTCGCCTTCCTCATGTGAGATTCCCAGGGATGCTCACTTTCTTCCTGTAGCCTCACCAGGGGCACTACATTCCCACAAGCTCAGAATGGCCTCTCATTACCTGATTGCCTCCTCCTCCATCATTCCCCTCCAAGGGCTATCTTTGCACTCCCTGGGGGAGGCACGGTGCAGTCCAGCATGAATTCTGCAACACAGAGCAATGTAAGGAACCAAGTCATGGCCCAGGGGGAACCCAGGGCACTCAGATCTGAGGCTTTGTCAAGGAACAAGCTCTTCTAGCCTCCGGGTTGACAGCACCCTGGGCAGGGACTCAAGCTGAGCCCTTCACGCTCTGAGACTTTGGTCTGCTCACTGTACCTCTCTGAGACAGTCACCTCCCTCATGTGAAATATGAAGAAAACATCCATGCCTTGGGGTATTGGGAGGACAACACAAGGCCATGTAGATGGAAGAACTTGGTCTCTGCAAAGGTAGAAACTGCCAGCAACTCACTTACAAGGTCACTCATTCAGGTTCCAGTTTTTTCTCTGAAAAAAGAGGGAGTGGGCCGGGTATGGTGACTCACACCTGTAACCCCAGCACTTTCGGAGGCCAAGGTGGACGGATCACGAGGTCAGGAGTTCAAGACCAGCCTGACCAACAGAGTGAAACCCTGTCTCTACTAAAAATACAAAAATTAGTTGGGTGTGATGGTGCACACCTGGAATCCCAGCTACTCAGGAGGCTGAAGCAGGAGAATTGCTTGAACCCAGGAGGCAGAGGTTGCAGTGAGCCAAGAGTGCACCATTGCACTCCAGCCTGGGCGACAGAGTGAGACTCCGTCTCAAAAAAAAAAAAAGAGGGAGTGGGAATCATCTTTATTATTTTACTGATGCTTCAAGAATGGTGAACAAAATGGAGTCCTGTGGAATTCCACCACCAAAAAAATGATAGTATTCATAAGTTGGTGGATTTCGTTTCAGAGTATTTGAAAGAAAAAGTTAGAAGTTTAGGGTCTTCTAATGGGCCTTCTGATGTCTCCAGATGTTCCAAATTAGAATGGTGGTCTTTCAGCTTAGTCCTTTTATTAACCCTGTACAAAGGAGCGTGATAAATAGTAGCAGGTGGAGGCCAGTGGAGCAGTTTAGACGCATGAGCACTTGCCCAGGCTCCGGTGAGCCCACCATGCTGCGGATGAGCTCCCACTCATGCTTCAAGGTTTCTATTAAATTAAACACTCCATAGAAACTTCACCAGTTCACTCCAGACAGAATTAGTCCCTCTCTTTGTCTTTTGTAGTGTCCTATCTTTGGCCTACCATAACCTAGTGACCCCTGATCCAGGGCAGGAAATACTGTTCAGAAAAATCTATAGACTCTTTTACTACCAGAAACTGACCATATGTGGTTCGAGTTGACCTGAGTGAGGCAGGTCTCTTACATACAGGTTGGCTATCACTGTTTTAATAATCTGAGTTTGATCTATCCAATACTGTAGGCACTGGTCACGAGAGGCTATTTAAATGTTAATTCATATGAATTACAATAAAATAAAATATTCAATCAGTTCCTTAGCCTTATTTTCCATTTCAAGTGTTTAATAACCACATGTGGTTAGTAGCTACCATATTACACATTATAAATACAGAACACAGAAAGTTCTAATGGAAAGCATTGCTTTAAGCTACATAAAGCTGATGTCTAAAAAATGATGGCTAATTAAAGGTGATCATGACAGAGGACACCCTCTATGACAGCCTCATGTTAGACTCCAGGAAAAGTTTTTGGGGGCTATTTCTTTAAGGAGTTCCTAAGCATAGCCTGACAACAGACAGTTCAATGACAGTAATTCTCTAGAGACCCAACATGATGTCCAAGGATGTTTAAAGAATCAAGAAGAATAAATGGACTAATTATCTTTCCTTCCCCACAGGCCTCTACGATGTTTTTTCTTGGTCCACCTTTAGGAAGGTATTGAGAAGCAAGAAACTGGAGGCCCAATATCTAACCTGCAAATCGTTTTTGAGTTTGGCAATAAAGGCTAATCTACCATAAAACTCTTGAAGCTTAAGCTTTAGGTCAACACTTGCAAGAGCCCCTTCCAAAGCTCAGCACAGTTTCCTCCTGGGATGAGGAGAGGAATCAGAAACCCCACTTTGGCATAGAGACAAGCAGCACTGTTCCAGTCCAGGGATGCTGTGTGTGCCCTGGTGGTGGTCTTAAGGACCTACCACATCAACATCTGGACAACCCTCACTGATTACCTGCCCTTGGTTGCACTCATCAGGCTAATTGATCCCATATTTAACCTCAAGGAGAAATATCAACCAGACACTGCATGGCAACCTCCTTGGGGCCAGCCTTCAAGGCTTCATGGCCATATCATGAACCCAGGACAGGCACAGTGGGGGTGGTGAGGACCTGATAGAGTTGGATCAGTGACTAAGAGGCTGCAATAAGGTGCCATGAAATCAAAATCAAAGGGCTAGAACTCTCCAAGGTCTTGCCCCCGGCATGTAGCACCACCTGAGCCAGAAACTGCAGAGGACATGACAGTGTGGCATTACTGATAAGTTATGGAAATGGAAATAATCTTTCCTAAACTACCAATAATAACTTTAAATTTTTGATCAACCATGCTAGAGCAAAGATTGAATTATCCTTCTGTTCTCTCTACAGAAATGATATAAAAACTATAGTCATAAGAAGAGACAATCAAAAATAATCAGCCATA